>NC_000011.10:117172424-117475454 GCF_000001405.40 Homo sapiens
TTTTTACATTCTGGTCAAGCTTTGGCAGTATGCTTATAGTGGATTCATAACACATCAGTATACTGCAGCTTGCTTGTCAGCCACTGAGTTAAAAGATCAAGTCCAAGCCATTAAATGTAACATCTAACAGTCTCCATGACCTGGCCTCTTTAATTTGTAACCTTCCACCCTTTACTTTGAACTTTTCTGCCAAGAGCACTGAGCTTCCTTTATGTTTTTGCCCATAGTTGGGAGCCCCCTATCTGGAATATGCTCTTACCCCTTTGCTGGTCTAGCTCCTACTCTATTTTTATTTTTTGGAAACAGTCTCGCTTTGTTGCCCAGGCTGGAGTGCAGTGGTGCAATCTTGGTTTACTGCAATCTCTGCCTCCTGGATTCATGTAGTTCATGTGCCTCAGCCTACTGAGTAGCTGGAATTACAGGCGTGTACCACCACGCCTGGCTAGTTTTTGTGTTTTTAGTAGAGACAGGGTTCGCCATGTTTACCAGGCTGGTCTCGAATTCCTGGCCTCAGGCAATCGGCCCGCCTTAGCCTCCCAAAGTTCTGGGATAACAGGCATGAGCCACCGCGGACCCAGCCGCCTGTCTTCTGATTTCTAAGCCAAAGACCCAAGCTTTCTTGAAATAAGAGAGCTGGCTCATTTTTATCGGTGATCTTTGGAGGCAGAGATTTGAGACGGTCAAGTATTTATCTGCTTGTTTTCTGCAACCTGATGACCAGCCTTGTTTCCTGGAAAGCTCTGATGTTGGTTTCATCACGTGGCCAGAGGGAACCAGATGCAGGGCCTGAGTATATCACAGATATTTCCCAGTGTGAATGGTGAAAGCCCAGTTTTAGGAAATGGAAAGTGACTGACCTATCTCTAGGAGAAAGTACTGCCCACTTGGTCAGAGCTTATCTCGTTTGTCTCTCTTCCTGTTCTTTAGACAGTAGGATGGTGAATGCAGGGAAGCCTAGCTCCACTGTGAGTACTTAGGACAGTAGAGACCAAGTCCAGACAAGGCTCCCAAAAGGCTCAGAAAGCTCAAGTGGTTTGCCTAAAGCACACAATGCAGGGATTTCACTGTAGAACTTTTTTTTTCTTTTTTCTTTTTCTTTGAATGGATGAGAGGTTTTTATGTTGCCCAGGTTGGCCTCAAACACGTAGCCTCGCCTCCTTATGTGCCAGGGCAACAGGCCTGAGCCACCGCAGCTCCCAGTGACTGTAGAACTTTTTGACATCAAAGTCCGTCCTTTTTCCGTAATACCATGAAGCCATGTGACAGGTTTGAGACCTTCCCCAGTATGGCAGATTAAATCCTGTGTCTTTAACTGATTCCCAATCTAACATGCATCCAGTCTTTGCAGTCCTTGCAGGAAGAGAGATAACCAGACACAAGGGCAGCCCTGGGAAAGAACAGAACTTGTATGATGGAAAGAAGTGCTGAACTCTTGCTGGAGCTGCTTATGTCTGGGACAATTCTTTCTAAGCACCAAATGAAAAAACAGCCCTTTTTATAATCACAGTGAAAACAGAAAGCTTCAGGTTCATTTCCTTCAGAGGGGTTGGTTTTGAATCTTTTTTTTCTGGGTTAAAGTTATACCATTACATGATACTAAAATCTGTTTTGATTCTGTCTCCCACCCATAGGCATGGCTACTCCCTACCTCCCAGGTTCCTAAATAATTTGATTGGATTCAGCTAATCCATTTACTGTGATTCTTACAAAATCCTGCTCGAGTGCAGTCTTCATGTCTTTTGTGTGTGTGTGTGTGTGTGTGTGTGTGTGTGTGTGTGTGTGGCAGTTTCACTCTTGTTGCCCAGGCTGGAGCACAATGGCCTGTGGTCGCACACTGCAACCTCTGCCTCCCAGGTTCAAGTGATTCTCCTGCCTCAGCCTCCCGAGTAGCTGGGATTACAGGCGCCTGCCACCACACCCAGCTAATTTTTGTGTTTTTATCAGAGACGGGGTTTCACCATGTTGGCCAGGCTGGTCTCAAACTCCTGACCTCAGGTGATCCACCCACCTCAGCCTCCCAAAGTACTGGAATTACAGGCGTGAGTCACCGCCCCTGGCCATTTTTTTTTCTTTTTTTTTAGTGGTGTTTCACTCGTTGCCCAGGCATGCAATGGCGTGATCTCAGCTCACCGCAACCTCTGCCTCCCAGGTTCAAGCGATTCTCCTGCCTCAGCCTCCGAAGTAGCCGGGATCATAAGCATGTGCCACCACGCCCGGCTAATTTTGTATTTTTAGTAGAGACAGGGTTTCTCCATGTCTGTCAGGCTGGGCTCGAATTCCTGATCTCAGGTGATCCGTCCACCTTGGCCTCCCAAAGTGCTGGGATTACAGGCGTGAGCCACTGCACCTGACCTAATTTTCTGTATTTTTAGTAGAGACGGGCTTTTACCATGTTGGCCAGGCTGGTCTCAAACTCCTGACTTCAGATGATCCAACCGCCTTGGCCTCCCAAAGTGCTGGGATTACAGGCGTGAGTCACCGCACCAGGCCATCTTCAGGTCATTTTAACAATACCCCTGAGCCACCTGAAGCTTCCTCCCTGTCCTCTCACCCCAAACTTCATAAATCCCCTGTGACTTAAAATGGAGCTGGACTCATGGGTCCAGCAAGCTCCTCAGCTGTGTGTTGAATGGTCCCATTTCTTTGGTCCATTCAACACTCAGGCTCAGGAAGGGTGGTCCACAGGGAAATATAAGTCAAATAAGCCTTATGGCCCCACCCTGACCGCTTGAGGGCCACGGTTAGGGTTGAGCTCTTTGTATATTATGCCAGGGAATGCGGTAGCTGGACCTGTGCACAAGGCCAGGATCACATCCCTGAGGCCCCGACATCTCCCCTGTGTGCTCACAAGTCTGGCTTTGAGACACACCACTGCCTTTTTTTGCTGACTGCTGCAGCCAACAAAAAGGCATTCTCTCCCAGTGGACAGACCTCAGAAAGGACCTATTCATAAGTGCGGGGTAGGGCAGAGGGACTGAGGAAAGTTCTGCAGACCTGGGAACAGCAAGAAAATGTGCAGTTGCTGCCCTCCCACTCTGTAGACGCAGGGTCCTGACGATTCAAAAGTTAAGTCTTGAGACCTTGCAAAAGGGAAGGATCCCTTCAGAGTTTGCTTGGATGGATTTCTCTCCAGATATTGCCAGCGGAAAGGGAGCAAACAGAAATAGTGATAGTCCACAGTTGTTTGGTTCCAGAGCAGTGGTTCTCAAACTTCATTGTGCATAGCAAGCTTCTGGAGTGCCCCGTTAAATTGCAGTTTTCTGGGCTCCACCTCCCAAGATGAATTAAGTGTGAAGTAGGACTCTGGATGTGCGTTTAAAACAGGCGTAGGGTCACATCTTGCCCCAAAGTTATGAGGCCAACTTAGAGTAGTGGTGCTTGCCTGTAATCCAGCTACTCGAGAGGCTGTGGCAGATCGCTTGAAGCCAGGAGTTCAAGACCAGCCTGGGCAATGTATCACGAGTGTTTCTTAATGTTTCAGATTATTTACTGGCAAGATGAGCAGGATTACCATGAAAGAAAAGTCCAGATGGACTGAGGAAATCCTACACTGATTCTCCAAACTTGGCAGCTGACTGCATGGAGGGCTCATGATGAAGAAACCTCTTTTGCCATCCTGAGGATTCTCTGATTCATATTCGCCTAGATGTGCTGGAAACAGTACTGGACCAAGGTGCAAACTTGAGTCTAGTGAGGTACTAATGGGCTGAAGTTTTTCTGAGCGTCACTTTCCTCATCTGTATAATGAGGGGTTGGCCAAGGAAACCCATAAGGTTATCTTCCAGCTGACTTTCTAATTGGTGAACCCTTTGGAAAAGGGGTGCAGCTTGCTTCTGGTCTTCATCCTCAAGTATGCTGTGCTTGGACAGGGGCCAAAACTAATTCCTCCACTCACCATTTGCCCAGCATAACTACAACAGTACCTGGCACATCGTGGATGCTTATTAAATATTTATTGCAGGAATGAGTAAATATAACTAACTGATCATAAGGTAAAATAGTCTTCATTGGAACAAGGCTCCAGATAGTTGGGCAGGGCTGGGAGCTGAGACTGCTGCAATCCTGCCAGCTGAGAGAACTCTGACAAGGCACTGATCTGGGTGGCTTTATTAGGATGTCTGACAGCTTCAGAGGTGGCCACATTTCTTTTCCTTTAAACATGTCTAATTTGGCCGGGCGCAGTGGCTCACGCCTGTAATCCCAACACTTTGGGAAGCCTAGGTGGGTGGATCACTCGAGGTCAGGAGTTCGAGATCAGCCTGACCAATATGGTGAAACCCCGCTTTACTAAAAATACAAGAAATTAGCAGGGTGTGGTGGCGGGTGCCTGTAGTCCCAGCTACTTGGGAGGCTGAGGCAGGAGCATCGCCTGAACTCAGGAGGCGGAGATTGCAGTGAGCTGAGATCACACCACTGTACTCCAGCATGGGTGACAGTGAGACTCCATCTCAAAAAAAAAAAAAAAAAAAAGTCTAATTTGTCTTATAAATGCAATATATGTGGCCAGGCATGGTGGCTCATGCCTATAATCCCAGCACTTTGGGAGACTGAGGTGGGTGGATCACCTGAGGTCAGGAGTTCGAGACCAGCCTGACCAATATGGTGAAACCCCGTCTCTACCAAAAATACAAAAATTAGCTGGGCGTGGTGGCACATGGCCTGTAATCCCAGCTACTCGGGAGACTGAGGCAGGAGAATTGCTTGAACCCAGGAGGCAGAGGTTGCAATGAGCTGAGATTGTGCCACTGCACTCCAACCTGGGCAACAGAGCGAGACCCTGTCTCCACCCCCCGGCAGATAAAAAAGCAATATATAAATATATATACATTGTAGAACATTTGTAAATCTTTTTAAATATAAAAAATAAAATTTAAGAACCACTCACAATCCATTATTTTTTATTTTTTGGTACTACTCTATATTTTTAGAATTAAAGGAAAATGATATACAATATGTGTTATTTTTAAAATTGTAATTCAAAGATAACTACTGCTAAATTTTATTTTTAAAATTTGCCCTGCTTTCTGGAGACATTGCTAAATGTTTAGTACAATTTTTTTCTATTTTTCTATGCATGTCTATATGCATTTGGAATATATACGGTTTTATTTACTTATTTATTTTTGAGACAGAGTCTTGCTCTGTTGCAGCCCAGGCTGGAGTGCAGGAGCATGATCTCAGCTCACTGCAACCTCCGCCTGGTAGAGTTAAGCGATTCTCCTGCTTCAGCCTCCCCAGTAGCTGGGATTACAGGCACGCGTCACCACGCCCCACTAATTTTGTATTTTTATAGTAGAGATGGGGTTCACCATGTTGGCCATGGCTGGTCTCGAACTCCTGACCTCAAGTGATCTACCTGTCTTGGCCTCCCAAAGTGTTGGGATTACACGTGTGAGCCACGGCACCTGGCTCTATATACTGTTTATTTAGTGTCATATCCTGAATTCTCTGCTTACGTGTCCTGTGAAGTCTTAAGCATCATTTTTGATGCCTTCATGATAGTGCATTTAACCAATCCCTCATTATGGATATCCAAGTCATTTCCTTTTTGCTTTATATTATAAATATCACAGTGATAAGCGTAGCTGCCCAGGTATTTTTATCTGTGCTTCCTATTTCCTTAGGATAGAGTCCAGAAGTGGAATTACTGGATCAAAGGGTATAAAGCTCTCTAAGTTTCTTGAAACAGTGCCAAAATATTTTGTAGAAAAGTTTTCACCAATTTACACTGAAGGTCAGTATCTTTCAATGAGTTTTGTAACTGTCTCTGAGAGAAGAGGGGAAACAGCCCGGCAAGCTTGGAAAGCTCGGAAGGCCGTCCCTGCAGTTGTGTGGCCCCTCTAGAGGGAGGTGGGAAAGGCATGGGGATTCCTCCTGCAGTGCTGCCTCCGTTTCCCCTCCGCCGGTAGGGCCACCGTCCTGTTTCCTAATCCTTCGAGTTTTTCATTTTTTAAGATCCCCGGAGAAAAAGTGGCCCAGGGTTGGACGATGTTAGTTGTAAAGGTGGTGGTGGGGGTGGGGGAATCCTTATGTTTGAGCAAATGTAAGAGTTGTTCAGCAAGAACCCAACACTTGGAGATTGTTAACAGAAACATCTGCCTATTCCAACGTGAGTTTCAGAGATGGTGAAAATCACGGGAGAGAGTTGGGTAGGAGTTGGAGAAGGCATTGCAAGCTTTCCCCTTCAGCTAGACAGCTGCAGCCCCTTTAAGGGCAAATGCGGGACCTGGTCCTTTAAATCTGTGTCAGTTTCCCCTGACGTCAGCGGGCGGGCCAGCAGCCCTGCTGTTTATCGCCCAGCGGCGCAGCTCACTTTTCAGTGTTCGTGCGTCGGGACGGCGCGTCCGCCCGCCCTTAAAGGGCCCGCACCTCGGAAAACTCGCAGCCCAGCACGGCGTCGGGTAGCTACCACCTATCACGCCCCTCACTCTGCGACTCGCCTTCCTCCGCGGCCAGCCCCCGCCGCCGGCTCTTCCTCCCTCCCCTTTCCCGGCGTCTCCAGGCTCCCGGCAACCAGCCGCCCTCCTTCTCACGGCCCTGGCCCGGGGCTCCAGGGTCTCAGGTCGTACTCAGCCCCTCGCGAGCTGGGACCCCTTCCCGTAGCCAGCATCCCCTCCCTCCCCGCCCCCTCCCGGCCGCCCCCTCCCCTGCGGGGACCCTGGGAGCCTCTTCGGGGCTCTTGGGAGGGGACATTTCCTAATCTCAGGCCGGGGTTAAAGTTCTGGTCCTGGTGAGATGCTGGAAGCTGCGGCCGCAGCCGCAACCCGTCCCGGAGGTGTCCTGTCTCCTGTCGCCGCCGCCGCCGCCACCACCGCTGCCACTGCCGCCCTGCCGGGGCCATGTTCGCTCTGGGCTTGCCCTTCTTGGTGCTCTTGGTGGCCTCGGTCGAGAGCCATCTGGGGGTTCTGGGGCCCAAGAACGTCTCGCAGAAAGACGCCGAGTTTGAGCGCACCTACGTGGACGAGGTCAACAGCGAGCTGGTCAACATCTACACCTTCAACCATACTGTGACCCGCAACAGGGTGAGGGCTGGGGGCTTAGGGGCCAGAGGCGAGTGGGGAAGCCGACGAGGGCTAGGCGATTCTGCCGCCCCGCTACCCTTTTGGGAGGCCCCAGGAACGAGCTGTCCTGCTAGGTTCCCAGTTCCCAGAACCACACTGGAGCCTCTTGACCAGTCCTCCTTCCTTTGCCACCAATGTTTCTCTGAAGCTCCAGCTGGGCAGTTTTTGAAGTTGGCTCATTCCCATCTTCTCTTCCGCCCCCATTCTTCCATCAGTTGTGGTCTGAGCACACATGGCTTGCTCTCTACCCTAAACCCCAGAATCTGACAGCTCTGTGGGGTCTCGGTGGGAGAGGAAACAGGCTTATTACTGGGCTTGCCCAGAAAACCTCAGGGGAATGAGACTGGCCCAGAACTGAAAAGCTCTGTGCAGGCAAGTTACATCTCAGACTCCCCAGGGAGATGAATGCAGGGCTTCCCAGCCCTCTTCCTGCCTGGGAGAGCCAGCTGGCCTTGTAAATTGAGGGTGACAGAGGTTTTATAAGGCCAACTGCAAGTTGGGTGGGAAGAGAAGGGGAATTTGTCCACTGTGAAAAATCCACTTCACCCTGACTTCTCTTTGGTTTCTTCACCAGCTGTGAGTCCCTGAGTTGAAATAGACACAGCTAGTGTGGGAAGTCTAGACCCCAGGCAGAGCTGAGATTGGGAGAATTCTTGCAACCTGGCTGTGTGGTCTCGTGCCCGGGTCTCTTGCTCTCTCTCCATGACTGCCGTTTACTGAGAAGCAATGGAGTTGAGAATGGGGAATCTGATTTTTTTTCAGAACGGGGAGTGGTTTGGTTTCTGTGGCAGGCCAGGATCTGCCCCCAGTGCCTGGTTCTCTGAAGTTTGATCTCTTTCTGCTTAGAGTCCTTTCTTCCTTTTTTCCCATATCTAAAGGCACTGGAGAGCTGTGGTTTTTACTCTTTTGGGAAATGCTGCCCTAGGGCTTGGGTTTCAGCAGCCCAATAACAAGCATTCCAAGATCGATTTGGTTTTATTTTTCCTTTAAGCTCCCATTGTTTATATATGTTCCTTCATAGCTCCAAGGGTGAAGATCACTTTATCTTTTTTTTTTTTTTTTTTTTTTTGAGACCAGTCTCACTCTGTTGCCCAGGCTGAAGTGCAGTTTTGTGATCTCAGCTCACTGCAACCTCCGCCTTCCCGGTTCAAGCGATTCTCCTGCCTCAGCCTCCCAAGTAGTTGAGATTACAGGCGCCTGCCACCATACCCAGCTAATTTTTGTATTTTTAGTAGAGATGGGGCTTCACCATGTTGGCCAGGCTGGTCTCAAACTCCTGACCTCAGATGATCCTCCTGCCTTGGCCTCCCAAAGTGCTACAAGCGTGAGTCACCGCACCCGGCTGTCATTTTATAGAGGGAGAAGTTGAGGCTTAGAGAAGTAAAGTGACTTCTCCACAGCCCTGTCCCTTGGTGGGAGCTAAGGATACAACATGGCCTTCAATACCTACCCCTCCTCAACTCCTCTGGGCTCTGGCCCCAGGTTAGCTGTTAACTAGAGCTTCCTGCTGGCTTCCTGGCTCACAGGAAGGTTGAGGAGCACTTCTTGTTCTCCTGTGTCTTCGTGTGTGGGGGCGTGTGTACACGTTTGTGTGTGCAGGCCTGTGCATCCTGTGCACATGGATAGGAATGGGGTATCCTGGAGACTCGCAAGGCCTCCACCGTGTTTCCTGGCAGAGGGTGAGACCCTGCGGTTGCTTGGGTCCTGCTGCCCTGCACATGTCTGCCGGCCAGGAGCTGCACTCAGCACAGGTCTTTCCTGGAGTCTGGGGGTTGTTCTGGCAGAAGAAGAGGCAGAGATGACTCCCTGGCCCGACCAAGATGGAGAAAGACCAAAGTAGCTGGCATGAAGGAGGGCAGGGCTCATAGTCTCTGGAGCCACGTGTCCCTGGTGGCAGAGGCTTGAGAGGCATTTCCATGTCGTTCTGCAGACAGAGGGCGTGCGTGTGTCTGTGAACGTCCTGAACAAGCAGAAGGGGGCGCCGTTGCTGTTTGTGGTCCGCCAGAAGGAGGCTGTGGTGTCCTTCCAGGTGCCCCTAATCCTGCGAGGGATGTGAGTAGGATCTGGGCATCAGGGAAGCGGGGCAGCCTAGGCCAGTCCTTGGCTGGAGCCTCAACCAGGAGCCCCCCCATTTCTCCTCCCCTTTCCCTGGGCTGGGAGGCTGGTCAACAGCACAAGGGCCGAGTCCCACCAGCCGGGAGCTTGTGCACCTCGCAGGGAGGTGGTGGAGACCAGACGGGGCGAGGTGGGGCCTCGCTCCTCTGGAGGGGCAGGCCGGCTGGGACAGTGCTCACATCCTATCTCCCTGCTTCGGGCCATAGGTTTCAGCGCAAGTACCTCTACCAAAAAGTGGAACGAACCCTGTGTCAGCCCCCCACCAAGAATGAGTCGGAGATTCAGTTCTTCTACGTGGATGTGTCCACCCTGTCACCAGTCAACACCACATACCAGCTCCGGGTCAGCCGCATGGACGATTTTGTGCTCAGGTCTGCAGGGTAGAGTGAGGGGACCACGGGGGCTGGTTCTTCCCCAGGCTCCGGGGGTGACTGGTGGGGGCTCTTCTCTGCCCTGCAGGACTGGGGAGCAGTTCAGCTTCAATACCACAGCAGCACAGCCCCAGGTAACATCTCCCTGTTGATTGCTCGAGAGGAGAAATGGGGGAGCTTGAATATGAGAATGGGAGTGGCCAGCGGTCTTTGCTTGGCCTTTTGAATTGGCTGTTTTCTCCATGGAGGGCTCTCTGGAAACAGGAGCTCTGGCCCTGACATGGTGAGGGACAGACAGCATGGGACTGTACAGAGACATGGAGTCTGGTTGCCTCTCTGGCATTCTGCTGAGTGCCCTGCTGAGGTTGAAGGGAATGGTATACAGAGAAAGGGGCTGCTGTGATCAAGGCCTGTCTCCTCGGAGAGCCTCCACTGCCCACCCCTCAGAGGATTCTGGGTCCTCGCTTATAGGGGACTATTCCCTTCTAGAGGGGCCAAGAGAGCATCCTCATGAGATGGGGCTCTCCCTTCCTTCCTGCACCCTCAGTACTTCAAGTATGAGTTCCCTGAAGGCGTGGACTCGGTAATTGTCAAGGTGACCTCCAACAAGGCCTTCCCCTGCTCAGTCATCTCCATTCAGGATGTGCTGGTGAGTTGCCTGCCCTTTTGCTCTTCCCCAGCAGGCAGCAGGGCTGCTAAAGAGAGGGGCAGGCCAGGTTCCCATCCATCTGCCTCTCCCGCCCCTCTGCAGTGTCCTGTCTATGACCTGGACAACAACGTAGCCTTCATCGGCATGTACCAGACGATGACCAAGAAGGCGGCCATCACCGTACAGGTAGGAAATGCATGTGGCCACGTGGGAGGTGTGGCTGGGCGATAAGCTGTGTAGCTTTCCAAACTTGAGCTCTTCTTCCTCTGCCCATTCCTATCCTACACACGACTGAGTCTTTGGCCTTCCAGTCCCTGTGACTTTGAGTCCCCTGATATATATGAGAGTTGTACCATAATCCCAGTTGCTCTTGGGGATGGGAAAGAGTAGAGTACCCCCTTCTGGCTGTCATACCTACTTCATTCATTGTAACAATAAGAGGGCTGAGCGCGGTGGCTCATTCCTGTAATCCCAGCACTTTGGGAGGCCGAGGTGGGCGGATCACCTGAGATCAGGAGTTCAAGACCAGCCTGGCCAACAGGCTGAAACCCCGTCTCTACTAAAAATACGAAAAATTAGCTGGGCATGGTGGCGCATGCCTGTAATCCCAGCTACTCGGGAGGCTGAGTCAGGAGAATCACTTGAACCTGGGAGACAGAGGTTGCAGTGAGCCGAGATCACACCACTGCACTCCAGCCTGGGCAAAAGGAGTGAAACTCTGTCTCAAGAAAAAAAAGGTCAGGCGCAGTGGCTCACGCCTGTAATCCCACACTTCGGGAGGCTGAGGCGGGCAGATCACCTGAGATCAGGCGTTCAAGACCAGCCTGGCCAACATGGTGAAACCCCATCTCTACTAAAAACATAAAAATTAGCTGGGCGTGGTGATGGACGCCTGTAATCCCAGCTACTTGGGAGGTTGAAGCAGGAGAATTGTTTGAACCCGGGAGGCGGAGGTTGCAGTGAGCTGAGATCATGCCATGGCACTCCAGCCTAGGCAATAGGAGTGAAACTCCGTCTCAAAAAAAAAAAAAATCTTGTGAGGATTAAGTAAAATATATCTATGAAGAATTTAGCATAATGTCTGGCCCCAGAACAAGTATTTAGAAAAGAATGATGATGATGATGATGAAGAAGATATTTATCATCATCATCCTGCAGCGCAAAGACTTCCCCAGCAACAGCTTTTATGTGGTGGTGGTGGTGAAGACCGAAGACCAAGCCTGCGGGGGCTCCCTGCCTTTCTACCCCTTCGCAGAAGGTACATTTTGTGCCCTGGGCCTGGCTAGGGATGGGGAGGTCTTGGTCACTTTCTGGGAGCAAGAAGAGCCTGCGTGGCTGATTGGTGGACCTGATAGGACATGGGTTTTTGGCTCCAGTCTCTCAAAGGCCTGATCCCACTGACTCTAGCCAAGCTCCAGGCAACTAGTTTACCACTTTGACATTTTACTTCCAGATGAACCGGTCGATCAAGGGCACCGCCAGAAAACCCTGTCAGTGCTGGTGTCTCAAGCAGTCACGTGTGAGTGCTGCAGGTGGCTGAGAGGGGATGGACAAGCCTCTCTGGCTCCTGCTTTCAGACCTGGGATATAGGGTGTGCCCTGAAGTGGGTGATGAGGATGCAGATATGCTGGTGGGGTAGGAACGGGGAGTGTTCTTGGCAGGCTTCTAGATGGGGAGGGCCGGGAGGTGAGTTCCAGTGTGATGTGGTACAGAGAGTTCATGACTAAAGATGGAAGAACTGAGGTCCAGTTCACTTTCTGCCACTTATCAGCAGTGTAACCTGATTGTAAGAAAGAGCTTTAATTTTGCTTTGTTAGCATAGTTATAATCTTATTTATTCTGAAGGATGTTTCTTAATCTCATATTCAGAAACATACCCTAATTTGTCATTGAAACACTGCTATAAGATTGAGTCTCAGTTTCCCTGTCTCTATAACAGAGGGAGTAAAATTTGTCCAGTTAATCTCACTAAGTTATGAGGGCTAGCACAAAATTAGCAGATAAAATTAGCAGGAAAGTACCAGGCCCCTACTCAGTGCTCAATAAATATTTACTGAATGATTAAATGGGGCCCTAAGGGACTGTGATAGGAGGGGAAAGAAGGTGCCTCTCTTTCTTTTTTTGAGATGGACTCTTGCTCTGTCACCCAGGCTGTAATGCAGTGGCAAGATCTCTACTCACTGCAATCTCCGCCTCCCGGGTTCAAATGATTCTCCTGCCTCAGCCTCCTGAGTTGCTGGGATTACAGGCACCTGCCGCCATGCCCAGCTAATTTTTGTATTTTTAGTAGAGACGGGGGTTTCACCATGTTGGCCAGGCTGGTCTTGAACTCTTGACCTCAGGTGATCCGCCCACCTTGGCCTCCCAGAGTGTGGGATTACAGGCATGAGCCACCGTGCCCAGCCAGAGGGTGCCTCTCTCTCTCTCTCTTTTTTTTTTTTTTTTCCGAGATGGAGTCTTGCTCTGTTGCCCAGGCTGGAGTGCAGTGGCGCAATCTCGGCTTACTGCAAGCTCCACCTCCCAGGTTCACGCCATTCTCCTGCCTCAGCCTACCGAGTAGCTGGGACTACAGGTGCCCGCCACCACGCCCGGCTAATTTTTTGTATTTTTAGTAGAGAAGGAGTTTCACCGTGTTAGCCAGGATGGTCTCAATCTCCTGACCTCGTGATCCACCTGCCCCGGCTCCCAAAGTGCTGAGATTACAGGCGTGAGCCACCGCGCCCGGCCAGGGTGCCTCTCTTACATGGATTATTTATTCAGCAAATATTTATGGAGCACCTCCTATATGCCAGGTGGTATGCTAAGGCAGCAGTCCTTGGTGGGGGCGGGGTCCTGTCTAGAGGAACAGGAGGCAGTTAAGAGCTGTGGTGAGCAAGGAACAGGTCACTGTGGAAATACAGGACAGAGAAAGCTTCCTAGAGGACACAGTCCCTGAGCTGTGGTTTGAGGGTTAAGTCAAGGTGGAATTTTTGAGAGGCCAGGCACGGTGGCTCACGCCTATAATCCCAGAACTTTGGGAGGCTGAGGCAGGGAAATTGCTTGAAGCCAGGAATTCAAGACCAGCCTGAGCAACATAGCGAGACCCAATCTCTATAAAAAATAAAAAAATGAGCCAGGCGTGGTGGCACACATCTGTAGTCCCAGCTACTCAGGAGGCTGAGGTGGAAGGATGGAGCCTAGGAGTTGGAGGCTGCAGTGAGCTATGATCGTGCCACTGCACTCCAGCATGGGTAACAGAGTGAGCCCGTCTCAAAAAAAAAAAAAAAAAAAAAAAAGTAGAAGAGAAAGTTCTAGCCCAGGGAGCAACATGAGCAAAAATAGGAGTGTGTCAGAGTTTGGTGTATTAGAGGAACTGCCAGTTGTTCATACTGGCTAGGCAGGGCCTTACATTTGAGGGGAGAAGGGTGAGAGATTGAGCTGGGTGGAGGAGGACATGAAGGCCTTTGGGTGCCATGATGGGAGGTGGTGGAAGGTTTTGACCTGTCCACCTTCCTGTTTCCTCCTTGAAGCTGAGGCATACGTCAGTGGGATGCTCTTTTGCCTGGGTATATTTCTCTCCTTTTACCTGCTGACCGTCCTCCTGGCCTGCTGGGAGAACTGGAGGTAAAGTGGAACTGCTGGGCCTCCCCTGGTCTGGGTGGTTTGGGCAGGTGTGTGGGGCAGATCACCTGGCAGGATCTGAGCCAGCCTAGGGTAATCTACACCATCCATAGCAGATGATGGTGGGGCTGTTAGAGTCTGTGGCCCATGAGCCTCTCTAGAAACCATCCCCTCCCCTCAACCTTCTTCCCAAGCAGGGAGATCCCATGTTGCTCCCCAGCCTGTGAGGAACCCTGGGACAAAGGGTGGAGGACAGGGTCATAGCGATGAGAGTGGAGCAGAGAGGTAGAAGGAAAGTCAGCCCCATACAGAGTGATCCTTGTCCTGTCCCATCTGGGTGGCCTGTGGGTTCTGTCCATGCAGGCAGAAGAAGAAGACCCTGCTGGTGGCCATTGACCGAGCCTGCCCAGAAAGCGGTACCTCCAGGGGGCCTGGGTGGGGCGGGCACAGTGTGCTTTGTGTTTTGGGGGGTGGTGGTGGATGGTTCCCTAGGGGGTTGGAGGAGGAAGGGCTGGGGGTTTCTGGATGTTCAGATGGGGGTAACACTCCACAGATGGGAATGAGGCTGGGATATGATGTCCATGCATCCCTAACATGCACACCTCAGAGGCTGAGGTGTTGCTTGGTTTATTCCATGTCTAGCGATGGTGTCTGCCTGCCTTGGGCAGTGTGGCCCACGGTCTCTGGGATTATTAACCTTTCCTTCTCTCTCTCTTCCACCCCTCCCTCTCTTTCTGTCCTCCCTCCTGCGTGGGACCTTCTCTCTTAGCTTCTCTCCTTGGTAAGCTCCAGGTGCTGTGGGCAGAGGAGCTGGAGTCCAGAGTAGGGGAGGGAGGGTGCAGCACAGGGCTGTCTGGAGGGCTCGTGGGCGGGCCAGTGTTGTCTTTGTTGCTGGTAACTTAGATGTGCCTGTTCTTGAACTTTCTCTCTCCTTAGGGAAGACAAAGGGTGGTGCTGTTTCCATGGGAGAGGCAGGCAGGGGGCTGGGGCGGGTGGTGGTGGCAGCAGTGGGGTGTGTTTGCCTGGATAGGTGCTGCTTCTCGTCTGCTGGCATGGCCTCCCTGTGGCTGTCTTCTCTGGACCTTTCTTTGTTCTTCTCCCTGGCTCTAGGCCTCTCTCTTCGTCCAGTGCTAACAGACCTTGACTTCTCATTGCAGGTCACCCTCGAGTCCTGGCTGATTCTTTTCCTGGCAGTTCCCCTTATGAGGGTTACAACTATGGCTCCTTTGGTACGTGTCAAAGCCAGCACCGTGCTTGCTGGGGACATGACCTTGTCTCCTTAGGCCACCACCTCCGAGGCGGTAAAGTGGGAGCCACCTCCTCCAGCCCCCACACCCTCTGCAGATGCTCAGAGCCCCTTTCCCTGCGGCCTCTCCTTCCTGCCTCACCACTGATCGTTCCCCACAGAGAATGTTTCTGGATCTACCGATGGTCTGGTTGACAGCGCTGGCACTGGGGACCTCTCTTACGGTTACCAGGGTGAGTGGGCCAGGCTGGGAGGGGCGGTGTGGTGCAGGACGGTGTTGTCTGGGTAAAATGTCACGGTGGGCGGTTGCCTCTTCTGCCAGATGCTGGAACCTGGGAAGGGCCTGCTGTCTTCCTAACCCCTCTCTTCCCTCATCCCCTCCTCCTTGGCCCCAGTTCCCTGGTAACTTTCCCTTTCCTTTGAAGGGCACGACCAGTTCAAGCGGCGCCTCCCCTCTGGCCAGATGCGGCAGCTGTGCATTGCCATGGGTAGACCTGGGGTGGGGGTAGGGCTGTTTTGCCAATCAGTGCCTGCCGGCTCCGGTTGACTGCCGGCTGTGGGGCCAGAAAGATTCTATGTGCATGGCTTCCCCATGTAATTCCAGTAATTGCCCGCTCTTGTGTCTTCTGAGATAGCAGCAGAGCACAGGCTCCTTTGGCTGGCGGGCTGGCGCCTCCGCTCTCTCCAGGCTGGACAATCTAGTTTATCGTCTGCGTTGCCAGCGCCCTCACTCCCTGGCCTGCTTGGGGAGGGCTCACAGGCATGGGGGTCACATTCTGGCCTCTGGATAAAGGAGAAATGCTCTTTCTGCACCCCAGGCCCACTGGGTCTTTAACCCAGTGGCAGCCAAGGCAGTGTCTTCTCAGAACCCACAGGGCTGGGCACCCTTGAATCAGCATGACTTGCCGAGTTCAATCCTGTTGTTTGTGTCTGCTGCCTGGGGTCTGCCTTGTGTCCTGGCCTGGGAAGCCCTAGCCCATGAGGGGTGCCAGGAACAGAGCAAAGCTAGAGCGGCCCCTGTGTGGTGGCCTCTTCTAGAGTCTACCATCATCCCCCAGGACTTAGGAGCACCTGATGTCTCCTCCCAGCTCCTGAGCCCACTTCCACCCCAACTCTGAGGCCCAGCCCACAATTTGCCTCTTCCCTACTGCCTAATAATTGTTACAATTGCCTCAGATGGGCGAGGGCCACTGTGGGTTTTGTGTCCACCGGTGCAACCCCTCCCTCCCTGCCCTTTCCAGGCCGCTCCTTTGAACCTGTAGGTACTCGGCCCCGAGTGGACTCCATGAGCTCTGTGGAGGAGGATGACTACGACACATTGACCGACATCGATTCCGACAAGAATGTCATTCGCACCAAGGTCTGACCCGTGGGCCTGGCCTGGTCAGGCGTTTCCTGAGAAAGGGACATTCTGCGTTCCCGCCCCAGCATGTTCCCACTGACGTGGCATTTAGGGAAGCAGAAGGAAGGGGCTCAGCTGGGGCAGGGCAGATGCCGGGGAAACTAACCTGACCTCCAACCCCTTCCGGCCTGATTGGCCAAACCCTCTTGGTCTAAGCGGCCGCAGCAGTGGGATGTCCTTGAACCCTGCCCCCCTGAATTCGGCCCTGTGTGAGGGAGGCCCCTCTTGTCCACCTCTAACCTGGGGGAGGGGGCTTCTCCCAAGTAGCAGTAAGTGGGGCTGATTCCAGCTTCTCCCCAGCAATACCTCTATGTGGCTGACCTGGCACGGAAGGACAAGCGTGTTCTGCGGAAAAAGTACCAGATCTACTTCTGGTGAGTGGGCTGAGTGTCTGGGGCTCTGCTGTTGGTGGGTGTGTGGCAGCCTTGGGTGCCACCCACCTCACTGCCGCCCTCCTGCTCCGCAGGAACATTGCCACCATTGCTGTCTTCTATGCCCTTCCTGTGGTGCAGCTGGTGATCACCTACCAGACGGTGAGAGGGCAGGGCAGGTTCACCTTTCCGACAGCCTAGGACACCGCCCCAAAGTGCAGAGCCTCCCAGCCTGGGGCCCTGGTGTTCCATCACAGGACCTGGGTTCAGATCCCAGCTCTGCCTTCCCAGCCGAGTGACCCAGGGCAAATCACATAACCCCCCCAACCCTGAGTGTCAGTTTCTTCATCTGCAAAATGGGAGCAGCCCGCACTAAAGATAGCCCCTCCCTGGTTTCTTGTGCGGATTATGAAACCAAAGTCCTGGGGCTTTGTAAGCATCAGTTTCCCTTCCCTTTTCTCTGTCCCGTGGGGCAAGAACTTCCATCACGGTCATGCCTCAGGGTTTTCAGCCACGCCTAATGAGAGGGGACAGCGACTGTGCTGCATGGCATCCATGTTCTCAGAAGGAACACGTGCCTGCGGTGCTGTGTATTCCCACCTGCTAGCTGTGGTGGCACTTGCTGTTTTTTGCCAAAGGGGCCCGGATGGCGGGGCGTGGGCTGAGTTGGGCGTGACGACAGACCCACTCCCTGTCCCTGCTCCTGCTACAGGTGGTGAATGTCACAGGGAATCAGGACATCTGCTACTACAACTTCCTCTGCGCCCACCCACTGGGCAATCTCAGGTGGGGGTCATGCTGGGAGGCCCCTTGTCCAGGCCAAGGGTGAAATGGGGCAGGGCCTGGGGCTTTGCAATGCCCACGTGGGCTAGGGAAGAGGCCTGGGTGTGAGTCCCAAGCAGTCTGCCTTGTGTTGCCCCTTCTAGCGCCTTCAACAACATCCTCAGCAACCTGGGGTACATCCTGCTGGGGCTGCTTTTCCTGCTCATCATCCTGCAACGGGAGATCAACCACAACCGGGCCCTGCTGCGCAATGACCTCTGTGCCCTGGTAAGGGAGCACCTGCCTGCCTGCCGCAGCCTCAGCTCCAGCACAGACCTCAAGCCTTGGCTCCAGGACACCCTTTTGGGCAGGCCTGGCCCTGCCTTCCCCAGCTCTCCCCTCCCCAGTTCTGTCTGGCCCACCCTATCCAGCCCAGCCTGCCCCACCCTGCCCTGCCCTCCCTTGCCAGCCTGCCCAGGCCAGCCCACCCCTGCACACCCACACTCGACACATACCCCACCCCTTTTCCTCTTCCACTCCTCTTAGGGTCCCTCTTTTGGGTCCCTTCTTCCCTTCCTGCCTCACTTCCTCCCTCCCTTCCCTTCTCTCTCTCCCCAACAGGAATGTGGGATCCCCAAACACTTTGGGCTTTTCTACGCCATGGGCACAGCCCTGATGATGGAGGGGCTGCTCAGTGCTTGCTATCATGTGTGCCCCAACTATACCAATTTCCAGTTTGGTGAGTGGGGCGTCCTTCTTTTCTGGCTCAACCTACAGCAGGGACCTGCCTGAGTCCTTCACTATCCCCAAGTCACCCACAGGGATCGCTAAGACACCCCTGTAGGAAACTCCAAGGCTGGCGTGCCTGGGTGTGCACACATCCTAGCCTATGGAACATGGGCACCTAGATGCTGCTTCATTCATCTGTCAAGCTATTCCTATGTAAAGGCATGTGCCGCAGTGAAGAAAACAGTATAATTAAGAAGGGGTCCCTGGCCGGGTGCAGTGGCTCACGCCTGTAATCCCAGCACTTTGGGAGGCCGAGGCAGATGGATCACGAGGTCAGGAGCTCCAGACCATCCTGGCTAACATGGTGAAACCCCGTCTCTACTAAAAATACAAAAAATTAGCCGGGCACAGTGGCAGGCGCCTGTAGTCCCAGCTGCTCGGGAGGCTGAGGCAGGAGAATGGCATGAATCCGGGAGGCAGAGTTTGCAATGAGCCAAGATCACGCCCTGCGCTCTAGCCTGGGCAACAGAGCGAGACTCCGTCTCAAAAAAAAAAAAAAGAAGGGGGCCCTGGCTGGGCACTGTGGCTCATGCCTGTAATCCTAGCACTTTGGGAGGCTGAGGCGGGGGGATCGCCCAAGGTGGGGAGTTTGAGATCAGCCGGGCCAACATGGTGAAACCCCATCTCTACTAAAAATGCAAAGATTAGCTGGGTGTGGTGGTGCATGCCTGTAATCTCAGCTACTCAGGGGGCTGAGGCAGGAGAATTGCTTGAGCCCAGGAAGCGGAGGTTGCAGTGAGCCGAGATCCCACCATTGCACGCCAGCCTGGGCGACAGAGTGAGACTCCGTCTCCAAAAAAATAAAAGGGAGTCCCTGATCTCAGGGTGCTCACAGACTAAGACACAGACCAAGTTGTCCCTGTTTTCAGGAGATGTCAGACTCTGGGTGACAGCCAGTGGGGTGGCAGTGTGGTGTGGCAGGTACAACTAAGGAACTGAAGTTCAAGTGCCACCCTGCCACCAGCTCACACCATGGCCGTGGTGGGGCACCAGGGCTCTCTCTTCCTCTGGGATTGTTGGGGCCAGGAGTTCTCTGCTGGGGCTTGGTGGCCATTTCTGCAGCTCCCTTCCGTGTCCCTCATCCTAGACACATCGTTCATGTACATGATCGCCGGACTCTGCATGCTGAAGCTCTACCAGAAGCGGCACCCGGACATCAACGCCAGCGCCTACAGTGCCTACGCCTGCCTGGCCATTGTCATCTTCTTCTCTGTGCTGGGCGTGGTGAGGGCCTGACCTGCTCTGCTCAGCCTGTATGATAGGAAAGGTGCACGTGCGTTCAGACACGTAGTGCACACCCTCCGCCACCTCCTGCATGAGAGATTCCTGCTCCTTCCCTGAGATGCCTTCCTGGGCCCCTCTCAGAGTCCCAGCCTGGCTGAGCAGCCAGCCCCAGGAAGGGTGGGCCATCCGAGCCACTTCCCTCTCCACCCTCACCGCTGCCCTTGGTGGCCTCCCGACAGGTCTTTGGCAAAGGGAACACGGCGTTCTGGATCGTCTTCTCCATCATTCACATCATCGCCACCCTGCTCCTCAGCACGCAGCTCTATTACATGGGCCGGTGGAAACTGGGTAAGGGCACGCCCGGGGCAGGGCCTGGGGGAGGGGTCTGGGGGGCCTTGGGAACCCGGACGCACGGGAGACGCTCAGGTTCTGTCTTGGGGGCCCTGGAGTCACTGGGTGAGGAATTAGATCAGGCCTGGGCTCCTCAGCTGGCACATCCCAGGGGTCCAGCAAAGGAGGGTGCCCCGTGCCTGTCAGCACCACTCCCTTCTCTTCGCAGACTCGGGGATCTTCCGCCGCATCCTCCACGTGCTCTACACAGACTGCATCCGGCAGTGCAGCGGGCCGCTCTACGTGGTACCTGCCTGGTTCCCCTGCTCCATTCTCCACATCTCCTTTCTTCCCTCTGATGGGGGAGTGGGGCTGGGCTGAGGACCCAGGGGAGAGTGGGGACCAGCTGGCTGGGCCTTCTTCCACCACCCTCCCTGCCCCTGCCCTCAGTCCCTGTGTCCCTGCTTCCCTCCAGGACCGCATGGTGCTGCTGGTCATGGGCAACGTCATCAACTGGTCGCTGTGAGTATGGTCAGCAGTAGTGGCCTGGTTGGGTGGACAGCTGGGGACTCGGTCAGCCACTGGCTGCCTTGGGGGCTAAGGACAACTTCCAAATGTTGGGCATAAGACATGGGGGCTAAGAGAGATCTTGGCCTCTCTTCTCTCTCTTGGCATCTGGGCTTCTAGAATCTTCTGTGGGCTTCTGAACACAGCCCAACATCATAATAAAACATGCCTAGGCAGGGCAGGAAGAGCACTTCCTTGCCCTTGGGCTTCCTGCTTCACCACCCTTCATCCCTCTTGCCAGGGCTGCCTATGGGCTTATCATGCGCCCCAATGATTTCGCTTCCTACTTGTTGGCCATTGGCATCTGCAACCTGCTCCTTTACTTCGCCTTCTACATCATCATGAAGGTGAGTGGGGCTGGCCAAGCCCCCTCTGTCAGCTGCTCTGCTATCTGGGGAGAGAGATGGGCCCGGCAGCATTGAGGGGCAGTGAGAAGTTTTCTGTCCCATCTTTGCTGGTTGCGGAGGGGAGAGGCTAAAGCCTCTTGCATGGGCCCCTGGGAGCCAACTGCAGCCCAAAGACCATTTACTGAGCCCCTTCCAAGGGCCCTTGAAACAGGTGGCATTTTAGGCTGCAGTTGTAAGTGCCCCTTTCCATGCAGAAGGGGCTGAGGGGAGGTAGGGTGTGGGCCTCTCAGGATCAGGTGCTTCCCCAGAAACCATCCTGCCTTCCACTCTGATTGGAGCCCCCTGCATAGGGAGCGCCTTGAGGCCAGTGCACTGTCCCGACACAGGGTTCTGGATACATGGAGGCTGGGTGGGGTGGACATCGGGGTGGGGGCAGGTTGAGCTCTGTGGTTGTGCGGAATGGTATGAATCCAAGGAGCAGTCCTGAAGGCCTGGGAGGCCATGAGGAAAGGGAATCTGGGAAAGGCTGGGTGGGACAGCGGGGTGGGACAGGGGTAAGCCCTCAGACTGCTGTCCCTGCCTGGCCCCTCCCAGCTCCGGAGTGGGGAGAGGATCAAGCTCATCCCCCTGCTCTGCATCGTTTGCACCTCCGTGGTCTGGGGCTTCGCGCTCTTCTTCTTCTTCCAGGGACTCAGCACCTGGCAGGTGAGCACTCACCCTCAGGCTCCTTGTGAGCCAACAAGTGGCCAGTCCTCTTTTTAAACATTGGGGCTGAGCCTGGGATTACCTGTAATCCCAGCACTTTGGGAAGCTGAGGCAGGAGGATCACTTGAGGCGTTCAAGACCAGCCTGGGCAATATAGTAAGAACCCGTCTCTACAAAAAATAAAAAAATAAAAATAAAAAAATTAGCCTGGCGTGGTGGTATTCACCAGTAGTCCTAGCTACCTCGGAAGCGGAGGCAAGAAGATAGCCTGTGCAGGAGTTCCAGGCTGCAGTGAGCCAAGATTGCACCATTGCACTCTAGCCTGGACGATAGGCCATGTCTCTAAAAAAAAAATTTTAAACATCATTTGGGAACACCTACCATAGGCCAGCACTTTCATAGCGGCTTCCCCAGTTAATCCTCCTAGCATTCCAGCCTGGAGATAGCTCCAGTTTACTTACGAGACAGATGAGGCTCAGAGAGGCCAAGTGACTTCCCCAGGGCACATAGCCAGTGAGTGGCACAGCTGGCATTTGAAGCCAGCAAGGCTTGGCTCTCTTCTCTGCCTTGCAGGACACCTACCACATGTCAGGCTTTAATTCTGGGAATAGAACTAAGTCTGACATGGTCTCTGAGGGACTCATAAACTAGCCGAAGAGGGCTAGAAGGACTGTTGGTGCATGACTGTTAGTGCTGTTTACGATGTGATACATGAAATGAAGGGCACAGGCAAGACGGGGCAGGAGGACAGAGGACTAACGGGTCTCTCCGAGTTAGGAGTCCAGGAAAGCTTCCTGGAAAAAGTGCGCCTTGTTCTGGGCTATAAAAGTCTTGGGTGAGGAGGGCTGGGCACGGTGGCTCACGCCTGTAATCCCAGCACTTTGGGAGGCCGAAGCGGGTGGATCACGAGGTCAAGAGATTGAGACCATCCTGGCCAACATGGTGAAACCCCATCTCTAGTAAAAATACAAAAGTTAGCTGGGCGTGATGGTGGGCGCCTGTAGTCCCAGCTACTCGGGAGGCAGAGGCAGGAGAACGGCTTGGACCCGGGAGGTGGAGGTTGCAGTGAGCTGAGATCTCTCCACTGCACTCCAGCCTGTCAACAGAGCAAGACTCTGTCTCAAAAAAAAAAAAAAAAAAAAAAAAAAAAAGTCTTGGGTAATGGAGAAGAGCCCCATGGCCCAGACCTACTGTGACCTTAGTAATGATACAGGGGCAGATTTGGAGGTCAGTGAATGCACTCATTTGGGAGCCAGGCAGACTGTGAGCTCCCTGAGGGTGGGGCAGGTCTTGGTTATGTCTGTGGCCTCAGCATGTAGCACAGACAGACACAGCCTGGATGAGCTTATGGGATAGAGCTTATGAGTAGAGCAGGGAGGACCTTGAGTGCCACAGGTTATGGCTACTGTCCCGGAGCAGGTGTGTAACCTGACAGTAGTGCTTTGGAAAAAACAATGAGCCTGCAGAAAGATTAGAGCAAGGGCGGAGTCCAAGGCCGGGAAGTGGGTGAGAAGGCCTTCTGCCATCTCTGAGCTGAAGGCCTTCAAGGTTGTTGCAACCCTGTGCTCTTAGGTCAAGGGAAGAGAATCAGAAGGAAGGAGGAGGGTAAGAGTGAAAGAAAAGGGAAGAGAAGCCAGTGAACTCAGGGAGAAGTTTGTAACCAAAGGCCATTTGTTAGATCGGGAAGGGGTAGGGACAAGGACAAGGGACAGGTCAGAATTGCTGCTGTCCTGCCTGGGGCTGGAGAGAGGGGTGCCCAGGAGCAAGATGGCAGATGGGTCTGGCCCTTGCCCTGCCAGAGCAGGGTCATTCGGCAGTTTTTCTTGTTGCTCCCCAAGAAAACCCCTGCAGAGTCGAGGGAGCACAACCGGGACTGCATCCTCCTCGACTTCTTTGACGACCACGACATCTGGCACTTCCTCTCCTCCATCGCCATGTTCGGGTCCTTCCTGGTAAGCGGGCCTCCCGGCCGAGCCGGGTGGGTACGTGAAGGTAGCAGCTGCCTCCTTCTCTGTGGCTGATCTGGCGTCCACACCCCAGGTGTTGCTGACACTGGATGACGACCTGGATACTGTGCAGCGGGACAAGATCTATGTCTTCTAGCAGGAGCTGGGCCCTTCGCTTCACCTCAAGGGGCCCTGAGCTCCTTTGTGTCATAGACCGGTCACTCTGTCGTGCTGTGGGGATGAGTCCCAGCACCGCTGCCCAGCACTGGATGGCAGCAGGACAGCCAGGTCTAGCTTAGGCTTGGCCTGGGACAGCCATGGGGTGGCATGGAACCTTGCAGCTGCCCTCTGCCGAGGAGCAGGCCTGCTCCCCTGGAACCCCCAGATGTTGGCCAAATTGCTGCTTTCTTCTCAGTGTTGGGGCCTTCCATGGGCCCCTGTCCTTTGGCTCTCCATTTGTCCCTTTGCAAGAGGAAGGATGGAAGGGACACCCTCCCCATTTCATGCCTTGCATTTTGCCCGTCCTCCTCCCCACAATGCCCCAGCCTGGGACCTAAGGCCTCTTTTTCCTCCCATACTCCCACTCCAGGGCCTAGTCTGGGGCCTGAATCTCTGTCCTGTATCAGGGCCCCAGTTCTCTTTGGGCTGTCCCTGGCTGCCATCACTGCCCATTCCAGTCAGCCAGGATGGATGGGGGTATGAGATTTTGGGGGTTGGCCAGCTGGTGCCAGACTTTTGGTGCTAAGGCCTGCAAGGGGCCTGGGGCAGTGCGTATTCTCTTCCCTCTGACCTGTGCTCAGGGCTGGCTCTTTAGCAATGCGCTCAGCCCAATTTGAGAACCGCCTTCTGATTCAAGAGGCTGAATTCAGAGGTCACCTCTTCATCCCATCAGCTCCCAGACTGATGCCAGCACCAGGACTGGAGGGAGAAGCGCCTCACCCCTTCCCTTCCTTCTTTCCAGGCCCTTAGTCTTGCCAAACCCCAGCTGGTGGCCTTTCAGTGCCATTGACACTGCCCAAGAATGTCCAGGGGCAAAGGAGGGATGATACAGAGTTCAGCCCGTTCTGCCTCCACAGCTGTGGGCACCCCAGTGCCTACCTTAGAAAGGGGCTTCAGGAAGGGATGTGCTGTTTCCCTCTACGTGCCCAGTCCTAGCCTCGCTCTAGGACCCAGGGCTGGCTTCTAAGTTTCCGTCCAGTCTTCAGGCAAGTTCTGTGTTAGTCATGCACACACATACCTATGAAACCTTGGAGTTTACAAAGAATTGCCCCAGCTCTGGGCACCCTGGCCACCCTGGTCCTTGGATCCCCTTCGTCCCACCTGGTCCACCCCAGATGCTGAGGATGGGGGAGCTCAGGCGGGGCCTCTGCTTTGGGGATGGGAATGTGTTTTTCTCCCAAACTTGTTTTTATAGCTCTGCTTGAAGGGCTGGGAGATGAGGTGGGTCTGGATCTTTTCTCAGAGCGTCTCCATGCTATGGTTGCATTTCCGTTTTCTATGAATGAATTTGCATTCAATAAACAACCAGACTCAGTTCTTGGGGCCCTTGTTTGC
The DNA here is from genome assembly GCF_000001405.40 of Homo sapiens. Lineage (NCBI taxonomy): Eukaryota > Metazoa > Chordata > Mammalia > Primates > Hominidae > Homo > Homo sapiens. Next base: position 117,197,464 of record NC_000011.10, read on the forward strand.
ACTCCCTCTGGGTGGAGCTGTTGAGGATGAGGGGAGAGGCGGAGGTCTTCCATTTCCCCATTCTTCAAGCCATGGCCCTACTGGGAACTGCAATTCCTTGATTCTCCCGTTTTTCCTGTCCCTCCAGCAACAGCATTAATTCAGTAAACATTTACCGGGGCACTGTGCTGGACAGAGGCCAGTTCCTGGAAAAGCCTTTCCCACGCCATCCCACTGCAGACATCCCTCCTTACCTCCCCAGGAACAGCAGTCTCTGCCCACCTGGCCCCGCCCACCAGACTGAGGCTCACTTCACCTCTGACCTGAGCGGCCCCCAGCTCACCAAGCCACAGGCCCAAGCAGTGCTCCCTGATGCGGCGTTTATAATCCGCTCAGCGTGCAGGCCGAGGCAGGAGGGTGATGAAAGCTGGGCAGGCTCCAAGAGGAGGGAGTTTTGATATGTCCCTGAAAGATTCATTTAGACTTCAGTCGGCTAAGGAGGACATGATTTGGGGGCCAAGGAATCTGTTGAATTCAGAACACAACCAGAGGTCTGCAGGGTCAGGGATGGAGGAGTGGGCTTTCCCCTCGCCAGGGCCCACTCCTCTTCCTGCTTTTCCTGCAGGCGCCACTGGGAGGTGCTATGGCTGTGCCTCCCCTGGGCTCTGGAGCATGTCCAGTTGCAGTGGGCAGAACTGCGGAGGCGGGCCCCTCCTCTGCCAGGCCTGGCAGCCCCCTCCTAGGGCCTTGTTTGGCTAGGGGTGGTGCCGGGTGTGGCAGTGTGTGTGTAGTGGAGAGTGTTAGGTCTTCCCTACCAGATGCCCTTGCAGGGGAGTGCCACAGCAGTCAGTCCAGGGATCCCACTGTTAGTCTCACCTTTTTTAACCTCTTATCTCTCCCCAAGATCCCTGAAGCCAGGTACGAGCAAGATGAGAGTGGGTTATCTCTGGAGTGACAGAGGCTGGTCTGTTTTCCAGGCTGGTAGGGACTGTTCCTAAAGGGAGGAAGGGATGATACCAGCCTCCTGAGCCTCCTTCTCCTGCGTTAGTGTCTCAGGCCCTGCCAGGCCTTATAGACCCTCTTATTGACACTGCCCACTGGATGGGGACCGGAGTTGGACTCAGCTTCTGCCGAACCCTCAAATCCCAGCCCCAACTAAAGCATATAACTCAAGACCTACCTGCACTGAAAGCTCTTCTCAACCTGAGCAGGGTGGTCCAATTGAAAGGGTGGGTCTGACCACCTCTCCTGCACCCATGCGGGTTGGCAGAGGTGTGCAGGATCTGCCACTTACCATTCACCATGTGGCCTTGAGGAAGACGCACTCGGGGCCTCAGTTTCCTCATCTATAAAATGGGGATGTAATTACACCCTCACACTGTAGCTGTGAGTATTCAATGAGAGCACTGCAAAGGGCCTGGTGTGGAGTAGGTCCTCAGGAAAGGTTGGATCCCATGTCCCATCAGAGCTAAAAGCCCCAGGAGGAGAGGGTGGCTGGTTTGTCCCCACAAACCCCTGGGATTCCCGGCTCCCCAGCCCCTTGCCCCTCTCTCCAGCCAGACTCTATTGAACTCCCCCTCTTCTCAAACTCGGGGCCAGAGAACAGTGAAGTAGGAGCAGCCGTAAGTCCGGGCAGGGTCCTGTCCATAAAAGGCTTTTCCCGGGCCGGCTCCCCGCCGGCAGCGTGCCCCGCCCCGGCCCGCTCCATCTCCAAAGCATGCAGAGAATGTCTCGGCAGCCCCGGTAGACTGCTCCAACTTGGTGTCTTTCCCCAAATATGGAGCCTGTGTGGAGTCACTGGGGGAGCCGGGGGTGGGGAGCGGAGCCGGCTTCCTCTAGCAGGGAGGGGGCCGAGGAGCGAGCCAGTGGGGGAGGCTGACATCACCACGGCGGCAGCCCTTTAAACCCCTCACCCAGCCAGCGCCCCATCCTGTCTGTCCGAACCCAGACACAAGTCTTCACTCCTTCCTGCGAGCCCTGAGGAAGCCTTGTGAGTGCATTGGCTGGGGCTTGGAGGGAAGTTGGGCTGGAGCTGGACAGGAGCAGTGGGTGCATTTCAGGCAGGCTCTCCTGAGGTCCCAGGCGCCAGCTCCAGCTCCCTGGCTAGGGAAACCCACCCTCTCAGTCAGCATGGGGGCCCAAGCTCCAGGCAGGGTGGGCTGGATCACTAGCGTCCTGGATCTCTCTCAGACTGGGCAGCCCCGGGCTCATTGAAATGCCCCGGATGACTTGGCTAGTGCAGAGGAATTGATGGAAACCACCGGGGTGAGAGGGAGGCTCCCCATCTCAGCCAGCCACATCCACAAGGTGTGTGTAAGGGTGCAGGCGCCGGCCGGTTAGGCCAAGGCTCTACTGTCTGTTGCCCCTCCAGGAGAACTTCCAAGGAGGTGAGGAGTGTGTGAACGCACCTGTGTTGGAGCACGGTGTCCCACTCTGGCGGGTCCCCAGGGCCTGAGCAGCAGCGATAGCCCTGTGACAATGTGAAGGGCCACAGAACTCTTGTATTCCAGTCAGGGGCAAAGAGTGGAGACGGAAGGCCTGTCCTTCTGACAAGCAGCCCCTTCCACTGTCTGACAGTGGGAGGTCACCCCCACTGTAGCAGAGGGGTGGGGGGCGGGTACTGCCAAGGAGGAGCTTTGGAGTGATAGGCGGGGCAGGCCTGGGACCCTTGGTCTTTCCCAAAGGGTGGTTCCCTTTCGAAGTTGCTATTCCAAAGGTAGCAGTGAGGATGGCACACATTTATGTAGCCAGGCCACTCCTGTTTGTCCGTGGAGTGGAGAGGAGCCACCCTCCTGCCCTCTCAGAGGTCCAGGTGTGCTCACTCCTATTTGGGAAGAGAGAAGGGGCACAGCAGCCCTGCAGGGGCCCCTGGCTCTGCTCGTGTTTCTGGGCTTCTGCTGGTAGGGGGTGCCACCTTCCCGTTTGACCCTGGACTTTCTTTCTCCACTGCCCACTTTCACCCACTGGGCAGCTCAGGGGAGGGGTCCTGGCAGGAGCCACAGGGCAGGAGGGTCCATGCCTGTCCATGCTGTCCTGGGAGTGTCTTGAGATGCCCCTGGGGGGGCCGCCCTGTAATCATCCTCCTCTCCCCCTCCCCACTGGCTCGAAGGCAGGACTCGGGAGGCTTCATCAGAGGACTCTAAAGGATTTCTGGGGATTCTCCACTTTTCGACCCTGACCCAGGAGGAGGAAGGGGAAGGATGGTGGTGCTGGGTGGGAGTGGGGATGGTGTGTGCTTCATCCCCCTCTGACCGAAATCCTAATCTTGTCTCTAGATCTGGGGGCTGCAGCGTTGTGTACCTGTCACCCTTAGCCTTGCTGCTTTGACCTGTATTGTCTGTTCTGACCCTCCTGAGACTGGAAGCTGGGGGTAGGGGACACACTCTCCTTCCATCCTGTTCCTCAGGAGCCCAGCAGGGGTGCAGAAGGGGAAGGCAGACATGAGGGCAGGTGGAGTGGGGGTAGAAGCAGGGCCAGAGACAGAAGGTGGATGCCTGTCTGGGATGGTGGTGCAAAGGCTGAGACAGAGGCTGGGGTGGATGGAAGCCAGGATGCAGGGCTACCAAAATCACCTGGTCCCAGCTGACTTGGGGGTTTGGACCACAGTTCTTTGTGCAGGAGTCCTTGGGTGGTTGGGGAGCGGGGGTGGGACACACAGGGTGAAGGGAGGGATTGGCTGTTTGTAGCTGAACAGCAGAACAGAGCACTCTGCCTTTGGGGTCTCTGGCATCACTGGCAGGGAGAGGGGTGGCTGGGCCAGGAGCCCACCTCATCCCCAGTGCTCAGAGAACTGGGTCCTCAGAAGTGGTCCTGCCCCCACTTTACACATAAGGAAACAGACGCAAGGAGGAGAGGGATGCCCAATGACGGGCACTTCGATGAGTCCGTGTGAACTCTGTTCCGTGTGAGCTGCTGCGCGCTCAGGGAATGATTGTGAGAAGCGGGTGGAGGCTGGAGTGGGCAGCAAAGAACTGACATTTTGAGGTCAGTTTTTCACTCCTTGGTCAAGGGCAGGCTCTCTCCCTGGTCATTACCAGGAGCCTGGCTCCGGGCAGCAAAGAACTGACATTTCGAGGAGCTCTGCTAAGGGCCAGGCAGTATGTGAGGGAGTTCACAGACACCGTCCCATTTTCACAGCCCTCTGAGGTTGGTAACATAACCCCCACTTCACAGATGAGGAACTCCAGCCCAGAAAGCCTGTCAGCCCTGAGAAAGGAAGGGCAGGGCATCGGGCTGGGCAGCTGGCCTGGGACCAGTGGGGTGTGATAGTGTTGGCTCTGCTTCCCGCGGGTGGGGTGCCAGTGGGGAGGGGTCTCACCAGAGAGGGAGCCGGGGGAGTGCGCTCCTGCGTCCATCCTCAGACCAGCGTGTCCCTCCCAACCTCTGACCCCTCTGAGGCCAGGGGATGGGTTCGGCTTCCTTTGGTACCTCTTTTGGAAGTCTCTTCAGACAAACACTGGAGAGAAGGCACAGCACCCTAGGGTGACATCAGTGGACAGGTCAGTTTCCTGTTCCTGTTCCCAGCCACCCCTGTCTGTCTGCCCAGGGACCTACCTGCCTGGCCCACTCCTGCTGCCACCCCTCTCCATGAGTGGGACTCCTGAGCAGTGCCAGGCCCAGGCCCTCAGGGTGGCAGTTGCTGGATGGGGCCAGGCTTCCCATTCCCTGGCAGGCAGACTCTTGGCTCTGGAAGATCCCTGGGGGACTCTGACTTCTTGGTTACTCAGGCTACTCCGTAAGGGTAGCCTTACGAGAGCGTAAGGGCATGAGGGGAAGTCGATGGGTAGACCAGGTGTCTCTGATTTCTCTGAGGAAATGCAGCTTCTTTGCCAAGAACTCTTGGGCTTTGGTGGCTTCGTCGCCCTTGCCTGGGGTGGGCGAGTTTTAGTCTCTTCAGCTGCAGACCAGAAGCTGAGCTGACCTGAAAAGAGCTGGAGTTCTGGAGTTCGGGCTTCCAGGCCAGGGCCTGCTTCTGGGTGAGAGTGGGAGGTAATGGTTGCTTGAGGCAGAGGCAGTAAACCCTCACACCCGCAGCTGGACAAAGGCACCAGCTGGCTGTATTCTGTGGGGGCAATGTGGCTTCTGGAAGGTCTCTCCAGTGGCTCTGTAGCTGGTCTTGGCAAAGAATGTTCTAGACCAAGGGTTGTCAAACTACAGCTCATGGGCCAAATCCAGCCTGCTGTCTGCTTTTGTAAGTAAAGTTTTATTGGAACAAAGCCATGTTCATTTGTTACATATTGTCTATGGCTGCTTTCACACTGCAACAGCAGAGACCATGTGTCCTGCAAAGCCTAAAATATGTTCTGTCTTATCCTTTACAAAAACAGTTTACTGACCCCTGCTCTAGACCTCCAAAGACCTGGTATCCTCTTTCCTGGTGTTCAAGTTCAGAGAGGTGTCTGGAGTAGGGGCTGAGCCTGGCCTGGATGGGCAGTGCTGTGACAAGTGTCTAGGATGGCCGGGTATCCTGCACAGAGCTAGAAGGCTGCCTGGCACGGGTGAAAGCAGAGCTGCTCCCTGACCCTCTGCCCCTCCCTCCTCCACCCTGGCCTGCTTTAGCTTTCCCCAGACATGGCCAACAAGGGTCCTTCCTATGGCATGAGCCGCGAAGTGCAGTCCAAAATCGAGAAGAAGTATGACGAGGAGCTGGAGGAGCGGCTGGTGGAGTGGATCATAGTGCAGTGTGGCCCTGATGTGGGCCGCCCAGACCGTGGGCGCTTGGGCTTCCAGGTCTGGCTGAAGAATGGCGTGGTGAGTGGCACCCTGGGCTAGGGCGCTGGGGGGCTGGGGTGTGCCACCCTGTGAGTCCTGGGCCAATCCCTGAGCTGACTGCTAAGCTGCGTCCTATGCCCTATGCCTGGTAGATTCTGAGCAAGCTGGTGAACAGCCTGTACCCTGATGGCTCCAAGCCGGTGAAGGTGCCCGAGAACCCACCCTCCATGGTCTTCAAGCAGATGGAGCAGGTGGCTCAGTTCCTGAAGGCGGCTGAGGACTATGGGGTCATCAAGACTGACATGTTCCAGACTGTTGACCTCTTTGAAGGTAGAGAGGAAGAGGCTGGGGGAGGAGGTGGGCAGGAGGACAGGGTGCTGGGACAGGGAGAGGGAATGACCAGAATATGCCACAACTAGGGGTGTGCTTGCCCGCACACAGCAGGGATGGGATATGCCGAGAATAACACGCCACGCTCACAGGGCCCACTGAGAGGCCTCCCTTGAATTGGGGACAACTCTTGGCCCTGGTTTGGCCATTTTTTTGTGAGAGACGGGGGCAGGCCCTGGCTTGGAGTCTTGTTTATACGTTCTTGATGTTCATCTCCTCTCTCCTGTCTTCTCACAGGCAAAGACATGGCAGCAGTGCAGAGGACCCTGATGGCTTTGGGCAGCTTGGCAGTGACCAAGAATGATGGGCACTACCGTGGAGATCCCAACTGGTTTATGAAGTATGTGGCCCCCAGGGAGCTTGGGTCTCCGCATGGGGTGGGAGGTGGCTTGTTCTAAGGAGCTTGCGGGAAGGATTAGGGGAAGCAGATAGCCAAGAAAGGATAAAGTGAGGGTCTGGGATGGGGAATAATGGGTCCTTAATACTCCTTGACCCCTCCCTTTCCACCCTCCTGCGCTCAGTCTCCCTAGCCTATGAGGCAAGCTAGATTAGGGAAAAAAAGTGCAACAGGAAGGCAATGGGATTGGGCTAGGACGTAACAGAGGGATCAGAAAACGGGTGGAAAACACACAGTTCTACCAAGTCTTTATCCTGGTTCCTCCTCTTCTAGGAAAGCGCAGGAGCATAAGAGGGAATTCACAGAGAGCCAGCTGCAGGAGGGAAAGCATGTCATTGGCCTTCAGATGGGCAGCAACAGAGGGGCCTCCCAGGCCGGCATGACAGGCTACGGACGACCTCGGCAGATCATCAGTTAGAGCGGAGAGGGCTAGCCCTGAGCCCGGCCCTCCCCCAGCTCCTTGGCTGCAGCCATCCCGCTTAGCCTGCCTCACCCACACCCGTGTGGTACCTTCAGCCCTGGCCAAGCTTTGAGGCTCTGTCACTGAGCAATGGTAACTGCACCTGGGCAGCTCCTCCCTGTGCCCCCAGCCTCAGCCCAACTTCTTACCCGAAAGCATCACTGCCTTGGCCCCTCCCTCCCGGCTGCCCCCATCACCTCTACTGTCTCCTCCCTGGGCTAAGCAGGGGAGAAGCGGGCTGGGGGTAGCCTGGATGTGGGCCAAGTCCACTGTCCTCCTTGGCGGCAAAAGCCCATTGAAGAAGAACCAGCCCAGCCTGCCCCCTATCTTGTCCTGGAATATTTTTGGGGTTGGAACTCAAAAAAAAAAAAAAAAAATCAATCTTTTCTCAGGCCTGGCTGGCAGAGTTTGATTTGCCCTGGTCACTTTTGTTATGGTTTCAGATCTGCGCAGGGGACAGGCAGGCATCTCGGGCTTGTATGTGTTCCTGGCTGCCGTCCTCTGAAGGACCCTTCATGTGCCAAGATTCCAGGACAGTCAGATTCTTTCAGAGGAAACAGGCCATAGAACAGGAGAGTGAATCTTGGGGACCGAAGGGAAAAAGGAGCCACTCAGCAGCATGCAGTGGCTTTGGGGAGACAGAGGAAAGGAGAGATTGCGAGTGGCAGAATTGTTTGGAAGGTTTTTATTTTGGAAAAGCTGTGCAGAAAAAAATTCAAGAAAATGTTGCTGTGAAAAGAGAAAAACAAATCTTAAGCATTAAAAAAAATTCAACCAACTAGCTCAGAAGAGGGGAGAAGGCCAAGGTTGAGAGAAGAGTCACAGCCTGTCAGGCAGATAGCTGGCCTCCGGCGGGAAGGCCATTTCCCTGAGCACTTGCAGAGGAAGACAGGGTGGTGGCAGGACTGGAGTGGCAGTGGCTCCCAAGGCTCTCTCCTCCAACATGTGCATCTGCCATCTGCTCTGCAGTCCTGCCGCAGGATTCCCTAGTGAAGCAGCTCAGGCCTGGGGGAGCCGTGTGTATCCCAGCTGTGCCGGCAGCATCATACCAATCGTGGGGGTGGTGAAGGAGCCAGGGGTTCATTCATGGTTGGTTTCTGATCAGGCATCTTGGGAATGGATAATGGAGGCAGCCGCTTTCAGGACAGGCATGTCCAGGGGCTCCTCCCAGCCTCTACCCCGAAGTCCTCTTCCCAAGTGACCCCAGTGATGTTTCCATTGAGATGCGCTCCTGGCTATGGCAGGCACCTTCTCAACTTATATGTGGGAAGGGGTCCCCCATGCTTGGGGGACCTAGGCAGCTGGCTTGGCCCAAGAGAGATGAGGATGGAGGCCAAACCAAAGGGGGGCGCCAATCCCCTGTCCAACACCTTCTCACCAAAAGCTCCCGTTTGGCTGGAGGCAGACCCTGTGGCTCTGACCAGACTTCTCTGGCAGCAATCCTCCACCATTTGTATCTTAAGAAGGCCCTCACCCTCTTTGAGTGGAGTCAGAGGATGCCTCAGATTCCAGATGTAAGCATCAGAACTGCTTTCTGTCAAGAGCTCCCTAATTTTGGGAAAGAAGAGCCTGTCCCACACTGTCAGGCCCTGAGGTCAGCAGATCTGCTCCTCCTTCCCGTGCGGTACGTCTAGGTGCTGATGAGGGCAGTCCAGGGCGCTCTTGTTCTGGGACAGGCTCCAGTCCCCTTGCTCCAGCAGGTCTGGGGCAAGGAGGTCAGAGGTGGTGGGAGGGCCCCTGCTCTCTGTTTCCACTTCGTCTGGATCCTTGCTGCTGCAAAGTGGCACTGATTCTAGCTCTGTCCCTTCCTCCTTGGCTTTCCGGCTCCGATGGGGCCAGTGGCAGGGTCCACTCCTACAAACTTGATTGGAAGCCACATTCCTCTGGCTCAAATATACTTCCAGCATGTAGTAAACAGTCCAGAAGACGGTGAAACAGCCTACCAGCACCAGGGTCTGGGGCCGAGGCAAGCACCTACGTGAGGCACTGTTTCCCGAAGCCTACAGCCTTTCTCAGCCCAGGACAATGAGCTCAGAAAGTCTTTTTCCTTCTAGGGACTGCCTTTTTCACCCAAACTGTTCCCTCTGCCCCCTCCCCCGACAAGGCCTGTCCTGTAAGAGTTAGGCTAGCAGGGTAGGAGCAATGCTATGAAACCACTGCTGGGACCCAGGTCTTCCCAGTCCTTCACCCCGCAGGTCACCCTGAGAAACACACTAAGAACTCCATCCCCCAGACAGGACAGTCCCATCTACCCGCAGCTTGAGTCTTGGCCCTAGTACCTTGAGGGTGTTGGGGGTGATGGTGTAACCATCTTCCTCAGGAATTTTCAGCCCCGGTGGGCAGGGCAGGGCGAAGTCATCGTGCAGGTATTTTCCACTCATGGCACTCTCTAACAGCCTGTGGAGAAGAAAAGAGGTGAGGATGCCCCACTGACTATGGTTCCTATACCATCTGCCCTCACCCATTTTCCTGCCTTACAGGTGAAGACAGGGAAGCCCCACAGCAAAAAGGAGAGGCCCAGACTGTGAGTTCCCAGCCCGGGGCTCCATCTACCGGCTTGACGCTGGAACTGGGAAGCACAGCTGGGGTTCAGAGGGCGATGGGCTCCCTAGGCGGCCCTTCCCCTGTGACTGGCCTTCCCTCTGACACATGCGGCTTTACCCACCTTTGTCTGTCCCTGATGTCTACTGCACTCCACACAGAGCCATATAGGGTCAGCTGCCATTGCCGGAGGATGCCGACCTGGAATGACTCATCCCCTAGGGCAGCAAGGGGCAGCTCGTGAGCCACGCCCCTCTGTCAGCCATGCCAGACAGCAGAGGCCCTGCCCGCCCTGCCACCCAAAGGGGCTCAGGCCACATGGTCTGCTCCAGGAGCTGCCTCACTGTGTCCCACTGACCCCAGGTTCTGCAGAAGGGCCTCACTGGGTGCCCTTAGGGATGGAAAGGGTTGAAAGGCTGTACTCCAAAGCAGAGTCTTGCTTTTCTCTCCCGTATTTTGGGGGTTCAGCTGGGATTAGAAAAAAATGTCTTTCCACCAAATTAAAGAAAGCTTTGAAAACCACTGGCCTAGAGAATACCTAACTGACTGGAGGATGGGAGGGTGGAGCTCAATTTCCAGTCTATAGGCTGATACTAAAGATATTCACAATTCATGGATATTGTGGCCTTCACTGATATGGTGACCTTCCACAAGTCACCTCAAACCTCTGGGCCAGTTTAAAAAAAATGGTGAAATGAGTCCTGCCCTTACCTGCCTACCGGGGCTGGCCGAAGGATGGTTATACGTAAAAGGACTTGAAATGTGGTTTCGACAAGGACTTTTTGTTGCTATCCTGAGGAAAGATGGATGGGTCACTCCTCCAGGGAATATGAGAGGTAGTATAAATGAACAGTTGCAGAGAGCAATGCCCATTTCACGGATGGGCACACTCTTGGCATCAACTCTCTTGGTCCAATGGCAACCCTATATATTGCACACGGGACACTTTCTGTGGGGACTCTGAGATGCAGAGGGACCAGATAACAAGCAGGAAAGGTAGGGCCTGGTGTGAGGGCACGAGACTCACCGACATCCCTGATGACAAGCCTGTAGGTCCCTCGGGCTCTCTCCCCCCAGCATCGCACAGTGGAGAAGGTCCAGTCATTGAAGCCGTTGGGATCCCTGAGGAAAGAACACAGCAGAAACAGGTGGAAGGCGTGGGCCAGAGAGCTGACCTTCCCCCAGCAACACTTTCTTACTGTAGTAGCCGTGGAAACAACCTGGGAGGGTGCCACGAGGGCTTCTCAGGTGCCCCTTTCCCCTGGGGTCTCATGGAAGGAGGAAATTGTGTTAACGTGGTGTGGTGGAAAAAGCAAGCATGGAGCGCGCACAGGCTTGGAGTCCCACGGATCTAGGTTTATTCTTGTTCTCTTGGGCACTTACTAGCTCCATGACTTGTTTTCTTTTTCTTTCTTTTTTTTTTTGGAGACAGGGTCTCACTCTGTTATCCAAGCTGGAGTGCAGTGGCATGATCACAGCTCACTGCAGCCTTGACTTCCTGGGTTCAAGTGATCCTCCCACCTCAGTCTCCTGAGTAGCTGGGACTACAGGCATGTACCACCATGCTCAGCTAATCTTTAAATTTTTTGTAGAGACAGGGTCTCACTTTGTTGCCCAGGCTGGTCTTGAACTCCTGAGTTCAAGTGATTCTCCTGCCTTGACCTCCCAAAGTGCTGGGATTACAGGTGTGAGCCACCACACCCAGCCAGTTTCCTCATTTGTAAAAGGAGGTTACAAAGTCTAATCTAGGGGGTTCTTAGAAGGATTAGAGAACATGTATGTGAGGTGCAGGGCCTAGCGCTTGAAGAAGGTATGTGACGAAAGGCTTCCAGCCGCCAGGGATAGCCAGTGCCACAGTAGTTTAGGACAGTGCCAGGATCCACTTCTTCCATTTCTTTTCCCTGGAAAGGCCCTTGCTGAAAAGGTTGCTCAGGCCTCGGGCGGGTGTACATACGAGTCCATGCTGCGGGGGGCGCCGATGAGGGACATCATGCCACTGGGGCAGAACAGCTTCAGCTCCAAGCTGCCGCGCCGTGGGTGAGTGATGGAGACTGTCACTGCCACATGCTCCAGGGTCTTCAGCCCTGACATCTCCAGGTCCATCCTGCTGACTGTAGAAAGTCAGGCTGGGCAGCTGGGAAACCAGCCCACAAACACGCCTTCACTTCACCCCCACGTACACAAAGACACACGCTCACTGAAGCCACATACAAACATCTACGGCAACCCTAACTGGGACCTCGCCTATACTAGTAAATGGAATGGAGCTGCTGCTCTCAAGTTTACAACGTAGCTTCGAGTGCAGTTGGGAAGACGACACATACCCAAGACACAATATAAGAATCCAGCAGAGCAACTTCAATCATTCATTCATCCAAAACATTATTTACTGGGTACCTCCTCCATTTCAGGCACTGTACTAGATGCTGGGAATATAAAGATAAGATGGGCGTGGTCCCTGCCTCCTACCTGCAAGTGGAAAATGATATGGTATGGGAAATATACATAATTGATAAGGGAAGAGAAATAAGTCAGATGGGTTTAGGCACACAGCAGTGAGACACACTGAAGGAAATGAATACAGATCGGTAGACAGGGTTGGTAGAGGGCATTCTAGGCAGTGGAAAAGGCATGAACAAAGACGAAATGCACACATCTCACTGAAGATGATGCACAGTTAATTTTTAAAAAATGCTGGTGGATAAATTTCAAGCAAATTATGTGAGTGAAAAAAGCAATCTCAAAAGAAGCATATAGCCAGGTGTGGTGGTGTGCACCTGTGGTCCCACTACCGGGGAGGGTGAGGTGGGAGGATCGCTTGAGCCTGGGAGGTGGAGATTGCAGTGAGCCATGCTCATGCTACCACACTCCAGCCTGGGCAACAGAACAAGACCCTGTCTCAAAGAAAAAAAAAAAAAGAAAAAGGATGCGTAGCACACAATTCCATTTAGGTGATGTTAATTGAAGTACCTGCAGTGATACATAACAGATAAATGGGTGCCAGGGGCCAGGGACAGGGGAGGGGATGGGTGTGGCCAGAAAGGGGTAACACAAAGGAGTCTTGTGATAATGGAATTGTTCTGGATCTTGGTTGTGGTGGTAGTTATGCAAGGCTACATGTGATACAATTGCATACAGCTACACACGCGCATACACAAATATTGACAGCATGTGTATCTGGTGAACTCCAAATAAGCTCTATGGATTGTACCAATGTCAATTTCTTGGTTTTGATATTATACTTTAATTGTGTGAAACATTAAGATTGGGAGAAGGGTGCACGGGACTTCTCTTGTACATTTCTTTGAAACCTCCTGTAAATCTACAATTATTAAAACAAAAACAAAAACAAAAAACTACTGAAGAGGAAGACTCAACTGGGGACTATTAAGAAATTAGGCTGTAATGAGAACGATTCTTTTTTTTTTTTTTTTTGAGACAGAGTCTCTCTCTGTTGCCAGGCTGGAGTGCAGTGGCATGATCTTGGCTCACTGCAACCTCTGCCTTCTGGGTTCAAGCGATTCTCCTGCCTCAGCTTCCCAAGTAGCTAGGACTACAGGTGCACGCCACCATGGCCACCTAATTTTTGTATTTTTAGTAGAGATGGGGTTTCACCATGTTGGCCAGGATGGTCTCAATCTCTTGACCTTATGATCCACCCGCCTCAGCCTCCGAAAGTGCTGGGATTACAGGCGTGAGCCACTGCACCCGGCCGAATACAATTCTTTTTAAAGCACCCTTTCTTCCATTAATTTATTCCAGGCCAGGCATGGTGGCTCACTCCAGGCATGGTGGAGGATAACTTCAGCCTGGGAGACATCATCTTTACAAAAAAATAAAAAATTAGCTGGATATAGTGGTAAGCACCTGTGGTCCCAGCTACTCAGGAGGTTGAGGGTGGGAGGATGGCTTGAGCCCAGGAGGTTGAGGCTGCAGTGAACCATGACTGTGCCTCTGCACTCTAGCCTGGGCAATAGAGTGAGAGCCTGTCTCAAAAAAAAAAATTATTCCAATATGCAAGGCAGAGTACAATACCTTGATTTTACAGACACAGTAGCTCAGAGAGGCACTGAAAGTAGGGGCTGGGTAACCTAGGGTGGGATGCGCTTTAAAGATTTTTGTTTTAAATAAGCAACTAAGAGCTATTATAGATGACTGAGCAAGGACAGGGGTGTTTGTTTGTTTGAGACGGAGTCTAGCTCTGTCACCCAGGCTGGAGTGCAGCGGCTAGATGCTTGGCTCACTGCCACCTCTACCTCCTGGGTTCAAGCAATTCTCCTGCCTCAGCCTCCCAAGTAGCTGGGATTACAGGCGCATGCCACCACGCCCAGCTAATTTTTGTAGTTTTAGTAGAGACGGGGTTTCACCGTGTTGGCCAGGCTGGTCTCGAACTCCTGACCTCAGGTGATCCACCTGCCTGCCTTGGCCTCCCAAAGTGCTGGGATTACAGGCACGAGCCACCACACCCAGCCTCATTTTCTATAATTCCATCTGTCACCTCTTCAAAGCCAATGTCCCATTTCTTTGAAAACAACCTCTCTCCTTCCACTTTCCCCACTCTCTTCTTGACCCCCTCATTTTCCCACAACCCCTCAAGCTCCTTTCTCCTAACTGGCTGAGATTCCATGGCTCATCCAACATGTGTGTTTACATTCTCAAGCTCCCTTCACTTTCTTGTCCTTTCACAGCAATACTTGGCAAAAGTCAAACAATGGCTCAGCCTGATTATCCATCTTCTTGGCTAGACCTTTTTGCTAGCACCTTTCCTACTACAAATGAAAAACAAAAACAAATAAACCCTTTCTCAGTTCTTCACTTCCTGCCACCTACCAGTGTTAAGAGCATGGGCTCTGGAGCCACTAAGCTTGGGTTCTAATCCCAGCTCTGCCACTTACTAGCTGTGAGAACTGTTTCCTCATCTGTAAAATGGGGCCAGTAACAGTACCTACTTCATAGGTTTGAGACGAGGATTAAACAGTTAATATACCTAAAGCGTTCAGAATGGTACCTAGCTAATGTTAAGGCTACATATGTATCAGATATTATTTCTTTTCCTGTATTGTCAAAATTCTTGAGAAAGCTGTTTAGATTCACGATGGCTACTTCTTACCTTCCCAATTGTCCTTGACATTTTTTTCTATTAAAATAGTATGCATGAATTTAAATGTAAGTTGGTGCTACAGTGCTTATAATGAAAAAAAAAATTCCCTACCACCTTTGAGATCTACTCCCCAGAAGCAAACTTTTTTTTTATTGTTTTTAATTGTTTTCTTCTGGGATCTACTTTCGTGTTTCTAAACAGTAAGCGTTATGGATATTTCATGGCTTATCAATTTGAGACATTATGCATTGACTTTCATTTATGGCAGATGAGAATCTAACAAATCATGCCCACACCTTTTCCCCAGTTGTCGTCCCCTCCACATTTACAAAATAATTACATCACAGTTTTTTTTCTTTTCTTTTTTTTTTTTTTTTTTTGAGACGAAGTCTTGCTCTGTTGCCTAGGCTGGAGTGCAGTGGCACGATCTCGGCTCACTGCAACCTCCGCCTCCTGGGTTCCAGCGATTCTCTTGCCTCAGCCTCCCACCTCCCAAGTAGCTGGGATTACAGGCATGTGCCACCATACCCAGCTAATTTTTGTATTTTTAGTAGAGACGGGGTTTCACCATGTTGGTCAGGCTGGTCTCGAACTTCTGACCTTGTGATCCACCTGCCTTGGCCTCCCAACGTGCTGGGATTACAGGCATGAGCCACCGTGCCCGGCCTTTTCTTTTTTTTTTTTTTTTTGAGACAGAGTCTTGCTTTGTCGCCAGACTGGAGCACAGTGGCATGATCTCAGCTCACTGCAACCTCCGCCTCCCAGGCTCAAGCCATCTTCCCACCTCAGCCTCCCTAGTAGCTGGGAACTGTAAGTGTGCACCACCATGCCCAGCTAATTTCTGTATTTTTTTGTAGAGACAAGGTTTTGCCATGTTGGCGAGGCTGGTCTCGAACTCATGAGCTCAAGCAATCTGCCTGCTCCAGCCTCCCAAAGTGCTGGGATTAGAGGCATGAGCCACTGTGCCTGGCCACCAGTTTCTTTGAGAAACCTTCCCTTTCTTCCTTAGTGGCAGGAGACATCTCTCTGCTGTGCTCTCAAAGCACCTGTGTTGTCCCTGTTGCAGTGCCTATAACACTGCACTATGCCTATAAACCTCACTGTCTTCCCTACCAGGTTGTAAGCTCGTTGAAGGCAGGAATAGTGTCTTATCCCCGAGTCTCTAGAACTAATACAGTGCCTGGGATGAAGTAGGCCTCGAATATTTGTAGAATGAATAAGTCGATTGAGAGATATTTCACAGAAAACAACAAAAAGATTAAATTGCAAGGGAAAGGGCTGGGGAAGACCTGGGAAGAGGCGAGGGATATTAGAGGGATGAAACACTCGCGCGTTTCAAGTTTGGGGGCCTAGGGAACGGTGACGGCACTGACACGAATGGGAAAATCTTAGAAAGCAAGCCAGCTTTTGAGAGGTGATAGTGAAATCTAAAATTTTGTACATGTTAAGTGTACTGTATTGGTGGAATATCAACAGCACACAGTGATTTAGGAACAGAAAGATGATGGAAAATATTTATGGCATAGTTAGAGGACAGCATTGATGTGGCAGAGAAGGGGCTTACAGGAGAGAAATGACGTTATGGAACAGAATAGAATCCCAAAAGGAAAAGAATCCCAAAAGGAGTGCTTGTCTGCGTTCGCAGTGTACGCAGTGGCATGCTACATCCATTTACTTCTTGGTGTGGATGCGGACTTGGGTGGCAGTGCAAATGAGTACACTAGAACTCTCTCTACCAGAACTAAATGAGTTAATGCATTAAATGAGCTAACGCTGCGAACAGTGATTGGCACATAAAAAGCATCTTATTATGTGGCCTTTGGTAAATTGGAATTTTTTCAACAGTCACTCTCTGTCCCAGAAGACGCCAGGGTTCTATTTGCCCATAATCTTTTTCTTTTCTTTTCTTTTTCTTTTTTTTTTTTTTTTTTTTAGACGGAGTCTTGCTCGGTCACCAGGCTGCAGTGCAGTGGCATGATCTCTGCTCACTGCAACCTCCACCTCCCAGGTTCAAGCAATTCTCCTGCCTCAGCCTCCCGAGTAGCTGGGACTACAGGAGCCCGCCACCATGCCCAGCTGATTTTTTTGTATTTTTAGTAGAGACGGGGTTTCACCATGTTGGCCAGGATGGTCTCGATCTCCTGACCTCGTGATCTGCCCACCTCGGCCTCCCAAAGTGCTGTGATTACAGGCGTGAGCCACCGTGCCTGGACTATTTGCCCATAATCTTATGGAAGCTATGCTCTAGTTTCTATCCTTTCCACTGGTGAAGGATC
Organism: Homo sapiens; assembly: GCF_000001405.40. Taxonomy (NCBI): domain Eukaryota; kingdom Metazoa; phylum Chordata; class Mammalia; order Primates; family Hominidae; genus Homo; species Homo sapiens. Next base: position 117,214,320 of record NC_000011.10, read on the forward strand.
AGAATAAGAGATTTAGGTCGAGGACTCATTTGTGGAGAGGTGGTAGCTAAGGTCATAAACATAGCTGTACTGTCAAGGAGGATGATGTAGAGTGAGGAAAAAGTCAGGAAACAAGCCTTAGAAGACACTCACAGTTCAGGAGTATGAAACAAGTACCTCAGGCAGAGAAGGCAGAGGAGGGCTATGGAGCCAAGAAGGCCGCCACAGAAGCTACAGGAGGAGAGACGTTGCAACAAAGACCTCATTAATAGGGTCAGAGTGACAAGAATGTTAAAAAGGATGAACTCTGAACCAGCCCCTGAACCGGTCAGGAAAGGGGCACTATGAGTAAGAAAGCAAGTCTTCTGTGGCAGAGGGAGTGTGTGACAAAGGGGAGAAATTGCTTCAGTTCATTCATTTGAAAAGTTGCCTGGTTGGAGGTAGCAGGGACTTGCATTTGAAGGCAGAAAGGAAGAATCAGCAGAGAGGGAAATGTTGGTTAAAGAGGGAAGACCTGGAGAGGAGAAGGAACAGGACTCACTGCGTAGGCAGAGGCTTAGCCAGTATCCTCAAGACTGCAAACGACAACAAAAGGAGAGGTGCAAGTGGGTGTTCAGGCACCTTCCAATCACAGACTCTCTGAGTGTGAATAACACACTCCTCCAGAGCCCCACTCTCCCTCCTACCCTCAGGTAGAGATTTCAGACCAGCGTCAGATCTAAAAACCCCAAGAGGCCCCAATCCCCTCTCCCTCATAACCTCCTGTCAGCGGGGAGAGAGAAAAATCAGTCTTGCTCTTTAGCAGCACTTCTCAATATGGTAGCCCTTAGCCACACATGGCTATCTAAATTAAAATGAAGTATAACAAAATTAAAATTTAGCTCCTTAGTCATACTAGCCTTATTATTATTATTTGAGATGGAGTCTTGCTCTGTCATCCAGGCTGGAGTGCAATGGCACAATCTTGGCTCACTGCAACTTCTGCCTCCCAGGTTCAAGCAATTTCCCTGCCTCAACCTCTTGAATAGCTGGGACTACAGGCACGTGCCACCATGCCTGGCTAATTTGTGTGTGTGTGTGTGTATATATATATATATATATATATATACTTTTTTTTTTTGAGATGGAGTCTCGCTCTGTTGTCTAGGCTGGAGTGCAGTGGCACGATCTTGGCTCACTGCAAGCTCCGCCTCCCTGGTTCACGCCATTCTCCTGCCTCAGCCTCCCGAGTAGCTGGGACTACAGGCACCCACCACCACGCCTGGCTAATTTTTTTGTATTTGTAGTAGAGATGGGGTTTCACCGTGTTAGCCAGGATGGTCTCGATCTCCTGACCTTGTGATCCACCCGCCTCAGCCTCCCAAAGTGCTGGGATTACAGGCGTGAGCCACCGTGCCCAGCCAATTTTTGTATCGTTTTTTTTTTTTTTTTTAGTAGAGTCGAGGTTTCACTCTGTTGGCCAGGCTGGTCTTGAACTCCTGACCTCAAGTGATCCGCCCCTGCCCTTGGCCTCCCAAAGTGCTGGGATTATAGGCTAGGTATGAGCTACCACGCCTAGCCTATTATTATTTTTGAGACAAGGTCTCGCTCTGTCACCCAGGATGGAGAGTGCAGTAGTGCAACCATGGCTTACTGCAGCCTTGGCATCCTGGGCTCAAGGAATCCTCCTGTCTCAGCCTCCCAGGAGGCATGCACCACCACACCTGGCTAATTTTATTTTTTGTAGAAATAGGGTCTCACTATGTTGTTCAGGCTGGTCTTGAACTCATGAGCGTAAACAATGCTCCTGCCTCAGCTTCCCAAAGGGATTACAGGTGTGAGCCACCATGCCCGGCCAACTGGTCATGTTTTAAATGTTCAATAGACTCAGATGACTAGTGACCACTGAACTGAGCAGCATGGACATGGAACAGTTCCATCATTGCAGAAAATTCTTTGGGACAATGCTACTCTAGAGTCTTAGAGGTATTTAGCCTCCTCTTCTATCTCAGGGATGTTCAGCTCCCTCTGCTTTATAAAAAGTTCACTTTCCAGCCCCCAGACACTGAATCAACCAGGTCCTGGTGGAAAACAACCATAACTTGGCTGTAGAAGGGGTTTCTTGACTTCCTGGGACTGAGCTGCTCAACTCTCAATTTTTTTTTTTTTTTTTTTTTTTGAGATGGAGTTTCCCTCTTCTTGCCCAGGCTGGAGTGCAATGGTGCGATCTCAGCTCACTGCAACCTCTGCCTCCCGGGTTCTCCTGCCTCAGCCTCCCAAGTAGCTGGGACTACAGGCATGAGCCACCACACCCAGCTAATTTTGTATTTTTAGTGGAGATGGGGTATCACCATGTTGGTCAGGTTGGTCTCAAACTCCTGACCTCAGGTTATCTGCCTCCCAAAGTTCCCAAAGTGCTGGGATTACAGGCATGAGCCAGGGCACCTGGCTCAACTCTCATTTTAACTGGACTTATTTCTTTCAACCTCCAAGCAAGCCCACAAACTTATTTGTTCTGTTTTTGTCTGCTCAGAGGAAAATGTGGTCATGTTGGAGGAGAAGGCAACTTCACTGGCTCTGAAAAGCCAATGAAAATAGTACTTTGCAAAAAGTTGTGAATAACTCTGCATGTCAAAATTACTCAAGGCAAAAAAACAAAAACAAAAATGAAACAAAACAAAAAATCCCCCAAGGAGCTGGGGGTAGGGAAAACTCTGGTAAAACTTTTGCTTGCTGCCCTTCCAACAGGTAAAGGGCTCCATTAGCCAAACTCCCTAAATCTTTCCCTCCCTTCTCTTAATCCTGCTTTCTCCACTAGGCCACCTCCCACTCTTCTCCACCCAGGCAATCTGTCCTTCTTTCTCTTACTTTTTAGTGACAAGCAAGCAGTTGCCAGATGCCTCAATGCCTAGGGTAGACATTCCGTGGCAACGTCCCCTGGTCAGCAGGAAGCAGAGGATGACGAAGCTGGGAAGACCATATTACTCTTTTAAGTCACTGCCCTCATTTGACAGATGCAACAGGAAATAGCCCTGGATAGAAGGTAAAGTTGAAGGCACACTATCTCTAAGACACGCAAGTGCAAAGCCAGGGGCTTCCAAATGAACTGCATTCCTGGAAATGTTTCTGAACTTCTCTGACTTGGCTGACGCTTTATGCCCTTTCCAAGATAACATTCCTTTTATGGGAAATGCAGTGACTGGCCCAGGGGTTTCATTCCACATTGAGGGAAATTGGGCAAGTGCTGGATGTGGTTAGGAGGAGAAAACTCAATTCTTCTCTGTGAAACCTTCACCTGAGGGAAGCCACCCCTCATCCTCCCTTCTGAGTAACCTTCTCTGGCCATTCCTTCTCCTGCCATGGCTCTCAATTGATCACTTTCTAGGAGGACAGAAAAAGTGAAGACAGTTTTGGTTTGGGCACTAAGCATAGCATACTTCCTTTGCAAAAAGTAGTAAATGACTCCAGGAAAAAGAATCCCCCAAGGAGCTGGGGGTAGGGAAAACGCTGGTAAATGTGCAGACAGGGCATCCTCTGCACAAGCATCCTGATCCAGCTGCACTCTCCTCTAGGGAGGGCGTCCGCCTCTTCGCTCAACATAAAACCAGGTCGCTGGCTTAGAGGATACAACCCCTTCAGACAATCCTGGTTCATGCTGGCCACCATGGAGGCGGAGGCAGAGGATGGGTCACTAAAGCCTAGGAGACTTCTACAAACCCTCTGTCCATCCCCAGCAGACCACATCTGACTCTCTCTATTAGGTAAGCCAGAGAATCAAAGGAAGAAATGCCTAACTCCTTTACTTCATCCAGACACCCGAGGACTGACCAGAGTTCTCTGGCAAGATCTTAGCATGGAAGTCACAGGAGCTTCTCTGAGCTCTCACCCCGGTCTCGCCTGACCTCCCCAAGCCCCAGTCCCATGCCTCCCACCCGCCCTCCTCCTCAGTTGCTCTGCTGCTCCTTTTCACTACTAGGAACCCAGGAGAAAGGTCTTGTTTAAGCAGCTGGGGGAGCCAACTCAGAAGCAGTAACATGTCCTAAAATGGTCAAAGAAAACTCCACAGGTTTGGCTGGAGCTCAGCTCCGAAAGGGGGTAGAATCTGGCAGGGAGGACGAGTTTAACTTCCTTGTCACCCGGCCCCAAACCTCAGGCCTAAGATTAACCCCCTTTGTGCTGATTACTTACCATTCCACAGGACCTCCAGGGAACGGGGGGACTGCGGAATCGCCTTGTTTTCTTTTAACACGGGACTGACGTAGGATGCTAAGTAAGGGACAGATGTCCAGATCTATGAAAGGAAAGGAGGGGATGGCAAATCAACAAACAAGAATGATCACACCCACATTCTCACAAACACACACGCCCTTGTCAATACGATCTTGAAGGTTTAGCTGTCTTTATTTTTCCACTCCTCATCATCTTCCTTCAGCCCTCAGCTCCTGCTTGCTCGCTGGAATGCTCCGTACAGCCCCCAGCTAAGGAACCAGAGGAAACAGCTGTGTCCAGGGTGGAGGAGGGGAACCAGAGCATCCTGAGTCCCACACATACTCAGGTCCCATTTACTCTATTAGTAGTTTGGAAACTTCAGTGATAGCATTGAGCCTGCTTTCTCATTTGTAAAATGGATATCAGCTGGGATGAAGGTTGAAGTTGTTAAATCAATGAACTGAATGAACATTTACTAGGCACCTATGATATCCCAGGCAGTTTGGGGCATTCAGCTCCGACCCTTGGTCACTCCACACAGGGCACCCTGCCCTGCCAACACCTGTTCACCTTGGCTGCATTCACGAGCCTCCAGGCGTTGAGGAGGCCGAAACCGTGCTGGTGGCTATGGCTGAAGCCTGCCTCGTTGGTGACCCACTCTGCACGGCGATCCTCATACTGAAAGGACAGAGGTCCTGGTTAGTCTCTTGCATTGCCAGTGTAGTCTCAACAATCTGACTCTGGTTTCCCTGCTTGCCCTGCTGGCTGATCCAGTCCACGCTCTCCCACTATGGCTACTGGGAATGGATTCCCCAAGGCAAGCTGGGACAAAAGGTCAAAGCCCATGATGTCACCACCCCACTGGCTTGCTTCTAGAGAAGGGGCCAGGAGGCACAGCCAGAGCTCCCCTTTGCAGATAAAATGAGTTTAGGCCTGTGGTCTTTGTGGGGTCCCCACACCTGTTCTTTACATATGCAACTCTGAAAGGGACTCTGAAAGAGACTTAGTATCTAACATTTGGGACATTGAGAATCTAAGGCCACCTGATACCCGAACTCTGGAGCAGGCTGGGCCAGGCCACTTGTCTACCTGCTGGTATCTCACCCGGGTGGCTGTGAAGACAATGATGTGCTGGACGTCACGCCACGTGAGGCAGGGCCGCACCTGCAGCATTAAGGCTATCATGCCAGCTGCCAGAGGCGCTGCAGCTGAGGTCCCTGTGTGGCCCTCAGTGCAGCCAGTGCCCTTCTGAAGGTCCCAGTCAGTGGTCACCTGGAAGTGAAACAGGAAAAGGAAGTAGGTTAGAGACTGAGTTCAAGCTGGGGACAGTGGTGTGCACCTATAGTCCCGGCTACCTGGGAGGCCCAGGCAGGAGGATTGCTTGAGCACAGGAGTTATGACTGTGCCACTGCACTCCAGCCTAGGTGGCTGAGTGAGAACCCATCTTTAAAAAATAAAAAAAGAATATTTTTTAAAAAAGAAGCTAGAGACTGAGTTCAAAGTTGTTATGGGGGAAAGGTACAGGGCTGGTCCTCAGAACAGGTCTCACAGGTGGACCCTTCCTTTGTTAGAGCTGAATCTTTGACCAGAGAAGGACCCAATAGCAGGGCAGGGCAAAGGAAACCCTAACCCTCCTGGCCTCCTAACAGAATATCTGGAGAACAGAGACAAAGATAATAAAAGTTACTTTTGAGGGTGTGGTTGTTGGCAAAAGGAGGCAGAGATAGGAAAGGGCTCCCATCCAGTGCAGATAAGGGTTTCCCAACTCTTTTCTTTTTTCTTATTTTTCCTTGTCGCCTAGGCTGGAGTGCAGTGGTAAGATCATAGCTCACCACAGCCTCGAACTCCTGGGTTCCAGCGATCCTCCTGCTTCAGCTTCCCATGTAGCTGGGACTACAGGCGTGTACCACTGCACCACACTAATATTCTTATTTTTTGTAGAGACAGCATCTCACTATGTTGCCCAGGCTGGTCTCGAACTCTTGGCCTCAAGCAATCTTCCTGCCTTGGCCTCCCAAAGTGTCGGGATTAACAGGCATGAGCCACCATGGGGGGGCCTCCCGATTTTTGCTCCTAATATTCTTGCTCCCATTCCTAAATTCTCTATCCCAACTCCCAACTCCAAACCCTTCAACCCCCACAACCAAGCTAGACAGAGGAAGTGGCCAGGGGAGCTACTGGGCCCAGCTGGAGCTGGGACAACACTGACGGCACTATTCAAGGAAATCCAATTTGGCAGCTCCGCGACAGGGGCTGGAATGATGTCGGCGTGAACACAGGGAGTGTGTTCCAGCAAGAGAGGACTGTGTCCTTGCCCACCCCCGAGCCCTGCATGGACTCAGTGTCTATAAGGCCCGCCTGCCCGGCTCTACAGCTCTCAACAGGACAAGCTGCCTCACTGCTCTGGGCCAGATGCCATGAAACCCCTTCTCTCTGTGTGGTTCTGAGGTGGGGAGCGAGAATGGGGCAAGGGGAGGCAGTGACTGCCTGGCATCGAGCTCTTTTGGGGCTGTCATCACCCCTGGAGACTCAGAGGGTTTAGCTGAGGCGGGCCCTGCCTAAATCTGCTCCACTCTATGGCACTTGGATCGTTGGCCCATGGTGTCAGTGCTAACACCGGAGAATTTCTTTCTTCCAAACTTCTCTTCTGGGTCAGATACCAGGGTGGCGACTTCTGCCAAGAGCTGCCCTTTCTCCACTGTACTCACTGCTTCCCTCCCAGCTGTTAGAGCAGCTGCCAAGAGATGTAATTTTCACCCAGCCATGGCGCACTCCCAGAAAAAAAAGGGAAAAGCACTCTCCAAGTGGTTGTCTCAATGAGAGTGGGAGCCTGGTTTATGCAAGGGAGCGGGTTGATTTTTTTTCCTGTTAAGGAAACAGCCTTGCAGTGATAGTCTGAAGTGTGGCTGTGAAGCCCACGAACTTGTCTATGGTGGCAGGAGCCACAGGCAGGCATTGAAAAGTCCAGAGAAGCTTTGCTTCCCCAGGGAGCCAAATGGTGGGAAGCATATGCCCCCAGCCTCTGCCCTCAGAAAGACAGCTCTACCCAGCTGCCCTGGTCATTGACTAGAAACTGGCAACAAGAAGTTTCCATAGCAAGGACATTCCAAAGATGGGAACTCTGCTAAACACACTCTCTCTTCATTTCTGGGCAAATTACAGTTCAGATGGAAGAGGGTGGTGAGGGTGAGAAGCTGAGGTGAGTTAAAATGAGAAAGGCCAGGTACAGCAGAGCAAGAGTGACAATTATGTTGTAGAACCTTCTTAGGTCCCTGGCCTGGGCAGGGCGAGCTGGGTTCCCTAGAGTTCTGCTAGAGGGTGGAGTTTGGTATGTTCCTGTTCTTCCTCCTAACCCAGCCTGGCCTGCAGTGGGTGCCCTCTGTGCACACAGCCCAGCCTCTCTTCCCTCTCTACTTTAGTCCACTCCCTTTTCTCTTCTCCCTGGGGCTGGGAGGAGGGGGTAGTAGGGGTCAACTGGCACAGAGCCTTGGAACATTGTGTTGACCAGAAGTCATTTATTGGCATAACAAAATTTTAGTTTTGGAAAATAAATTTGACCCAGCAGGAAGACAAAGCAGCCTAATTCCCAATGGCCCCAGAGAGATCTCCCGACTCAGCCACTGGAGAAATTTGATACCACCTGGCTCCAGCCCAGCTCCTGCCTAGAGCCTCCTATGCCCACACTATATGGTTGCGGGCAACAGGGACAGGCAGGGAGCTCTAGGAAGATGGTCTAGAGGCCTGCCTTAAACCTGCTGGGATGGCGCTAAGCCCAGCTGGGTGTAGGCGATCGTCTTCAAATTCTTTAAATGGGTTCCACAGGTTAGAGAAGCTCCATGACCCTGCTCGAATTTCATTTGCTATGGCTCCAATTATAGCTCCAGAGAAAGAGCTCTCTCTGGTGTTGACATGAGACATTCCCCCACTCCTCTTCCCACTCATCCCATAAAAACGACAACCAGACTAGCTTTCCTCCTGAAGATGCACATGACCAGAACTCACAGTATTTACCTAAGAGCTGAAGGGCAATGGAATTAGGAGTTTTTTTTAAGTCCACAGAAATTAGCAAAAGCCCAAATTTTACCAAAGGAAGACACTGCAAAGAAGTTGTTTGTGCATTTCCTTGAGTGTGAAAAAGTTGTTTAATCCATGTGACACTTAGTTTCTTTTTTTTTTTTGAGAAGGAGTCTTGTTCTGTCACCCAGGCTGGAGTACAGTGGTGCAATCTTGGCTCACTGTAACCTCCGCCTCCTTGTTTCAAGCGATTCTCCTGCCTCAGCCTCCCAAGTAGCTGGGATTACAGATGCCCGCCACCACACCAGGCTAATTTTTGTATTTTTAGTAGAGACAGGGTTTCACCATGTTGGCCAGGCTGGTCTTGAACTCCTGACCTCAAGTGATCCATCCGCCTTGGCCTCCCAAAGTGCTGGGATTACAGGAGTGAGCCACCATGTTTGGCCCCATGTGACACTTAGTTTCTAAAAATATGTATATTCGTCCTAAATCCAAATTTCTAAGATAAAAGCATTCCCAAGATGTATTCAGAGTCCCCGAGTCTACTACTCCAAGGGTGGCATGCCTTAAGACATCCAGCTCTGTGGGGGAAGAGGAGCCTGAGTGTTGGGGCGGGGAAGCAGGGAACAGTGAGAAGCGCTGTGATGTCTGAGACGTGAAGTCTTGTGGGAAAGGGGCAGGCCGTGGAGGGCCCGGGAGGCACTCACAATGCTCCGAAGCATCTTGTCCCCACCACTGAAGGTGACTGCCAGCATGGAGGCACATTCTTCTGCATAGAAAGGCATGCGTCCCTCCTCATCCACAGCTCCTAGGGACAGAGGAGGGAGATTAGAGCTGAGATGCAGAGGGGGTCCTGTGGCAGGGGCTTGCTAATGTCAGTTATCTTGGAGTTACCATCCTGGGGGGCTGTCCTGAGTTTGAAACATGATCTGAGCGGCCCACGTCCCTCAGAGCAGTCCTGATCCTCTTCTGAACAGGCAGTCTCAAGTGGCAGAGGGCATTCTGTGCCGCAATACCATTCTTTCAGTAGGCTCTGGGGTACAACTGGCAGCCTTCTACCTTCATACCCACTTATTCATTCACATGCTTACTGTTTTCAACATTCATTACCCATCTACTGTGGGTCACACCCGTGCCAGGCATCAGGGCCATATGGAAAAGGCCGCAGTCCTAGTCTCGAGGAGCCTAGAGTCAGGTAGAAGTCAGGTAAGTAAATAAACACATGCTAACTGGGAGCACAGGCAAAGGGCACTTAATTTAGGCCTGTGGGGAGTCAGGGGAGGCTTCCAGCAGGCAGAAGGTGGCCCACAGAAAGACAGGCCAGAGCAGAGGCCTAACCAGCTGTGGTGGGGTGGAGGCAGCTCGGTGATCTCCAGATGATGGCTTGAAGGTGTTCCCAGGGTATGCTGACATCTAAGAAGTCCCAAGGTCCTCTGCAAGCAGGGCTAGTCCTATCTGAGCCCAAAGAGATTATTGTGCTCACACATTTAGACACACACAGAAGCTAGGACAAGACGTGTGATGCCCTAACCCTTCGGTGACACACACACAGGAGCACAGAAACATTGGGTGACTACCTATGGTGACGGTGTAGATGGAGTTGGCGTAGCCATCGTAGTTGCAGTTGTCGTTGTGTTGGCCTCCGTTGCCACTGGCTACCACAAAGATGCTCCCAAAGCCCTGGCGACCAGCAATCACCCCATGTTGTAAGGCAGCCTGAGGAGCCAAAACATCAGGGTGTCAGTTGAGGAACCCACAGAAAGACCTCCGCCTACCACATCAGTCACCCTCTCCACCCCTTCTAGAAACAAAGGGAAAAAAGTTCAAAGGGCACTGGGCATGGGGGAAAGATTGGAAGATGGACCCCGCATGTGAGGGAGCTGTGAGTTGACCCAGGATGTGGGGCAGCTGTGAGTTGAATGATGACTGATGGACACCCTCTGCTTATCAGAGGACAGGGTGGGGCCAGGCATGGGAGCTGAGGATAAGATGAAAGGGAAACAATCTCAAAGCACTGTTCCATTTCCCTCTCTAGGAACAAACGTCCCCTAGGCTTCCTGCCCCGACGTTAGGTGTTCTCTTCCTGAAAGGAGACTGAGCGTGGAGGTGGAGTGGGAAGATGGGTCAACTTGCAGCAGTTCTCCCGGGACTGTATGAAGAGGGCATCCCGTTTCTCAGAGTCTTTGTGCAGGCCAGTTACCTTTCCAAGCTGATGGGGGCCATCCACTGTCTTCCCATCGTCATCTGGTCCCCAGCTGTTGAGAAATAAATACCTAGAGGGGACAGCCAGAGCCAGGCTGCGGCTACCCACCCAGCGCCTCCCAGTCTCAGCTGGCTGCCCTTTGACCTGCAGCTCTTAACTCCTCCCAAGGGTTCCACTTAAAGGCTTCCGTGATTAAAAGGCACAGGGTTCAAAGGTCCATCCCCTCTCCAAAGTGGAAAACAGAAGTGTGCTAAGGCTCTTCTTTTCCTTGTGAATGTCCCCATAGCCCATAGTGGCAGAGAGGGACAGAGGTCACTCATCTCCTGATCTAGGGATCAGAGACATGTAGACCTTTTTTTTTTTTTTTTTTTCTCCTGAAACGGCGTCTTCCTCTGTTGCCCAGGCTGAAGTGCAATGGCGCGATTTTGGCTCACTGCCACCTCCACCTCCCAGGTTCAAGCGATTCTCCTGCCTCAGCCTCTGGAGTAGCTGGGATTACAGGTGCCCACCACCAAGCCTGGCTAATTTTTGTATTTTTAGTAGAGATGGGGTTTCACCATGTTGGTCAGGCAGGTCTTGAACTCCTGACCTCAAGCAATCCACATGCCTCAGCCTCCCAAAGTGCTGGGATTACAGGCGTGAGCCACCGCACCTGGCCCAACTCGTAGGGTAGAAGGCAGAGCGCCCATGAACTTCTGTGGAAGCTCTTGGTTCTCAGGTTGAGGAGTTCTCTATTCTGTCTCTATCGGGAAGTGTACCCTGTGGATGATGTCATGGATTTAAGGGAGGTATGTCGGGGGAGGAACAGGTGCCATCAATGCCATGTGGGCCCCCAACCCCATTTCCTTCTTGTCCAGTCCAGCACAGCCATGCCCTGAAGGTGCAGTGCATTGGCGTGGGGTGGGGGATTGGTGTTGGGCATTCAGCTGGCCTGTGGATGGAGAAGAAAGCCCGCTTTCTTGCAGAGGCCTTAGGAGTTTAGAAAACAAATAAATGTGCACAGGCCAGGGCTTCTCATGTGGCAATCTGATTACGGGGGTGACGGGGGCTTAAGGTTGAGTGCCCAGTGGCTGGGAATCTAGAGAAATGAAGGCAATGGACTTATTAGCTGAACCCAATGAGGAGACCCCTGCTCCGGCCTAAGTCAGCCCACTGGTTGGGATTTTGTTGGCGGATTTGTCCCAGGTGCTCCAGGCTCTTGCCCTCTCATCTGCAGCTCTGCCTCACCTGCAGCTGTAGATGTCATTGATCTGATAGTGCTTGTTGAACGCCACTGCCTCCATGCTGTCTGTGAGAGGTCCATCCAGTACCCGGATACCTAGGCAATGAAGGCCACAGCAGCTCCTCACTAATGCTGGTCTCCTAGCCGGGGAACTGGGAGGTGGGGAGCCATATGTGGGAGACTTATTTTTCCCTACATGCTCTTTGTACATTTTGCTTTTTTTTTTTTTTGAGATAAAGTCTTACTTGTCACCCAGACTGGAGTGCAGTGGCATGATCTCGGCTCACTGCAGCCTCCACCTCCTGGGTTCAAGCGATTGTCTTGCCTCAGCCTCGAAGTAGCTGGGACTACAGGCGCATGCCACCACACCCGGCTAATTTTTGTATTTTTAGTAGAGATGGGGTTTCACCATATTGGTCAGGCTGGTCTCGAACTCCTGACCTCAAGTGATCTGCCTGCCTTGGCCTCCCAAAGTGCTGGGATTACAGGTGTGATCCCCATAGCCCCCACGCCCAGCCCATTTTGCATTTTTACACCATGTATACGTATTACTTGTCCCCCCACCAAAAAAATATATATATAGAGAGAGACAAAGTCTGGCTCTGTCGCCCAGGCTGCAGTGCTGTGGCACTTTCAGAGAAGGGACTTGGACAGGGTTTCTGGCTCCTCCGGTCTCATTTATGGAGAGCTACTGCCCTCTGCTGGAGTATAAGAGGAATAGTCTGTTCAGTCTGTAGGTTCCCAAGCACATAAGGAGTTATGGTGAGGGCTTCCCCATTCATTCCCTTCACCTTTTGCCTTGATGGACAGACGTTGAGTGTGAAAGAACCACAGAACCACCTCCAGGGAGGAATAGGGCTGCTCAGCTCCCCCAAAAGGATGGAGAGCAGCCCGTGACCATCAGTGGGACTGGGAGCTGGGGAGCTGGGGAGCTGGGAAATGCAAAGGCTGCCACCATAGACGTATCGGATCATAGAGGAAAAACCGACAAGAAGGCACTTTGTAATTTATGGAACTATAAATAGAAAAACATGTTTGAAACACCACTGCACTGAAAAATCAATGAGCTGATATGTCCTACAGACACCTATTATAAACTCACCCTTGCTCTATGCTATGTGTGTCAGCTGGGCTATGGGATAAAGATGTTTCAGAGTAGGGAGGGGTGCAGGAAATGAAGACTGTGGTCACAGGAGCAGCCTACCAAGGCTAGGCTGGAGGCACAAGTTACCTGCGATGCGGCTCCCGTAGGCCACGCCCACGGCACAGAAGCTGTTGTTGGGCACAGCCGCGATCTCTCCTGCACATCGCGTGCCATGGTGGTTGCCATTCTCCACATCCGGGTGGGGCATGGGGTCAGGGTCATTAGAGTTGAGGTCATAGCTACCCTCAGGGCTCTGAAATATTTTGGAGGTGACATGTGGTCATTCACTGGTTAGAGGGGATCAGGTCCTGGGGTTCAGGGACAGAAAGGAAATGGGAGTTTGGGAATCGAAGCTAGGGCGATAAGCTCATTTCTCATCGTTTCTGTTTTTGAGATGGAGTCTCACTCTGTTGCCCAGGCTGGAGTGCAGTGCCACAATCTCAGCTCACTGCAACAACTGCCTCCCAGGTTCAAGCGATTCTTCTGCCTCAGCCTCCCGAGTGGCTGGGACTATAGGTGAGCGCCACCACACTTGGCTAATTTTTGTATTTTTAGTAGAGACGGGGTTTCACCATCTTGGCCAGGCTGGTCTCAAACTCCTGACCTCCTGATCCGCCCGCCTTGGCTTCCCAAAGTGCTGGGATTACAGGCGTGAGCCACCGCGCCCGGACCCAATAAGCCCATTTCTATCTGCAAACCACACTGGCTAAAAGATATGAGCAAAGGACACTGGGGCAAAACTGAGAAGTGCCACAGCTCCCAGCAAACTTCTCTTGCCCATTATGCGAATGTGCCTACAGCTCCACGGCTTGGGAAACCTGGAAAAAAGGCAGGTAGGGCTCCCTAGAGGCCACGCTTTAGAGAGAGGAAGGCACTCGGATTTCCAACAAGAGGGAAGTTGCCTGCAGGGGCCACTCCTTACTCCTCAGAAAAGGACTAGAACTGAGAGCAGGATTGTTCTTAGAGTTAGAGCCACCTGCTGTGCCTTGACTGGCTAGCTAGGGAAAAGAAGAGGATGAACCCCATCCCACCTCCCAGGCTCTTTTATTTGGCCCAAAGACCTCTAGAAAAGGGGACAAGACTGAGGCAACATCAAGAAGGAGGTAAGACGTGGGGAGTGAGGGGTGTCGTTCCAGGGCCACTCACATAGTTGGGTGCAATGTCCTGGATGGTGTGTTCCACTCCGTCATCCACTACCACCACCGTCACCCCTCGCCCAGTCACATTGCGTTCCCACACACCCGTCACGTTGATGTCCCTGCCCGGGCTCCGTCGGTTATTCTGTAAGAGAGACAGGATGGGAATACAGTGACACATAGCACAGCCCAGAGGGAGATGAAGTTATAGCTAGCAGCCCCTTTTCACCCTTGGCCTCCACCAAAGAGCCAGACAGATTGCAGACCAATAGGTCAGGTGGGAACAGAGTCAAGGAGGAGCAGGTGAGAGCTCTGCCACAGCCTTGGATTCTAGGAAAGTTTGTCATCAGTCATGGGGGATTCGGGATAAAATGGTAGCTAGGGTGAAGGGTTGGATGATACACTTCTTTTTTTTTTTTTTTTTTTGAGACGGAGTCTTGCTCTGTCACCCAGGCTGGAGTGTGGAGTGCAGTGGCAGGATCTCGGCTCACTGCAAGCTCCGCCTCCCGGATTCACGCCATTCTCCTGCCTCAGGCTTCCGAGTAGCTGCGACTACAGGCGCCTGCCACCACGCCTGGCTAATTTTTTGTATTTTTAGTAGAGACAGGGTTTCACTGTGTTAGCCAGGATGGTCTTGATCTCCTGACCTCGTGATCTGCCCATCTCGGCCTCCCAAAGTGCTGGGATTACAGGCGTGAGCCACCGCACCGGGCCAGATGATACACCTCTTATGCCAATGGTAGTATCGTATCACTTATGTCATAGTGTTTACCATGTGTCAGGCATGGTTCTAAGTGCTACACATGTATACATTCACTTACCCTAACCATAACTCTATGAGGTAGGCACTATTACAATCTCCACTTTACAGATGGAGAAGCTGAGGCACAGAGTTTAAGCAGCTTGCCCAAATGCACATGCTAGTAAGTGGCAGAGCTGGACCATGAGCCCAGGCAGCCTGGCTGCACCATCTGTGCCCTGAGCACTGTAGAACACCGGCCTCTAGAAGACAGTAGAAGGGAGGGAGAGCCTAGGGAAACACCACAGAACCGGGAAATGGTCCCTCAGGCAAAGGATGGAGGTGACTGAAGAGTGATATAGTCAAAAGCCCATTAAAGAACTGGACTGGAACCTACCCACCTGAAACTGCAAACTGCAGGACTGGACTCACCAGGTGCCATTGCTGCGGGTACTTGGGGTCGTTGAAGTGGACGCTGCGCTTGGCCCGCCTTAGCAGCCTCTGCTCTGAGTGCCAGCGCACAGCTTCATGCCCAGCCAACACAGCCTCCACCTGCTGCCGGATGGCCTCCACCTCCAGGGCCGGCCTGTGCCCAGCAGGCTGGACAAAGAGGTAGTGCCCCTGAAGCTCTCCGATGCGTCCAGCATTCACCAGCCCTGCTGCCTGGGCCAAGGCATCCGCCTGCTGCTCCAGAGTCTCTTCCTCCCCGTCACCTTCCAGGCTTTCCAGGTGCACAGCCCAGCTCGGCCCCCCTGTGCCCTGGCCATCAGGCCCACCTGTCCCTGCCAGGCCCATGACCCAGGGAACCAGTAAGAAGAGCCCGGCTAATTCCAGCCAGAGGCAGGTGGGCAGGCCCAGGGGGGCATCCAAGTGTGGCACTTTCTGCCTCCCCTTCGGCATCAGAGCAGTGGACTGCAGACAAAGAAAAAGGATATGGAAGAGATCAAAGAGCTGGTAACTGCAGGAATCTGAGAGGGAGATGCTGAGCCATCCATGTGTTCCCCCTGGAAGTCCCTAAGCCATGCCTTTTAAATTGTGAAACATTTGATCTTCTCTTTTTGTTCACATTTATCCCTGACCAACAGGGATAAGCCCCCAGGTGGAGTGTGGGCCAGCACTAACACCAGCGGATGGCCTCCCACAGCAAGACAGCCAATCCTCACGACACCAGCTAATCCAGCAGGAGGTCCAGTTGCTCACAGGCACTGCGAGCAACCCCTGTTGCCACCCACAGGGCTCAAAGCACACATCGCTTCCACAAACTACTGGCTGCATCGTGACTGTTCTTTAGCAGAGACAACCCCTTCACCCCTACATTTAGAGGGGACATAAATCTTTCCCTAGCTGACTCCTCAGTCCAGTTGTCCTCAAGGCTAATTCCCCATAACAGGGCCCCGTGCCCACCTGGATTCTACATGAGGTTGAGCTCCTGGTCTGGCTAACCACGTCACACTCATGTTGTGCAAATGGAGAAAAGGCATCACTTTCACTGTGAGTAGTGTTGACTCAGCAAAGGCTACAGACCTGTGGGATCCAAGAACAGAAGAAATAATGTCCCACCAATCCCAGGGCAACAAGCTGAGGTTAGATAAACTCCAGGACCAGGGACCAAAGAAACTTCATTAATTGTCATTTCCAAAGATCTAAAATCGGTCATAGACTGGAGCAGAACTGGTACGGTGAGGCCAAATCAGTATAACACCCAAAAAACCCACTTCCTGTGCTATCGTGCCACCCTCTTTTCATTTTGTTCCCCAGAGGCCTAGCAAAAAACAGTTACCAAAATGCCTCTTGAAAGAGTAGGTAATAACGTCCTAGAAGTCCAGGTGGTAGCTAACTTCTTGATTTGTATATCCCAGAAGGATACCAGGGAAAGTGAAAGGAGGGAGGCGGCGGGGGCGAAACGGGGAAAGCCAGAGAGTGCAAACAAAACAGAACAGGCACCAAGGACAAGCGGGCAACCAGGAGAGAACGAATGATGAGAGAACCTCACTAAGCAGCTACTCCTGTACTGAGCTCAGGAGGCTGGCTTCAAGGTGAGGACTCAGACTCCAGACTGGGACTCCAATTGCCTGGGTTTGACAGAACCAGGGAATTGGTCTCAGGAGCCCTCAAAAAAAAAAAAAAAGAGCCAAGTTAGAACTGGGGGACAGACAAATGGGGTGGCAGGACATGTGTGTACCTATGGTGGCTGGGCTCCTTTAAAAGCCTTTGCTCTCCACTGGGTCCACCCTGGGGCAGGGCTTAGTACTCAGATACACACCCAAGCGGCTCTACCTCAAAGCATTCCAGAAAAATGGGAATTTTACTGAAAGGCTTCCTGGAAAGGAGAACTTATGCCACCTCTCCTTTACCTCTAAAAATCTTCATACTACATTTCTTCCTCTCGTTTTCTCTTAGGTTTCCAGGCATATTCCCTCTCAATCCCTCCCTGCCCCCGGGAGCCTCAATTCTCCCAAGATATTTAGGTGTCTTCCCCAGTCTGCATACTCTACTAAGTAAACAAACTAACAAACAAAACCCTTGTTAGCCAGACAGTGGCCCCGCTAGGCAGACTCCTTCAGACTCAGTAGATCCCACCACAGATGTCAGGAAGAAAGAGAAGCAGGAGCTCCTTCTGTCTACTAGTGGCAAAGCAGCATTTTTATCCCCCAGGCTTCTGGGAAAGGAACCTTAAATGCCTTCTGAAAGCAGGTCTCAACCTCTCCCAACGGCTAGGCCTCCCTTTACAGCTCTTAATTGACAAGGAAGAAGAGAATGGGCAGCCTGGAGTCCAAGATCCTGCTCCCAAGCTACTGTCCTCGCTGTTCCACACCCGGCTCCTAGAAGCCAGCTTGGGTACCGGGTCAGTTTCCCGATTCTCCCTCCGTCGGCCTCGATCGCTCCGTGCAATGTGCCCCTCTCCTCATTAGCACCCACATTATCCAGGAATTCTGGGCCCTGGGGCCCCATCTCCTTGGTCCCCCACGCCAGGACCTCAGGCACCCTCTGTGCAGCTCCCTCATCCTCAGACGCCGGCTTCCCCCACTTCTGGGGCCCCCTGACCACCCAGGTCCAGCCCCACACCTAGTTCCCAACTCACCGGCCCCGCCGCAGCTGCCGCCGCCTCCCTGCGGAAACTCGCGGCTTCCCGGGAGCCGGAGGAGCAGTGACAGCAGCATCACTTCCGCCCGCGGCGCAGCCAATCAGCGCGGCGCCTGCGGCCCGGCGACCCCCGCGGGCCACAGCAACCGGCGCCCGGGGTCCGGCTCCCGCGGGCGGCCTACGCAGGCAGGGGCCGTGCGGGCGCTGGGGGCTGAACCCGCGGGCTCCGCCTCCCCGAGTCCTCGGGGCATCTTCCACATGGTCCCTCTTCAGAAGGCTCTCCTTCATGGCGTCCTCTGTAAAGGGCATTTCGGTTCCGACCTTTAAAAGCCACTCGTTGCTCTTCTCCTTCTGACCGCCATGGCCCCGACTGTCCCTGTAATCTTCCCAGAGGGGATCCTGCCCACCCAGGTCGCCTTCCTTCTCGCAGTCGGCTCTCCCTTCTTCCCCGCGCCCCGGGAGAGTCCACTTGTATCTCAGGGGTCTCCCGCAGCATCCCCGTGCCCCGGCGGCGCCAGCTGTCGCCGCCAGAGGGCGCCGTCGGGGGCGGCGCGGCGCCACCGCGGCCTCTCCTCTCGCGGCCGGAGCCTCGCCCCCTCCGCTCGTGCCGCCGGAAGTGGGAGGTGCCGCGCGCGGGCCGGCGCTCGACCCCTCCCCCCGTGGCTCGGCCGCCCCCTCCCCCCGCTCCGCCCGCTCAGGTGCGTCCCGTCCCTCCCCCACTTTCCTCCCGGGGGCGCGGCGCGGGAGGTGTGTGCGGGGCGAGCGTGGGTGGGGGTTGCGGGGCGAGGGCCGGGCATGGGGGTCGGGTGGGGGGCGTGGAGGGTGCTGTGAGAACCGAGGCGGGGGTCCCGGCCTAGAAGTGGGACGGGGGGGTGGCTGGCAGCGGGGTGGGGGGACCGAGGGGAAGGGGTGGAGGGGGGTCTGGTCCGAGCCAGCGGCCAGCCTAGCAGTCCCCTGTGGGGGGTGGCCAAGGCCACCCAGCGCCGCTTCCCCCCATTGTCCCCTTCCCGTCTGTCCCCTGTTCTCGCCCGAGGACCCGTGGCTCCGGCGCCCCTGCTTCGCTGGTGGTCGCCCCGGGTTGCGGAGTTCTTTTTGGTACACTCGACCCTCCAGCCAGCTGTTCCTACCCGCGCCACGGGCTCTCTAGCCACGGAGTTGCATGCATGGCCCTTGTCCTGGGGTTTCGTTCACCGGGCGCAGAGGACCCCCCAGCCCTGGGCTATGTTGGAGACGGGATGTTTGCACCTGAGGGAGCAGCAATGGCGGTTTGGGCCCATTTTCTCCCAGGAGCTTTGTATAATGAGGGAAACTGAGGCACAGAGGGTCTGTGGGCTGTGACTGAGGTGTTGACACAGCCCCATCTACCTATCTGCCCTATGCGCTCTTCAGTGTTCCGGGGGGGAATACGTGTGATGCTGTTAAAATAAAAGCAAGAATGCAAACTAACCCGATGTTCATCCCCACCTCCCAAGTATTTTGATTTTCTTTTCTCCTCATAAGGTCATAAGTTTGCTCTGCGGCATAAAAGATGACCTTTTGATTTTTAAAAAAGGCGTCCGTCCCAGTTCCCTTACTTGTGTTACCATGTTTTTTACCTTGACTTTTTCACGCTAGAGAACCCAGGATTCTTTTTTGCACCACTAGTCACTCTGAAGAGTCTGTTCTTTGCTCAGTTAGTGGGTATCAGGCCTTTCCCATCTGTGGGGAGCACGCTGACAGTAAAATATGCACCCTGGATTGCCCAGTATTGCATTACTTGTTGACTTACAGGCAGACACCTCCAAAAACTTCCCTTAAATTAATGGAGAATGCTTTGAATGTAACAGCCATAAAGTGATTTAAAAACATGAGATCTGATTGATACTAGGCCGAAAAGTACGTCTTTTATTAAAAATGATAGCAGACAAGGTAGGCCTGGGACCACTTGGAAGATCCTGGCAGACTAAGATGTATTGTTTGAAATGACTACATTTCTGCCAAAAGTGAAAATAAGATCTTTGCACAGACTCCTAGATATTTATGTAAATACAGTGACTCCTGAGGATTGCTGCCCACTAGGACACTAGGACTTTGCATACAATGTCTCTTTTAGTACTCTTAAGTATTTTCTCCCGGAGCCCAGGTTTTTGTGTTTCTTTACTGCGACAGCTCTGTTGTGTGGACATTCTGAGGGGGGAGAGATACATTTGTTTTAAACTTTGGAAACTTGTAGCCTGTAATTTGTTTCTGAATGTACAGAGCATAATGGCAGCGTCTGAGGTTGCTGGTGTTGTGGCCAATGCCCCCAGTCCTCCGGAATCTTCTAGTTTATGTGCTTCCAAATCAGACGAAGGTCTCCCAGATGGTCTAAGGTAATGTGTGGACTCCTGACTGGGAAGATTCATTTGGGTAAAGGGTTTTTGAGATGGTCTTGTGTAGCTGGTCTTTCTTTTTGGCTCTGATGGCACTGCACTAGCTTTTTAAAGGTACAGGACTGTCTGATCTATCTTTGTATTTCTGGTATCCAACACAGCACCTGATACTCAGCAGGCATGCTAAATGTTTGGGGAATAAATAGAATAGAATACATGGGGTCAAACTCATTAAAAAATGCAAACATTTTCCAGCCCTTTCCTACGTGGACTGTATGTTCATTTAACCATATGTTTATATGTTATATATGAGAAATGTTATATCAGTATGTGTACATGGATATCTAAATATGTATACATACAGATACACAATTACCCAAACTTATATCTCATAGTAGCTAATATGATACATTGTTATGTACAGTGTTGAACTAAATTAGCTATATAGTCATCCCACAGTATATGCTGGAGATTGGTTCCAGGACCCCTACTGAGGATACCAAAATCTATAAATGCTCAAGTCCCTTACATAAAATGGTGTAGTATTTTATCTGGGATAGGCATATGCCCACCCTACTTAAAGCTATTAAAAAGATAAAAAATAAATAAAGTGGTGTAGTATTTGCATATAACCTATGCATGTCCTCCCATATACTTTAAACAATAGGTTATTTACAACAACTAATACAATGTAAATGTTATGTAAATAGTTGTGTTGTTTAAGGAATAATGACAGGTAAAAAAGTTTGTACATGTTCAGTACAGATGCAACCATCCAATTTTTTTCTGAAAATTTTTTTAATGGTTTCAAATCTATTTCACTTTTCTTTTTTTGAGATGGAGTCTCACTCTGTTGGCCCAGGCTGGAGTGCAGTGGCGCGATCTCGGCTCACTGCAAGCTCTGCCTCCCGGGTTTATGCCGTTCTCCTGCCTCAGCCTCCCCAGTAGCTGGGACTACAGGCGCCCGCCACTACGCCCGGCTAATTTTTTGTATTTTTAGTAGAAACGGGGTTTCACTGTGTTAGCCAGGATGGTCTCGATCTCCTGACCTCGTGATCCGCCTGCCTCGGCCTCCCAAAGTGCTGGGATTACAGGCGTGAGTCACCACGCCCAGCCTTTTTTTTTTTTTTTTTTTTTGAGATGGAGTCTCGCTCTGTCGCCCAGACTGGAGTGCAATGGCGTGAACCCAGCTCACTGCAACCTCCGTCTCCTGGGTTCAAACGTCTCCTGGATTCCCTTACCTCAGCCTCCCAAGTAGCTAGGATTACAGCCGCCCAGCACCACGCCTGGCTAATTTTTGTATTTGAGTAGAAACGGGGTTTTGCCACGTTGGCCAGACTGGGTATTTTACTTTTCAGTGATTTATTTTTATATTTTAAAAAATGGACACGATAATTGTACGTATTCATGGGGGTACATAGTGATGTTGTGGTGTATGTGATGTATAGTGATCAGATCAGGGTAATTAGCATGTCCATCATCACAAACGTTTATCCTTTTGAATATTTTCAGTCCATGGTTGGTTGAGTCCATGAATGTGGACCACATTCTACATAAAGAGGCTGACTGTGTATTCTTCCTCAACTCTGTTTTTTTTTTGAGAGAGACTCTTGCCCTGTCCCCCAGACTGGAGTGCAGTGGTGCGATCTTGGCTCACTGCGACCTCTGCCTCCCGGGTTCAAGTGATTCTCCTGCCTCAGCCTCCCTAGTAGCTGGGATTATAGGCACCTGCTTGGTAGCCCGGCTAATTTTTGTATTTTTAGTGGAGACCGGGTTTCACCATGTTGACCAGACTGGTCTTGAACTCCTGACCTCAAGTGATCTGTCCGTCTTGGCCTCCCAAAGTGCTGGAATTACAGGGATGAGCCACTGCACCTAGCTCCGTCAATTTTTTTGTTTTTTTTTTGTTCTTGAGATGGCATCTTGCTCCGTCACCCAGGCTGGAGTGCAGTGGCGCGATTTCCGCTCACTGCAACCTCTGCCTCCCGAGTTCAAGCGATTCTCCTGCCTAAGCCTCCTGAGTAGCTGGGACAACAGGCGCCCGCCACCACACC
The DNA here is from genome assembly GCF_000001405.40 of Homo sapiens. Taxonomy (NCBI): domain Eukaryota; kingdom Metazoa; phylum Chordata; class Mammalia; order Primates; family Hominidae; genus Homo; species Homo sapiens. The sequence goes on from NC_000011.10 coordinate 117,236,434, forward strand.
CGGCTAATTTTTTGTATTTTAGTAGAGGCAGAGTTTCACCATGTTGTCCAGGATGGTCTCGATCTTCCGACCTTGTGATCCGCCCGCCTCAGCCTCCCAAAGTGTTGGGATTACAGGCATGAGCCACCGCACCTGGCCGTCCCTCAACTCTTTTCCAGTGTACCTGGGTCCCCTAATACAGTAGCTAACACTTAACTACAGTTCCATACGTGGTAACACATTTAATCTTCACAACAGTCCCAGGAGGTAGTGATAATATTATTCGCATTTACCGGTGAGGAAACTGAGACACAGAGAGGTTAGTAATTTGCCCAAGGTTTCCAAGCTATGTTGGAGTCAGAGTTTTGATAAATAAAATCAACTTCATACACTAGTAATAATGGCAGCTAAGGTTTATTGAATGTTTACTATGTGCCAGGCACTGTACTGAGTACTTTATGTGCATTATCTCATGTAATCCTCACAACAGTCTTGTTAGGTGGATAGTATTATTTCTGTTTTACAAATGAGGTAACTTGCCGAGAGTCAAACAGCTTGTAAATGGTGGGCGGAGTCAGGATTCAAACTCAGGTACTGTATATGCCTGAATTTTTAATTAAGCACCCGCTCACAGTTAACTCCCAGCAGGAAGGAATCAGCTTCGAGTGTTTTTATTAATATTATTGAGACAGGGTCTCCATCTGTCATCCAGGCTGGAGTACAGTGGTGCGATCATGGCCTACTGCAGCCTCCACCTCCTGGGCTTAAGCAGTCCTCTCACTTCAGCCTCCCAAGTAACTGAAGCTACAGGTGCACGCCACTACACTTGGCTAATTTTTAAATTTTTATGTAGAGAGAGGGTCTTGCTATGTTTCCCAGGCTAGTCTTGAACTCCTGACCTCAAATGATCCTCCTGCCTTGACCTCCCAAAGTGTTGGGATTACAGGCATGAGCCATTGCTCCCCAGCGAGATATTCTTTCAGTTGTTTTATTTTGAACTAGTACGACTGAGGAAACAAAGACGCATCAACTTGAATCCCCATTGCTAGTTGGGTATGGTTAAGAGTGTCAGTTATAGAATTAGTTTAAAAAAAGAGGGTGGGGTCAAAGAAATTAAACATAGGCGTAATTCCTGGGTGAAAGATGTGCAATTGTGAATGTTGGATGTCATTGTAAATATGTTTTAAAGTCCCCTTTAAAAAGCAGTACCTCACTTCAGCCTGGGTGACAAAGTGAAACCCTGTCTCAAAAAATAAATAAATAAATAAAAAATAAAAGCAATACCTTGAATGGCTGTGACAAGTGACAGAATATCCTAATGTTAAGCATATGTATACTTACTGTGTGGGATAAAATTTCTATTGACAGCTTCAATTTTGGATTCAAAATTGTACTTTAGACAACTTAAAGTGTAGGTTCTATACTCTGGAAAACTGTTGAAGAACCTAAAAAGTGGTTCTGGTCAAAGATCTGTATAATGAGTTTGAATGAAAATTATTCCTGTGAAAGGTGAGAGAGGAATAAAAACAATACTTCTAAGTTAATATTTGATTATAATATTATGTATAACTAAATTAATACATGTAACTAAATTAAATATTCTAACTAGTATTAGGCTAATTCATCGGTATCCCCAAAAGTTATTAAAATTGGCACTCAAAAATTATTTGGATCTTCAGAATCATTTATGTTTGGCCATTTACTGTAGAACCCAGGTTTTTGGCCAGCTCACGCCTATAATTCCAACACTTTGGGAGGCTGAGGCAGGCAGATGGATCCCTTGAGTACAGGAGTTCGAGACCAGCCTGGGCAACATGGCAAAACCGTGCAAAAAATACAAAAAATTAGCTGGGCGTAGTGGCATGTGCCTGTAGTCCTAGTTACTCACAAGTCTGAGGTGGAGGATTGCTTGAGCCAAGGATGTTGAGACTGTAGTGAGCCTTGATGGCGGCACTGCACTCTAGCTTGGGTGACAGAGTTTAGAACCTCTCTAAAAACAAAACCAAAAACAAAAAACTAGGTCTTAACCACCAGGCTATACTACCTGCATACAGGATAGAAATCATTGGATTGAAACTAAGTTCTTTCATTATGATAGTCGGGAGGGTTTACGTAGTCTAGTTTTGTTCTTCTAGTAGTTAGGTTGAAAGTATTATATACTTTTCTTTTTATCTTGTGTGTTTGATAGCACCAAAGACTCTGCACAGAAGCAGAAGAACTCGCCTCTGTTGAGTGTAAGTAGCCAAACAATAACCAAGGAGAATAACAGAAATGTCCATTTGGAGCACTCAGAGCAGAATCCTGGTTCATCAGCAGGTGACACCTCAGCAGCGCACCAGGTGGTTTTAGGAGAAAACTTGATAGCCACAGCCCTTTGTCTTTCTGGCAGTGGGTCTCAGTCTGATTTGAAGGATGTGGCCAGCACAGCAGGAGAGGAGGGGGACACAAGCCTTCGGGAGAGCCTCCATCCAGTCACTCGGTCTCTTAAGGCAGGGTGCCATACTAAGCAGCTTGCCTCCAGGAATTGCTCTGAAGAGAAATCCCCACAAACCTCCATCCTAAAGGAAGGTAACAGGGACACAAGCTTGGATTTCCGACCTGTAGTGTCTCCAGCAAATGGGGTTGAAGGAGTCCGAGTGGATCAGGATGATGATCAAGATAGCTCTTCCCTGAAGCTTTCTCAGAACATTGCTGTACAGGTCAAGTGTCAAGTTTCTACTACTAAAATGTAATTGGGGGGTGGTGGGGTTCAGGGTGGGAGATATTTCTTCATATTTGGTGGAGAACTTGCTGGCTTGTTTTGTTTTTTGTTTTTTTTGCTAGCAACCATCATACTACTCTCATACAGTGCCATACAATGACTTCATTCTGATGTTCAGTAAATAAGAAAGCCAGTAGCCATTGTCTAATCTTATGGCAAGTAGGAACTTTATGACCTACGTGTAGTCTCTTTCACTGAGTAACTGATGAGTGCAGGACATTAGCATTCATATTTATCATCTTTGACCTTGCAGGAAGAATCCTTGTTAATTCTCTGAGTCACATCTTAAGAAGTACAGTGTATCCTGCCTTCTAGTGACGGGTGTGCTTTGTTGTAGGAGAAAGTATGGGCACAACAGACTGTAGAGGGCAGACGTCTCATCTCAGACTTGAGGCTTTCTCTCAGTCAGTCATTGGGTCTTGTTTGGGTTATTTTGTGGGACCGATGATTAATGCAGCGTGGATGTTGGTGTCCGTTTGCCAGAACTACATTGCTTAGCTTGCTTGGAAGCTGGTAAGGGGAAAGAGTAAAAAGTTAGTTACCTGTGGCGGAATTCTAGGTGTTAGTGATTCTGCCTCTTTTAAAGTGTCTCTGAACGATTCTAAATATAACTTTTTTCCTTTATAGACTGACTTTAAGACAGCTGATTCAGAGGTAAACACAGATCAAGATATTGAAAAGAATTTGGTAAGTATTTAAACTGTCCTTGTTATATGAAGCCATTATCAAATAGAAGATCTAGAGGCATATCATCTCAGTTGGAAAAGGTGCAGGAGTCCCTTTCATAAAATTCCTGACAGATGGTCAGGTGACTTTTCCTTGATCACTTCCAAAGATGGGAAGCTTACTACCTCACAAAGCAACCAGTTACGTTTAAAAAAAAAAATAGCTCTTATTGGCCAGGCACAGTGGCTCACACCCATAATCCTAACATTTTGGGAAGCCGAAGTGGGTGGATCGCTTGAGCCCTGGAGTTTGAGACCAGCCTGGGCAACACAGTGAAACACCATGTCTACAAAAAATACAAAAATTAGCCAGGTGTGGTGGTGCATGCCTATAGTCCTAGCTACTCAGGAGTCCTAGCTACTCAGGAGACAGGTGGGAGGATCACCTGTTCACCTGAGCCAAGGAGGTCGAGGCTGTGTGAGCCGTGATTGTGCGATTGTACTGCAGCCTGGGTGACAGAGTGAGACCCTGTCTCAAAAAAAATTAAAAAAAAAAAAAAAAAAAAAGGCCGGGCACAGTGGCTCACGCCTGTAATCCCAGCACTTTGGGAGGCCAAGGCAGGTGGATCACCTGAGGTTGAGAGTTTGAGACCAAGCTGGCCAACGTGGTGAAACCCCATCTCTACTAAAAATACAAAAATTAGCCGGGCGTGGTGGTGTGTGCCTGTAATCCCAGCTACTCGGGAGGCTGAGGCAGGAGAATGGCTTGAACCCAGGAGGCAGAGGTTGCAGTGAGCCAAGATTGCACCACTGCACCCCAGCCTGGACAACAGAGAAGCTCCATCTCAAAAAACAAAAATGAAACCTCTTATTAGATTTTGTTCTGAGATGAAGATAAAAACCTTATAACTTCTTGCTTCAGGCCGGGCGCGGTGACTCACGCCTGTAATCCTAGCACTTTCAGAGGCTGAGGCGGGTGGATCACCTGAGGTCAGGAGTTTGAGACCAGCCTGACTAACATGGTGAAACCTCGTCCCTACTAAAAATACAAAAATTTAGACCAGCCACGGTGGCTCACGTCTGTAATCCTAGCGCTTTGGGAGGCTGAGGCAGGCAGATTGCCTGAGCGCAGGAGTTCGAGACCAGCCTGGGCAACATGGCGAAACCCCATCTCTACTAAAAATACAAAAAATTAGCCAGGTGTGGTGGCGTGTGCCTGTAATCCCAGCTACTTGGGTGGCTGAGGCATGAGATTAGCTTGAACCTGGGAGGCAGAGATTGCAGTGACCCGAGATCGTACCACTGCACTCCAGCCTGGGTGACAGAGTGAGACTCTCTCAAAAACAAACAAACAACAACAAAAAAACAAAAATTAGCCTGTAATCCCAGCTACTTGGGAGGTTGAGGTAGAAGAATTGCTTGAACCCAGGAGGCTGAGGTGGCAGTGAGCTTCTTGCTTTAGGCCGGGCACAGTGGCTCATGCTTGTAATCCTAGCACTTTGGGAGGCCGAGGCGGGTAGATCACGAGGTCAAGAGATTGAGCCCATCCTGGCCAATATGGTGAAACCCCATCTCTACTAAAAATACAAAAATTAGCTGGGTGTGGTGGCGCATGCCTCTAGTCCTAGCTACTCAGGAGGGTGAGGCAGGAGAATTGCTTGAACCCGGGAGGTAGAGGTTGCAGTAAGCTGAGATTGCACCACTGCACTCCAGCCTGGTGACAGAGTGAGAATCTGTCTCAAAAAAAAAAAAAAAAAGTTCTTATTGTAGCTTTCTCTTGAGCTTTATGGAATAAATCCAGTTCCTTTCCTGCTTGTTAGCCATGTGTATATTTGAAGTTTTTTTATGCCTCCTGCTCTTATTCTCTTACTCCCCAAGTTCAAACCTTTCCAGGTGAAACATCCTCAGATGTTTTTAGTATTCTTTTTGATACTATTTTGATACTATTTTCCATTTCTTTATCATCATTCTGGTTACTTTCACTTAGACATGTTCTATTTTATCAATATTTGTTTTAAAAAGTGATCTTGAGAACCATATATAATAGTACAGATACAGTATAATTACTTTATAATACAGTGGGATCTCTCAGTATCTCTCATTCTAGACACTATTTCTTAAGCTTACATTGACTTATTTTGGCAGTTTTTTCATACTGTTAAGCTTTTAGTCAAATTCCATCCAGTCTTTTTTTCATGTATTATTTACTTGTGTCTTTTTAATTTTATCCCCAGATAGTTGGCTTTTGAAGAGAACGTCACACTTACCTTTGTTAAAATGCTCCCTTTGATCCATCCCTGGCCTTTTGTGGCTAAAACTTCCACCTTTAAGTATATGGATATCTAAATGTACACTTTTTAAAGGGAAGGTAATGCTGGGAAAGGCACCCCAGGAAGAGGTCTTTAGGGTAAGATATGTTAATTTATAAAGAGTGGTATAAAAAGGGAAAGTGCTTGTAGCAACCAGATAAGAGAGTGGATATTTGGTGCAAGTTGAAGAAATTGAAGGGCATACGGAAAAAAGTTACTGGTGTACATTAACCAGATGAAGCCAAGAAAAGTTTTAAAATAGAGACTAGCAACTTGGGACTTAATTGTAACAGTCAAGTAGATGAAACAGGAACGAATGGAAACCCAGCAAGTTACTGGGCCAGAAGAGGCCCAGGGTTGAGTTTTGTTTGGCTCTATCTTTTGGGTGGTAGTGAGGTCCACATGCTTTTAAAAAGGCAGTGAGGCCGGGTGCAGTGGCTCACACCTGTAATCTCAGCACTTTGAGAGGCCAAGGCAGGGGTATCACCTGAAGTCAGGAGTTCAAGACCAGCCTGGCCAACATGGCAAAACCCCATCTCTCCTAAAAATACAAAAATTAGCCGAACGTGGTGGCGGGTGCCTGTAATCCCAACTACTCTGGAGGCTGAGGCAGAGAGAATTGCTTGAACTCGGGAGGCGGAGGTTGCCGTAAGCCGAGATTGCACCACTGCACTCTAGCCTGGGCGACAGAGTGAGACTCTGTCTCAGAAAAGAATAATCTACTGGTTTCAACTTTTCTTTGGTTAAGATCCTCTTTCAGAATCTTTTGGAAACTTTGAATTCTTATCTCAGAAAAATATATACATTCATCAGTTGCAGAGAGTTCAAAGATTCCGGGGTCCACCTGTAGAAGCCAGGTTCAGAATCCCTGGAAAGGTGTGATGCTGAGTAATCAGCTGTTTGGGACACATTAGTCACATTTCAGTACATGGACTAAAGATTAGCTTGTCCCAAAGCCAAGGTCCTATCTTGAGAGCCTTTTTTATTAATTAATTAATTAATTTATTTATTTATTTTGAGACGGAGTCTCGCTCTGTCACCCAGTCTGGACTGCAGGGGCACAGTCTCTGCTCACTGCAACCTCTGCCTACCAGGTTCAAGTGATTCTCCTGCCTCAGCCTCCCAAGTAGCTGGGATTACAGGCATGTGCCACCATGCCTGGCTAATTTTGTATTTTTAGTAGAGATGGGATTGCACTGTGTTGGCCAGGCTGGTCTCGAACTGCTGACCTCAAGTGATCCACCCGCCTCAGCTTCCCAAAGTGCTGGGATTACAGGCGTGAGCCACTGCGCCCAGCCTTGAGAGCCTTTTGTTAAAATGATTATAATAGGATATTTTCCTCATTTGTTTTAAAAATTTTTTTTCTTTGAAAATGGTTATTATTTAATGAAAAAATTCAGTTTAGTGCTCTCAGTTTAAATATTATATGGGCTACTTCATACTAAATGTGTTTTAAGTTGACCCTCTTCAAATTTTAGTGTCCCTTTGAAAGGTAACCATTGATTTTCTTGATTTACTGACATGGGGGTGGCAGAGCTAAACTGTTTTCAGAAGCACTTCTATTTATTTATTTATTATTGTTATTTTTTGGTAGAGACCAGGTATTACTATGTTGCCCAGGCTGGTCTTCAGCTTCTGGCCTCAAGCAGTCTTCCTGCCTTGGCCCCTCAAAGCTGAGATTATAGGCTGGAGCCACCGTGCCTTGCCTAGGAGTCTCTCTTCTAATCCCGACTTTATATGAAAGCTTGCTGAGTTGTTCAGTCTGAATACCAGGTTCCCAGGCCTCTTTAGTGGATCCATCAGTTTTCAGTGTTGTTAACCAGTAAGGAATCATGTTCCCGGACGCTTTTTTGAGACAGAGTCTTGCTCTGTCGCCTAGGCTAAAGTGCAGTGGCACGATCTCAGCTCACTGTAACCTCTGCCTCCCAGGCTCAAGCGATCATCCCACCTCAGCCTCCCAAGTAGCTGGGACTACAGTGGAGTACTGGCATGCCCAGCTAATTTTTGTATTTTTTTAGAGTCCAGGTTTTGCCATGTTGCCCAAGCTGGTCTCGAATCCCTGAATGCAAGTGATCCGCCCGCCTCAGCCTCCCAAAGTACTACAGTTATAGGTGTGAGCCACCATCCCCAGCCAATCTCATCATATTTTACTGAATATAGCCACATATGGCTAGTAGAGTAGCTTCATTATTGGATAGTGCGGTCATAGAGCTCTATACAATGCCTTGGACAGGCACTGGTGAATGTTTCTTGTGATTAAATTAGGAAATAAGCTTTTCTTGTCTTGTTCATAATAGGATAAAATGATGACAGAGAGAACCCTGTTGAAAGAGCGTTACCAGGAGGTCCTGGACAAACAGAGGCAAGTGGAGAATCAGCTCCAAGTGCAATTAAAGCAGCTTCAGCAAAGGAGAGAAGAGGAAATGAAGAATCACCAGGTATTTTGCTTATATTGAAATTGTCAATGAGTTAAGCAACAGTCTCTGATCAAACTTTAATTTTTTAAAAAACTTTATTTATTTATTTATTTATTTTTGAGACAGAGTCTCACTCTGTCACTCAGGCTGGAATGTGGTAGCATAATCTTGGCTCACTGCAGCCTCTGTCTCCTGGGCTTAAGTGATCTTCCCACCTCAGCCTCCCAAGTAGCTGGGAACACAGGTGTGTGCCACTATGCCTGGCTCATTTTTTGTATTTTTGGTAGAGACGGGGTTTTGTCATGTTGCCCAGGCTGGTCTTGAACTCCAGACTCAAGAAATCCACCCGCCTTGGCCTCCGAAAGGAGGCCTTTTTATTTCAGTTAACTCAAAAATAAAATTAAAGTTTGAGCCATCCATGCCCGGCTCAAACTTTAATTTTATTTTTGAGTTAATTGAAATAAAAAGGCAAGGCGGGGTGTGGTGGCTCACACCTGTAATCCCAACACTTTGAGAGGTTGAGGCGGGTGGATCAGTTGGGTCCAGGAGTTCGAACCAGCCTGGGCAACATGGCAAAATCCCATCTTTACCAAAAATACAAAAAATGAGCCGGGCGTGGTGGTGTGCACCTGTGGTCCCAGCTACATGGGAGGCTGAGGTGGGAGGATCGCTTAAACCCAGGAGGCAGAGGTTGCAGTGAGCCGAAATTGTGCCACTGCACTCCAGCCTGAGTGACAGAACGATACCCTGTCTCAAAAAAAGTATTAATACTCATAGACTTTTTTTTTTTTTTGAGACGGAGTCTCGCTCTGTCACCCAGGCTGGAGTGCAATGGCACAATCTCGGCTCACTGCAAGCTCCGCCTCCTGGATTCACGCCATTCTCCTGCCTCAGCCTCCCAAGTAGCTGGGACTACAGGCGCCCGCCACTACGCCCGGCTAATTTTTTGTATTTTTTTTAATAGAGACGGGGTTTCACCATGTTAGCCAGGATGGTCTCGATCTCCTGACCTCATGATCCACCTGCCTCGGCCCCCCAAAGTGCTGGGATTACAGGCGTGAGCCACTGCGCCAGACCACTCATAGACTTTTAATAAAGAATGTTCGGATAAATTAGATACATCCATATGTTATGCAGCTATTTTTGAATTAGATCGATACTTATTGACAATACATTCATGTCAAGTAAAAGAAATCAGAATGCAAAATAATGTATGTAAAATGACCCCATTTAAAAATAACAACAACAACAACAACAAAGAAATGCATACCTAAGTATACATGTCTTTGTGTGAGCATAGAGAAAGATGTGAAAGCATAATACAAAGCAGTTAACACATTGATTACTCTTATGGGTGGAAGTGGTATGAAGTGGGGGAGTGACTCTTTATCACCTTTGTATTATTTTACTTTTTTTTTGATACTGGATCTTGTTTTGTTGCCCAGACTGGAGTGTAGTGGGTACAATCAAGGCTCACCGTATCTTTGACTTTCTGGGCTCGAGCTATCCTTCCACCTCAGCCTCTCGAGTATCTGGACTACAGGCATGTGCCACCACACCTGGCTAATTTTTTTTATTTTTTGTGAGACAAGATCTCTGTATGTTGCCTAGGCTGGACTCGAACTCCCGGACACAGTGATCCTCCTGCCTTGGGTTCCCAAAGTACAAGGATTATAGGCATGAGCTACTGTGCCTGGCCTGTTTGACTTCTTATTTAAAAAAAAAAAAAAGTGTGCGTTTGTACATATGTATATCTGTGTGTATATGTGTGTGTGTATATATGTATGTATTTGTTGTTGTTAAAGAGTAAAACAAACAAAACCCATACATAATAAAGTAGAATCACAACAAAATGAAACAAGACAATATTTGTTGGATGTAACAGACCCTCCCTGGTACAAGAACACCTTTCTCAGCATTCTTGACAGGTGTTCATTCAGCCTTTATTTGAACACCAGTAATGAAGAGCTTACTGCTTCACAAGGCAGTATATTTCATTTTTGAACAATTGCGATTGCTAGAAATTATTTTTCCTGTTGAGTTGAAATCTGCATTACTATAACTTTCTCCTTTAGGTCTGAATACTGGCTTTTGGAGCTACTCATCAACCACATTCTTTCAATTCAATTTGAATTCACTAAAGTCAATACGTGAATTTGTGATAGTTGAAAATAACCTTTGCATCAAAAGAACTAACTTATTTTCTTTTTTATTTGTGTGCGACTGTAATTGTGTGGAACTCAGGAGATATTAAAGGCTATTCAGGATGTGACAATAAAGCGGGAAGAAACAAAGAAGAAGATAGAGAAAGAGAAGAAGGAGTTTTTGCAGAAGGAGCAGGATCTGAAAGCTGAAATTGAGAAGCTTTGTGAGAAGGGCAGAAGGTAACTGATGTTAAGAATAAAAACCCTGTGTGTATGTATATATGCATGAGGGGCCAGACCCGTTTGTATTTGTAGTTTCTTTCCCTTCGGTTTAATTTTTATTTGAAAAACAAGTGTACAAGTAAAAACTCTCCAATGACTTTAGCTTTTTCAGTATCAAACATTAGACTTAATAGAAAAAAGTTCAGAGATTTATTAAATACTTTGAAATAATAACAGTTAATTGTTGAGTCCCAAGTGTGGTCAAGAGTTCGATACGGGCTGGACGTAGCGGCTCACACCTATAATCCCAGCGCTTTGGGACACCAAGGTGGGAAGATTGCTTGAGGCCAGGAGTTTGAGACCAGCCTGAGCAACCTAGCAAGACCCCCTCTCTACAAAAAATATTAAAAAAAAATTAGCTGGTTGTGGTGGCACGTGGCTGTAGTCCTAGCTACTTGGGAGGCTGAGGTGGAAGAATCACTTGAGCCCAGGAGTTCCAGGCTGCAGTCAGCTGTGATTACGCCACTGCACTCCAGCTTGGGTGACAGAGCAAGACCTTGTCTCTTAAAAAAAAATTTTTTTTATATGAATCTAACACCGATCTCACTTTATAACCTGATATTTACAAGTTCAGACCATGGGACAGGCACAGTGGCTCACGCCTGTAATCCCAGCACCTTGGGAGGCCGAGGCAGGTGGATCACGAGGTCAGGAGATCGAGACCATCCTGGCCAATATGGTGAAACCCCATCTCTACTAAAATACACAAAATTAGCCAGGCGTGGCGGCGTGCACCTGTAGTCTCAGCTACTCGGGAAGCTGAGGCAGGGGAATCGCTTGAATCCAGGAGGCAGGAGGCGGAGGTTGCAGTGAGCTGAGATCGTGCCACTGGACTTCAGCCTGGCAACAGAGTGAGACCCTGTCTCAAAAAAAAAAAAAAACAAAACAAAAAAAAACAAAGTTCAGACCATGAGCATATTTTGAATGATTACATTTGTGTTATTCAGCATCCAAAGTAAATTTCAAACAGTAACATTGTAAGCTGTTTGTGAAAGAATTATTTAGAGGATTTGTGTCCTTTTCTGGGTACTGCAGAAAAAGCAAAGTGGGCATAGAATTTGGTCAGCTTCTCAATTTTCTAAGTTTCTTTTTTTTCTTTTTTTGAGACGGAGTCTTGCTCTGTTCCCCAGGCTGGAGTGCAGTGGCACGATCTCAGCTCACTGCAAGCTCCACCTCCCGGGTTCACGCCATTCTCCTGCCTCAGCCTCCTGAGTAGCTGGGACTACAGGCGCCCGCCACCATGCCTGGCTAACATTTTTGTATTTTTAGGAGAGACGGGGTTTCACCGTGTTAGCCAGGATGGTCTCGATCTCCTGACCTCATGATCCGCCTGCCTCGGCCTCCCAAAGTGCTGGGATTACAGGCATGAGCCACCGCGCCCAGCCAATTTTCTAAGTTTCTTAAAATGACCTGTTTGGAAATCATAATAGCTGTGAATACTCGGTTGATTTTATTTAAATTCTACCAAAATGTTTTTTGTTTATCAAAAAAATTTTGGCTTTTGCTAATGCGTCAGACTGCTGAGTTAGCAAGCTCATGTGCTGAATCATTTTCTGAGTCTCCAAGATAATAATTGTGAAGCTCAACATGAGGAATTGTGTTTGAGAGAGGGCTTGTAGACCAATCAGTTGTTCTGTTGAGAATCTAGTGATACTGAATGATTAGAAGGTGGGTCAGTTGTCTATAATGATAATTTTCCAGAAATTATGAGGAGTGTACCTGGAATAGAACATTATCCCAGCCACTGTTAGTGATCAAAGCAGTTGCTCCCACCCCATGACATGGTCTCTGCCATTGTCTTCACAATCTGTGTGAGGAAGATGACCATAGGCATGTAGCAACTTAACAGGAGATATTAAAGTGCAGAAACTGGGAAGATGAGTCTATAATGTTATTCTAAGCCCCGCAGAAAATTTCCTTTTGATGTGTGTTCTTTACATTCTTTTTTTTTTTGAGACAGTCTTGCTCTGTTGCCCAGGCTGGAGTGCAGTGGCGCAATCTCGGCTCATGCAAGCTCCACCTCCCGGGTTCAAGTGATTCTTTTGCCTCAGTCACCTGAGTATCTGGGATTACAGGCGAGTGCCATCATGCCCAGATAATTTTTTAAATTTTTTTATAGAGATGAGAATCTCACTCGTTGACCAGGCTAATCTCAAACTTCTGGCTTCAAGCGATCCACCTGCCTTGGCCTCCCAAAGTGCTGGGATTACAGGTGTGAGCTACCGTGCCCAGCCTTTTTTTAATTTTTAATTTTTATTGTTTTTTACCTTCAACAAACTCACTTTTACTCTTTACATTCTTTATGTAACTCTACTACCTTTTCCATCTGATTGAATTGCTACAGATGGTGATTGATACTAATAATTTTGGTGTTTGTGTTCTTGAAGATCCATTTTTTTTCTTTAAATGTATATGTCACGGTGTGAGAATAATGTTTTCTGCCATTCTTTCTGTTAAATGTGGGGTTCAGTTTTCCGGAAGCAGGGGGAATGTCTCTTGTAGGTATCTTTGTTCTAGCAGTGGTGTAGGTTCTGCTTAGCATTCCATCATTCATAGGAACCGGGACACATAGATTTTGGTCATTATATTATTCACCTTGGCCTGCCATAACAGAATACCACTGACTACGTGGCTTAAACAGCAGAATATTTTACAGTTCTTGGAGGCTGGAAATCCGACATAAAGATGCTGGCAGGTTTGGTTTCTGGTGAGAATCTTTTCCTGGTTTGCCGACAGCTGCCTTCTTCTGGTCTCACATGGCTTTTGTGCTATGCATGCACATTCCTGGTGTCTCTTCCTCTTATAAGGACACCAATTCTATTGGATTAGGTTCCCACTTTATGACTTCATTTAACCATAATTGCCTCCTTCAAGGCCCTGTATCCAAATACAATTACACTGGGGTTAGGGCTTCAAGATACGAGTTTTAAGGGGCACAATTCAGTCCATAACAATTGTATTTCCTGTTTATAGTGTTTTCATTCATTTGTTCAGCCAGCATTTATTGAGTATCTACTATGAGCCAGACAGTAGGGCCTGGAGAGTAAAAAGTCTTCAAAGAGATTACTGTTTATTGTGAGAGACATAGATAAACAGATGATTGCAAAATAGTGTAATGATACCATGACAGTGGTGGTATGAAAGCATCTGAAAGAGGCATATAACCCATACTGGGTAGGGGGAGTCACAGAGGGCTTCCCAGGGAATATCATTCCAGAACTGAGTCCTGAAAAATAAGGGGCAGAAGATAACCACCAAATGAAATGCATGATCCTTGGTTTGATCCTGAATTAAACAAAGTATAATTATAGGACATTTTGGAATAATTGGGAAAATTTCAATAGTGACTACGTGTTAAGTAATACTGTGTCAGTGTTATGTATTTTGGGTGTATAAACCCATGTTGTTGAAAAAAGTTTAAGAAATTAAAAAAATATTTTACATGTGATTATGACATTGTTTCATTATGTAGAAGGATGTTCTTGTTCATAAGAGATACTTGCTGAAGTTTTAGGAGTTAAGTGTCATGATGTAAATGTGGCAAAAAAAATGCAACAACTGGTAAATTTAGATGACAGGTAGACATTCATTTTATTATTTTTATTTATTTATTTATTTATTTTTTTTTTAATTTTTTTTTTTTATTGATCATTCTTGGGTGTTTCTCGCAGAGGGGGATTTGGCAGGGTCACAGGACAATAGTGGAGGGAAGGTCAGCAGATAAACAAGTGAACAAAGGTCTCTGGTTTTCCTAGGCAGAGGACCCTGCGGCCTTCCGCAGTGTTTGTGTCCCTGGGTACTTGAGATTAGGGAGTGGTGATGACTCTTAACGAGCATGCTGCCTTCAAGCATCTGTTTAACAAAGCACATCTTGCACCGCCCTTAATCCATTCAACCCTGAGTGGATACAGCACATGTTTCAGAGAGCACAGGGTTGGGGGTAAGGTCACAGATCAACAGGATCCCAAGGCAGAAGAATTTTTCTTAGTACAGAACAAAATGAAAAGTCTCCCATGTCTACCTCTTTCTACACAGACACGGCAACCATCCAATTTCTCAATCTTTTCCCCACCTTTCCCCCCTTTCTATTCCACAAAACCGCCATTGTCATCATGGCCCGTTCTCAACGAGCTGTTGGGTACACCTCCCAGACGGGGTGGTGGCCTGGCAGAGGGGCTCCTCACTTCCCAGTAGGGGCGGCCGGGCAGAGGCGCCCCGCACCTCCCGGACGGGGCGGCTGGCCGGGCGGGGGGCTGACCCCGCTGACCCCCCCACCTCCCTCCGGGACGGGGCGGCTGGCCGGGCAGAGGGGCTCCTCACTTCCCAGTAGGGGCGGCCGGGCAGAGGCGCCCCTCACCTCCCGGACGGGGCGGCTGGCCGGGCGGGGGGCTGACCCCCCCACCTCCCTCCCGGACGGGGCGGCTGGCCTGGCGGGGGGCTGACCCCCCCACCTCCCTCCCGGACGGGGCGGCTGGCCGGGCGGGGGGCTGACCCCCCCACCTCCCTCCCGGACGGGGCGGCTGGCCGGGCGGGGGGCTGACCCCCCCACCTCCCTCCCGGACGGGGCGGCTGGCCGGGTCATTTTATTATTTTATTAACTTTTTCTTGGTTTGAAATTTTCGAAGAAAAAGTAGCAGGGGTCAGGGTAGGTATAGGGAAGAATTAGCCAGGCAACAAATGAAGGAAAAGACACTGCCGGCAGGGGGCTCAGAGATGTGAGAGAAAAGCAAGCAAGACGTGAAGTGGGGGAGTGAGGCCAGATCAGAAAGGCTTTTATACTGTGTTAAGGAGTTTGGGTTTTTCCATGATAGAGATATTGAAGGATTTTAAGGGAGGAGAGTATCAAATGATACAATTTGCATTTTATTTTTATTTTATTTTACTTTTTCATTTTTTGAGACAGAGTCTCACTCTGTTGCCCAGGCAGGAGTGCAGTGGCACGATCTTGGCTCACTGCAACCTCCACTTCCTGTGTTCAAGTGATTCTCCTGCCTCAGCCTCCTGAGTAGCTGGAACTACAGGCCTGTGCCACCACGCCCGACTAATTTTTGTATTTTTAGTAGAGACGAGGTTTCACCATGTTGGCCAGGCTAGTCTTGAACACCTGACCTCAAGTGATGTGCCCGCCTTGGCCTCCCAAAGTTCTGGGATTACAGGTGTGAGCCATCCTGCCTGGCCTATGATTTGCATTTTCAGTAGATTACTTGGGCAGTTGGAAAATGGATTGGATTAGTGTATTTGACCAGTTAGGAGACTTATCTTGTCAGAGCCTAGGTTAGCATAATTATGGCTGAAACTAAAGTAGTGCCAGTGGGAATGAGAGAAGTGAACACATTTGTAAGACATTTAGGGGCAGCACTGATCAATGTGGGTAGACAGGGTTGAGTTAGGGATAACTCCCATATTTCTGGCTTGGAAAATTAGGGAAATAATGGGATTCTTTGATAAGATGTCTTATCTGTCTTATACGTTTTAACTTAAATTCTGCCTTCTTTGCAAAATTGCCTGTGCCATTTCTTTATGAACTGAATCTGAATTTTTTTTTTTTGAGACGGAGTCTTGCTTTGTCGCCCAGGCTGGAGCGCAGTGGCGTGATCTTGGTTCACTGCAGTCTCCACCTCCCGGATTCAAGCGATTCTCCTGCCTCAGCCTCCCGAGTAGCTGGGACTACATGTGCCTGCCACCACGCCCAGCTCATTTTTTGTATTTTTAGTAGAGACGGGGTTTCACTGTGTTAGCCAGGATGGTCTCGCTCTCCTGACCTCCTGTTCCGCCCGCCTTGGCCTCCCAAAGTGCTGGGATTACAGGCATGAGCCGCCTCACCTGGCCTGAAATTTTTTTTAATGTTTTATTCTTTTAGTGCCATATATCTGGTAATTATTTGATAAGTGTTTATTCTATCACTGGATTGGAAATTAAGGGAATTTCACATTAATATTAATTAAAGATGAATTTACTTAATAGAAATCTGCTAAGTGCTTTGTACTATTTGAAGGTAGTCACTATGTATTTCAATGTAATTATAATTTTTTTATTTTTAGAAACAGGATCTCACTCTGTTGGCCCAGCTAGAGTGTAGTGGTACAGTCATGGCTCACTAAAGCCTTGAACTCCTGAGCTCAAGCCATCCTCCTGCCTCAGCTTCCCAAGTAGCTGGGACTACAGGTGTGCACCACCATGCCCATCTAAGTTTTTCTGTTTTGTAGAGACTGGATCTCAGTTTGTTGGCCAGGCTGATCTCAAACTCCTGCCCTTGACCTCTCAAAATTTTAGGATTACAGGCGTGAACCACTGTGCCTGGTCTAATTATAATTTTTAAAGGAGACAAACTGAATTTACCAAAGTGTAAAAGATCAAATATTTAGTTTAGTCATGTATTTGATTTTTTTTCTCCTGGACACCTGGCTGCTTTGTCCTGGAAATTGTCTTGCTTTTGCAGGGATAATTTCTAGTTCTCAGCTTTTATCCTTCAGGTTATTGCTGGCATTAGAAAGGTGAGGTTTCCCTGTTAGTGCTCTTCCAGTGCAGAACCTCTTTTAAGCTCCCTACCTTTAACAGTGACTTATTGTGTGCAGGTGCGATGGCTTATGCCTGTAATCCCAGCACTTTGGGAGGCCAAGGCGGGAGGATTGCTTGAGCCCAGGAGTTTGAGACCAGCCTGGGCAATATAGTGAGACCTTATCTCTATAAAAAATAAATAAATAAATAAACGACAACAACAACAAGACAACGGTGACTCATTGAGAATGGCAGTAAGTAAGGCTCGTGGTGACCCTGTGTTTTAAAAGACATAATTGATTTATATTTTCATGGATGTAGCTTTGGACAAGGAGCATAAAAACTGCAATATCAAGCAATATTTTTCTTCTTTAAAAAAAATTCTCTGAACTTGCCTGATCAATTCATAGGATAGGTAAGTAGCAGATTAAGGGAGTTATTCATTGGAAGCATCACTCTGGGTGTAATATAAGAGTCTATGTTGGCTGGGCGCAGTAGCTTGTGCCTGTAATCCCAGCACTTTGGGAGGCCGAGTGGGGCAGATCACCTGAGGTCAGGAGTTGGAGACCAGCCTGGCCAACATGGCGAAACCCCATCTGTACTTAAAAAAATTAGCCAGGTGTGGTAGTGGCCGCCTGTAGTCCCAACTACTTGGGAGGCTGAGACACAAGAATTGCTTAAACCCGGGAGGTGGAGGTTGCAGTGAGCTGAGATCGCGCCACTGAACTCCAGCTTGGGTGACAGAGCAAGACTCCATCTCAAAGAAAAAAAAAAACAAAGTGCATGCTAAATTAAAATTGAGGCCAGGCAAGGTAGTTCACACATGTAATCCTAGCCCTTGAATGTACTTGAATGTCCCACTCAAGTGTCCTTCTGACTTTGTCTTATTCCCAATAAATTTACACTTTGACCGTATCAAGATCTCTTTCTTGTTCAGTGACCCCTCACTCCATTTCCTTTGAGTCTGTCAACTCCCTGGAAGTATTTCTTTCCATAGCCAGCCTAGACTTATGGTCTGTTACTGGATTTACTTGCTTACCATTACCATCAATTCTCTTGGTGCCTTGTTCTTTTCATTTTATTTTCCTGTATTACTCCAGTCCTGAGTCAAGTCAGCCACCTGACCTCTTCGTTCTTCTTCTTTTTTTTTTTTGAGACAGAGTCTCGCTCTGTCACCCAGGCTGGAGTCCAGTGGCACGATCTCAGCTCACTGCAACCTCCGCCTCCTGGGTTCAAGTGATTCTCCTGCCTCAGCCTCCTGAGTAGCTGGGATTACAGGCACCCACCACCATGCCCGGCTAATTTTTTATATTTTTATTAGAGACGGGGTTTCATCATTGTTGGCCAGGATGGTTTTGAACTTCTGACCTCAAGTGATCCACCTGCCTCGGCCTCCCAAAGTGCTCAGATTATAGGCTTGAGCCACTGCGCCTAGCCCACCTCTTCATTCTTACACCTGGGCTGCTGAGTGCTGCTGGAGAAAATCACACAACTGTGTGTCTTGGGGCCAGAATACATTTATGACTTACAACATCACCTGGATCCTCAGATGTATTTTTAGTAGAGACAAGGTTTCACCATGTTGGCCAGGCTAGTCTTGAACTCCTCTTCCTCAGAGGTCTATCCCAAATTTAAATCTCTCTTTCTAAACTTCCTGTCTCCACCATTTCTCTTCTTACCCTTAGCAGATGATCTTGTCTTTTATTTCTCAGAAACAAGGTGTCATCAATGGAAACTTCCCTCAGTTTTCTAACCATCAGCAGAGGCATTCTTCCTTTCTTCCTGTCCTTGTATCTGAGTCTATAATTCTACCTGTGTGTGCATCCCACTCCCTTTTGCTTCTGCTATTTCTCCATAGATGACTCCACTTTTTCCTCTAGTGTGTAAGCTGAATACTGGGGCCATCCTAAATTCCCCTCTTAGCCCTTTCCATCACATGCACTTTACTATGTCTTGTAGGTGCCCTTATTTTTGTTCTTTTTACAATTTCATTGTCAATATTCAATATAATTTCTTGTTTTTATTCTTTAATTTTTTTTTCTTCGTAGAGACAGGGTCTCAACTCTGTTGCCCAGGCTGGTCTTGACCCCCTGGGCTCAAGTGATCCTCCCACCTCAGCCTCCCAAAGTGCTGGGATTATAGGAATGAGCCACTACACCCAGCCTCTTGTGTATTCTTAGTATTAATTATTCTTTCTCTCTGTCACTGGCCACTACACCCAGCCTCTTGTATATTCTTAGTATTAATTATTCTTTCTCTCTGTCACTGTCAAGTTCTCTTTAGTTTTCGTAGAGTACCAAGGTGGGCTCCTAAACTTTCTTTGCTTCCTGCCTGCCTCCTTTCTCATTGTCTAATTCACTGCTACCATTGAAATCATTCCAAGATACAAATCTGATAATGTCATTTCCCTGCTTAAATTTTTTCATAGTTCTGTATAGTATTTAGGGTAAAGTTTTAACCCTTTACTTAGTATAAGAGGCCTTCAGTTACCTCTTTCACATTTATATCTCTAGGTATGACCTTATTACTTGCCCACACAACCGTGCTGGTTTATACCTAACTACTATATGCAGTATTCTGAACGTACTTAAAACTCAGCCTGTGCCACCTGCTCTAGAAAGCTTTCCCAGACACTCTCCCTCCCTCCCCTTTACACACCCTGACTGACTAATATAGCTAATCCTCCTCTTCACTCACCTAGCATGTTGTGTATACTGCTATCATAACACTTCTTCGTGGCCTTTTTTGTTTACTTAACTGCTTTCACCATTATATAGTTAGCTTCTTGAGGACAACTGTTTTGATTAGCTGTCACTGTGTAAAAATACCACTGTAAAAGTTAATATCTTGAAACAATAGTATTTTATTATTTCTCACAATTCTTTGGGTGGATTGCTTCTCAGATGGATGGTTCTGTTGGCCTTGTTTGGAGTCATTCATGTGGCTCCGGTCAGGTTGTGGCTGGGGCTAGGATATCCAACATGGCTTCATTCATATCCCTGGCACATTGTGGGGGACTCCTGGAAAGCTGAGCTCAGCTGGAACATTGGGATGCCATGCTTTTCTCATTCTCACTCTTGCCATATAGTCTCGGGGCTTTTCCCTCTCCAGGTGGTCTTTCCAGCAGATGAGCCAGATTTCTTACATGGTAGCCCAGAGCTCTGAGTTCCAAAGCAGAAGCTGCCAGGCTCTCTTAAGGCTTAGATTTTGAACCAGTACAGTGCTAGTTCTGTGACATTCTGTTGGTCAATATGAGTCACAGGACTAACCCAGATTTGTGTGGGAAAGGACTACACAGAATGTGATCACTAGGAGGCTTGGTTCATTGGGAGGGGCTCATCTTTGGAGACTTGCTACTACAGCAAGTAGCACATTTCACTTTTTCTGCTTAGTATATAGTAATATCTTCTAGATACGGGAAATAATAAAAGTTACACAAATAAGAGATACATAATTAAAGATCTTTTAGAAATATTTAGGATGAGTTGTAGGGAGAGACAGAGACTGGGACATCAGCCAGTACACTCTTTGCAATAAAGTGAGTATAATTATAAGAATCATTATGGCCTGCCGCAGTGGCTCACATGCCTATAATCCCAGCTCTTTGGGAGGCCAAAGTAGGAGGATTACTTGAGCGCAGGAGTTCGAGACCAGCCTGGGCAACATGGCGAAATCCCATCTCTACAAAAAATACAGAAATTAGCTGGGCATGTTGGTGTGTGCCTGTAGTCCCACTACTTGGGGGGCAGAGGTGGGAGGATTGCTTGAGCTCAGAAGGTCAAGGTTGTAATGAGCCATGACTGTGCCACTGCACTCCAGCCTGGGCAACAGAGTGAGATCCTGTCTCAAAAAAATCATTATCAGACTAGTGGTGGAATGAAATGAAATGGAAAAGAAATGGATTCAGGAAGAATTGTCTGATTATTTTGAGAAACAAAACAGAAAAAGTAAAAAATAACATCACCGTTGGAATTCTTGTTCTCAATTTTGAGGGTGAAGTCATACATTTGATGATATGGGACATTCAAGTACTCAGTAGGTCATTGGAAATGAGAGACTTGAATGTAGAAGAGATGCTCTGTCTTGATTGAGAGTTGACAACATAGAGACGATAGTTACAATGGAAGGGAATTTTTGGTGGGAAAATAGAGAAGGGCTTAGTACTACACTCTGAGTTATACTTACAGTTTGGGAGTAGAAGTAAGTAGGAAAGACAAAAAGAATAATGAGAGAAAGAAAGGGAAATAGTTTAGAATAGTAGTATGCATTTTCCAAAGGAAGAGGATGCTTAATAGTATTAGAATCTGCAGGGAAATAAATGAGAACCAAGTCTGAATAATACTAATTGGTAATTGTTGAGTGTTGTGATGCTATTCAGTAATCAACTGGGATTTTTAGGCAAAGGAATTAAATTACTGGATTTACTTCTCCCCTAATATTTTGTTATGAAAATTTTCAAACATTGAGAGAAGCTGAAAGTATTGTACATTAACACTGACCACCTGGATTCAACAATTAATATTCTACTACAGTTGTTTTTGTCAGCCTTTCCATCTGTCATGCCTCTATCTATTCATCAATCTGTCTTTTCTTTTTCTTTTTTTTTTTCTTTTTTTGAGACAGAGTCTCGCTCTGTCGCCAGGCTGGAGCGCTCACTGCAACCTTTGCCTTCCAGGTTCAAGCAATTCTCCTGCCTCAGCCTCCCTAGTAGCAGGGACTACAGGTGCATGCCACCACACCCAGCTGATTTTTGTATTTTTAGTAGAAATGGGGTTTCACCATGTTGGCCAGGATGGTCTCAATCTCTTGATGTCATGATCCACCCACTCGGCCTCCCAAAGTGCTGGGATTTACAGGCGTGAGCCACCACGCCCAGCCCCGTCTTTTCTTTTTCGTTGAGAGGAGACACCACACGAGGTCTTATTTTTTCTTTCTTTTTTTTTATCTGAGGTCTTATTTTTTCATTGCATATCAGAATAAGTTGCAGTCATCAGTAACTTTGCCCCTGAACATATATACATGTACATAATTAATTAGAGTTTAATATTATTTATTTGCATTTTTGGGTAATAAAATGTATATGCAGTTAAATATACAAATCTTTTTTTTTTCTTTTTTCACTTAGCAAGTCCACTGGTTGAAAAATACATAAATCTTAAGGGAACCATTCAGTGAGTTTTGACAAATGTATGCACTTGAGTAATTCAGACCCCATCAAGATATATAAAATACATTACTGTTAAACCTGAAAGTTCACTCTTGTGCCTTCTCAGTCAGTCCCTGCCCCCACTCTCCCCAAACCAACCATTGTTGTGGTTTTTTACCATAGTTTAGTTCTGCATGTTCCAGTGCTTCACATAAATGGAATCAATCTTATACAGTGTACTCTTTTGTATCAGAATTATTTCTTTCGGCAGAATGCTTTTAATATTCATGTTGTCCGTTTTTACTGTGTTTATTCTATTTTATTTTATTTATTTATTTTTGAGAATGAGTTTCACTCTGTCGTCCAAGCTGGAGTGCAGTGACATGATCTTGGTTCACTGCAACCTCCGCCTGCCGGGTTTGAGCAATTTTTCCACCTCAGCCTTTCGAATAGCTGGGATTACAGATGTGCACGATCACGCCCAGCTAATTTTTGTATTCTTAGTAGAGACAGGGTTTTGCCATGTTGCCCAGACTGGTCTCAAACTCCTGACCTCAAGTGAGCTGCCTGCCTCGGCCTCCCAAAGTGCTGGGATTATAGGCGTGAGCTACCGTGCCCGGCTTTATTGTTGAATAGTGTTCCTCTTACTAATGTATTGGAGTTTGTTTATTCATTCTGCTGTTGATGATCATGTAGTAGTTTCCAGATTTTGACTGTTAATGAATAAAGCTGCTATGAACACTCAAGTGCAAGTCATAAAGACTTCAAACATATTCTTTTATTTCTCTTAGGTAGATTCCTAGCATAATCTGCTGGGTTGTAGGGTAGATGTATGAACAGTTTTATAAGAAATGGCCAGATATGCTTCCAAATTGCATATACCATTTTACACTCTGTCAACCATATATGAGAGTTCTGGTTGCTTCACATCTTTGCTATTCAAGGGCTTGCATAGTGGTATTTCATTGTGTGTGTTTTTTATTTTTTAGAGATTGCAGATGGTTTGAATCATTGTGGTTTTAATATCCCTAATGACTAATGATGGTATCTCTTTTTCTACTTGCTTATTGGCCGTTTGTATATTTTATTTTGGGAAGTGTCTAACTTTTTTATTCCTTTTCTTGGGGGGTTGAGTTTTTGAGTTTTTATTGTTGTGTAGTAGAAGTTCTTTTTGTATTTTGAATATAAGTCCTTTGTCAGATATATGTTATGTAAAAATTTTCTTCTGCCCTCTTACATGACTGTTTACTTTTTAATTGCATTTTTGGTGAAATAATGTCTAATTCATTAAAACTTTTCTTTTATAGTTAGTGCTTTCTCTGTCTCCTCTAAGTTACCTTTGCCCACCCTGAAGTAGCAAAGATGTTCTCCTGTATTTTGTTATGGACGCTTTATCATTTTAACTTTTATATTCATGTCTCTGATCCATCTCAAATTCTTTGATTTTTTTTTTTTTCTCCCCCTGGGAGGCACAACATTGGAATGTGTGTTTGTTTTTTTATAGACGAGGTCTCACTATGATGCCCAGGTTGGAGTGCAGTGGCTATTCACAGGTGCAGTCATAGCTCACTGTAGCCTTGAACTCCTGGCCTCAAGCAATCCTTCTGTCTCAGCCTCCCAAGTAGCTGGGACTACAGCCATGTACCACCACACTCTTCAAATTAATTTTTGTGTATGGTGAGAAGTAAAGGTTGAGGTTCATTTTTTCCATGTAGATATCCAGTTGTTCCAGCACCATTTATCGAAAAGACTTTCCTTTCCCTATTTGATTGCTTGGCACTTTTGCCAAAAACCAAATGACGGTATGAGTCACTTGTATGAATAGTAGGTGTAATTCTGAATACTATTCTATTGTGTTGATATACTTGTCTATATACTACATTACACTGTCTGCTGGGCATGGTGGCTCATGCCTGTAATCCCAGCACTTTGGGAGGTCAAATCACTTGAAATCAAGAGTTTGAGACCAGCCTGGGTGACACAGTGAGACCTAGTCTCTATTTCTTTTTTTTTTTTCTTTTTCCTTTTTTATTTGAGACGGAGTTTCACTCTTGTTGCCCAGGCTGGAGTGCAATAATGGCGCGATCTTGGCTCACTGCAACCTCCGCCTCCCAGGTTCAAGCGGTTCTCCTTCCTTAGCCTCCCGAGTAGCTGGGATTACAGGCATGCGCCACCACGCTCGGCTAATTTTGTATTTTTTGTAGAGACGGGGTTTCTCCATGTTGGTCAAGCTGGTCTCGAACTCCCGACCTCAGATGATCCGCCCGCCTTGGCGTCCCAAAGTGCTGGGATTACAGGCGTGAGCCACCTCGCCCGGCCAAGATTTTCTACATAAACAGTCATGGTATCTCTGAGTACACACAGTTTTATCTTCCTTTCAAACCCTTAAACCTTTTATTTCTTATAAATATTATTGCACTGGCTAGGACCTCCAGTACAATATTGAATAGAAGTGGTAAAGTAGATATCTTTGCCTTGTTCCTGCTCTTAGAAGATAAGTCTTTAATATTTTACCATTAAGTTTGATGCTGACTATAGGTTTTTTGTGTATGCCTTTTGTCAAATAGAAGAAGTTACATTCTATTTCTAATTATCTGAGACTTATTAAAATGAATGGGTACTTCATTTTGTCAAATGCTTTTTCTGCATATTTATAAATTATTGGCTGGGCTCAGTGGCTCATGCCTGTAATCCCAGCACTTTGGGAGGCCGAGGCGGGTGGATTACCTGAGGTCAGGAGTTGGAGACCAACCTGGCCAACATGGTGAAATCCCATCTCTACCAAAAATATAAAAATTAGCCAGGCATGGTGGCAGGCGCCTGTAAACCCAGCTACTCAGGAGGCTGAGCCTGGAGAATCTCTTGAACCTGGAAGGCGAAGGTTGCAGTGAGCTGAGATCACGCCACTGCACTTCAGCTTGGGCAACAGAGCAAGACTCTATCTCAAAAAAATTATCAAATGATTTTTTTCCTTTATTATGTCAATACAGTGTATTACTTTATTTTATTTAATTAATTTTTGTGTGAGTGTGACAGAGTCTCCCTCTGTCGCCCAGGATGGAGTGCCGTGGCATAGTCTCGGCTCACTGCAGCCTCCGCCTCCTGGGTTCAAGCAATTTTCCTGCCTCAGACTCCCGAGTAGCTGGGATTACTGGTGCCTGCCACCATGCCCAGCTAATTTTTGTATTTTTAGTAGAGACGAGGTTTCACCATGTTGGCCAGGCTGGTCTCGATCTCCTGACCTCAAGCCGTCTGCCTGGCTCAGCCTCCCAAAGTGCTGGGATTACAGGTGTGAGCCACCACACCTGGCCCATTGATTTATTTTTTTCAAATGTTAAACCAACCTTCCATTTGTGAGATAAACCCTACATGGACAAGACATTGTTTTTATATGTTGCCAAATTTGTGTCTGTTTTTTTTTTTCAGTTTGTTTGGTTTTTCTTTTTTTTTTTGAGATACGAGTCTGGCTCCGTCCCCCAGGCTGGAGTGCAGTGGTGCAATCTCGGCTCACTGCAAGCTCTGCCTCCCTGCAAGCTCCGCCTCCCGGGTTCACACCATTCTCCTGCCTCAGCCTCCTGAGTAGCTGGGACTACAGGCACCCGCCACCACGCCCGGCTAATTTTTTTGTATTTTTAGTAGTGACAGGGTTTCACCATGTTGGCCAGGATGGTCTCAAACTCCTGACTTGGTGATCTGCCTGCCTCGGCCTCCCGAAGTGCTGGGATTACAGGCTTGAGCCACCGCACCTGGCCTGTTTGGTTTTTGAGTTGGGGTCTTGCTTTGTTGCCCAGGCTGGGATGCAGTGATATGTCATAGCTCACTGGAGCCTCAAACTCATGGGCTCAAGTGATCCTCTCACCTCAGCCTCCCAAGTAACTGGGACTACAGGCATGTGCCACCATGCCTGGCTAATTTTTAAAAATTTTTTGTAAATACAGGGTCTCGCTATATTGTCTAGGTTGATCTTGAACTCCTGGCCGCAAGTGATCCTCCTGCCTTGGCCTCCCTAAGTGCTGAGATTACAAGCGTGAGCTACCATGCCTGGCCCTTTGTCTGTGTTTATTGAGGAACGTTGTGTGTGTGTGTGTGTGTGTGTGTGTTTAATTTTTAAAATTTAGTTATATCAGTTACTTAGGCCAGAGGGATGTTAAAATCTCTATGATTATAGCTCTTTTCTTTTCTTTTTTGTTTTTGAGACAGGGTGTTGCTCTGCCACCCAGGTTGAAGTGCAGTGGCACAATCATGGCTCACTGCAGCTTCAACCCGGGTTCACACAATTCTCCCACCTCAGCCTCGTGAGAAGCTGTGACTACAGCTGTGCACTACCACACCTGGCTAATTTTTGTATTTTTCATAGAGACGGAGTTTCACCATGTGGCCCAGGCTGGTCTTGAACTCCTGGGCTCAAGCACTCCACTTGCCTCAGCCTCCCAAAGTGTTGAGATTACAGGCGTGAGCCACTACGCCCAGCCACTTTTTTTTTTTCCTTTTTATTCAGTCAGTTTTTGTTTCTTATATTTTGAAACTGTATTGTTAGATACACATACATTTATGATTGTTATTATAGGGGAGGGAAAAATGGTTTCCCTAAGTTCTTTAGCTGGGTCATTAATTTAGTTTACATGAGACAGATTAACAGGAGAAAAAAAAACTTTTTTTTTTTTGAGATGGAGTCTCGCTGTGTTGGCTGGAGTGCAGTGGTGCAGTCTCGGCTCACTGCAACCTCCGCCTACTGGGTGCAAGCGATTCTCCTGCCTCAGCCCCGCAAGTGGCTGGGATTACAGGCACACGCCACCATGCCCGGCTAATTTTTGTATTTTTAGTAGAGATGGGGTTTCACCATGTTGGCCAGGCTGGTCTTGAACTCCTGACCTCATGATCCACCCGCCTCGGCCTCCCAAAGTGCTGGGATTACAGGCGTGAGCCACCGCACCCAGCAGAAAAAAAATTTTAATTATGTGTGCATGCGTGCATACGTAGGAGTCCCACAAAAATATCAGATTAAAGGGCCAGATGATTGACACTTACGTAGCAGCTTGAGCTATAGAAAGGAAGAGAGGCTTGGGACTTCTAGGGGGTGGCAGAAACAAATTATGGGCAAGCGAGGGGAAGAAACATATGGTGAATACAAATTGCCTTGTTATGTAGGTAAAAATCTCTGTAATTGTCCTGGCCTATGCTTTTTCTACTCCCCTCTGCTTTTTTGGTCCCCCTGTGCTCAGTTCTAACAAGGTAGTCTGGCAGGACACACAGCAGTCTCCTTCAGTTTAGGAGGACTGTCTTTAGAATAGAGCTGTCCCAAGGCACAAGATTACAATTTTTAAAAAAATGTTTTTCAGGTGATAAGTGGTATTGGAGCAGCTCTCTTCTTGGTAGACTTACTTTTACTGATGAAAATTGTTTTGGGGCCGGGCGCGGTGGCTCACGCCTGTAATCCCAGCACTTTGGGAGGCCGAGGCGGGCGGATCACGCGGTCAGGAGATCGAGACCATCCTGGCTAACACGGTGAAACCCCGTCTCTACTAAAAATACAAAAAAATTAGCCGGTCGTGGTGGCGGGCGCCTGTGGTCCCAGCTATTTGGGAGGCTGAGGCAGGAGAATGGCGTGAACCCGGGAGGCGGAGCTTGCAGTGAGCCGAGATCGCACCACTGCACTCCAGCCTGGGTGACAGAGCGAGACTCCATCTCAAAAAAAAAAGAAAATTGTTTTAGAGATGGCAGGTTTTCTTTACAGAAGGGAAAGTTTTCAGAGCTATTCCTATATCTGCAGTTTCTCAATATACTCATCTTGAAATAATTAGTATGTCAAAGGGGTATATTTTGGAATGACATATTCTGGTCACCTAAAGTTGTATTTTGGATACACCTACTATGTACCCACAAAAATTAAAAATTAAAAAAATTGTTTTAAGTTGTATTTTGGGGTGGAGTGCCCTGAGCCCCAACATTGATAAGTTGGCTATTTTGTCATTATGAAATGTCCCTCTTTATCTTAGTCATACTCTTTATATTACAGTTTACTTTATGTGATATTGCTATAGACACTGCATTTGTCTTATACTTACTTTTTACATGGTATATGTTTTTCAATCCTTTCCCCTTCAGCCTTTCTATGTTTCTGTATGCTTTGTAGACAGCCTATAATTGGGTCCTCTTAGGTGATTCATGACTGTAATCTCAGCACTTTGGGAAGCCAAGGTGGGCGGATCACCTGAGGTCAAGAGTTCAAGACCAGCCTGGCCAACATGGTGAAACCTCGTCTCTACTAAAAATAAAAAAAAAATTAGCTGGGCGTGGTGGCATGTGTCTGTACTCCCAGCTACTTGGGGAGGCTGAGGCAGGAGAATTGCTTAAACCCAGGAGGCGGAGGTTGCAGTGAGCCTAGATCACGCCACTGCACTCCAGCTTGGGCAACAGAGTGAGACTCTATCTCAAAAAAAAAAAAAAAAATTGGTTCTCTTAATCTAGCCTGATAAGCTGCCTTTTAATTAGAGCCTTTAGTTCATTTATATTTAATGTAATTATTGATTTGATTGGATTAAGTCTATACTTTTACTATGTAAATTGAAAATTAATTGGATGTTCTTTAGAATTCCATTTTAATTTGGTCGTCTTCTTCCTTCCCCATCTGCTTCTCTAATTCACTGGCAATGGACATCATAAAAAAAGACTACGTGCCAGTGGATTCAGAAAGATTTATAATTTTCTTGGATAAAGTATCTGGAAATTTTTTAGAGTCATAATTGTAGAAACTTAGAATTATCTCTTAGTTGTTTTGGTTTTTTTTTCTTTTTTTGAGACAGAGTTTCATTCTTGTTGCCCAGGCTGGAGTGCAATGGCGTGATCTGGGCTCACTGCAACCTCTGCCTCCAGGGTTCAAGCGATTCTCCTGTCTCAGTCTCCTGAGTAGCTGGGATTACAGGCCCCCACTACTATGCCCAGCTGATTTTTGGTATTTTTAGTAGAAATAGGGTTTCACCATGTTGGCCAGGCTGGTCTCAAACTCCTGACCTCAGGTGATCCGCTCGCCTTGGCCTCCCAAAGTGTTGGGATTACAGACGTGAGCCACCGCGCCTGGCCATCTCTTAGTTTTTTTAAAAAATCAACTTATTTGAGATATAATTTGTATACAAAAACATACTTATTTTAAGTGTACATTTTGATGAGTTTTGACATATTAATTATGCATGTAAACGCCAACACAATCAAGGTATAGCACATACCTATTGCTCTACAATGCTCCCTGTATTCATTTTCAGTCACTGCTCTCTCATTCTGCCGTTCCTAAGTAAACACTGAGCTGTGTCTGCCACTATAGATTACACTTATCTTTTCTAAAGATTTGTATCTGGCTTCTTTTACTCAGTATATTTTTGAGATTCATCCATGAGGTGGTAGATATCAATAGTTTATTCCTTTTTAATGCTGAGCAGTAGTCTATTGTATGAATATTTCACAATTCATTTACCCAGTTAAAGGTATTATAATTATGGCTCCTGTTTGTAATGAGAAGTCATGGACAATTCACATTCTCTTTCCCTCTGTGTATTGTGTCATTTTTTTTCTGTAGTTTATTTCAAGATTTTCCACTTATCTTTAGTTTTCAGCAGTTTGACTTTGATTTGCCCACATGCTGTTTTCTTTGTACTTTTCCTGTTTGGAGTTTTCTGAGTTTCTTGATCTGTAAAGTTACGTCCTTCACCAAACTTATGAAATTTTCTTTCTTTCTTTTTTTTTAAATTTGAGACAGGGTCTCACTCTGTCACCCAGGCTGGAGTGCAGTGGTGCAATCTTGGCTCACTGCAACCTCTGCCTTCCAGGCTTAAGCGATCTTCCCGCCTCAGCCTCCCAAGTAGCTAGGACCACAGGCGTGCACCACCATGTCTGGCTAATTTTTGTATTTTGTTCAGAGACAGGGGTTTGCCATGTCGCCCAGGCTGGTCTCGAATTCCTGGGCTCAAGTGATTTGCCTTTGTTGGCCTCCCAAAGCGCTGGGATTACAGGTGTGAGTCACCACACCTGGCCAAATTTATGAAATTTTCTGACATAATTTTCAAATATTTTTTTCTGCCCTATTCCCCTTTTTCCTCCTGGGACTCCACTGTCAGGTGAGTTAGACCTTTTGATATTGTCCGACAGCTCACTGAGGCTCTCTTCATTTCTTTGCAATTTTTTTGTTCTATTTCTCATATTGGATAATTTATTTATTTTCTTTCTTCTTTTTCTTTTTTTTTTTTTGAGACAGAGTCTCACTTCTTCACCCAGGCTGGAATGCAATGGCACGATCTCGGCTCACGGCAATCTCTGCCTCCTGGGTTCAAGCAATTCTCCTGCCTCACAAAAAAAAAAAAAAAAAAAGGTTGGGGGCCAGACATGGTGGCTCATGCGTGTAAACCCAGCACTCGCTGTGGTGCCCAGGCTGATCTCAAACTCTTGGGCTCAGACAGTGCTCTCATATCAGCCTCCAGAGTATTGAATTATAGGCGTTCTTTATACATTCTCTATAAGTGATTTTATCAGATATGTATTTCACCAGTATTTTTTTCTGGTTTGTGGCTTGCCCTTGCATTTTTGTAACAGTGTCTTTTGAAGCACAAAAGGCAAAATTTTGATGAAGTCTCGCTTGCCAGTTTTTGTTGTGGTTCATGTATTTTGTGGCCCAAGAAATCTTTGCCCAACCCAAGATCACCTTCTTCTTGGAGGTTAATAGTTTTAACTTTTACATTTAGACCTATGATCTATTTTGAGTTAATTTTTCAATCTGGTATGAAGTAAGGGTCAGGGTTCATTTTCTTGGTCAGGTGCAATGGCTCACACCTGTAATTTCAGCAGTTTGGGAGGCCGAGGTGGGTGGATTGCTTGAGCTGAGGAGTTGGAGACCAGTTTGGGCAACATAATGAAACCCCCGTCTCTACAAAAAATACAAAAAAAAGAAAAAAAGAAAATTAGCCGAGAGTGGTAGTGCATGCCTGTGGTCCCAGCTACTTGGGAGGCTGAGGTGGGAGGATTGCTTGTGCCCAGGAGGTGGAGGTTGCAGTGAGCTGAAATTGCACCACTGCATTCCAGCCTGGGCGACAGAGCAAGATCATGTCTGAAAAAAAAAAAAGGCTTATTTTTTTGGTTATAAATATACATACATGTTCCAGCACCATTTGTTGAAAAGATTATCCTTTCCCCATTGAGGTACCTTGGCACTTCTGTAGAACCTAAAATGACCACTGTTGGGGAAATACAATTTAAAAAATGAAAATCTTCTTGCATCCCAGAAAACCTCTCACTAAGGCGGTAGAGAAAGACAACAGTTTTATTATTGAATAAACATTAAATCAGATGTGATGCACATCACAAATCCACTGAGATATTGCAAAGACTGATAGAATCTTACTCCCTTATGTAGGTAGCCAAGCCAAGGTAACCCTTTACAATACACACTTTTAAGATAAACAATTGTTAGTCCTCAAGTAAGAGGACTTGACAGCACCATTTGTCACACATAGTTTGTCCTAACTTTATTATGGTAATTGGGGAGACCACCTGTACTGGCTTTATCTGGAGGAGAAACAAACTGTTCTTAGTCATATTGTTCTGACAGGAGGTGGTTCTGTAAATTGGAGCAAGGTGCTCTTCAGAGTTAGGCTCTTACCTTCCTACTGGGAACTGGGAGATAGGGAAGCTGTCTCCTTTGATGTTTGCATTTCAAAAAGATGGCTCCCAGGTCCTTGAAACATTCCTGATTTGTGTGACTATTTTTGGCCTTTAGAAAGATTTACGTATATTTGAAAAGGAGAGTGAAAGAAAATTTGAAAGACAAGATTGGGGTCGGGGGGAGTCTTTTTTATTATTTTCAACAGGGAGAATTAAATCTCTTATTTTTAATTGTATTTTCCCTTATACCACATAAGTGTGGCTCTGTTTCTTTACTGTCTATTCCATTACATCGATCTGTTTGTCTTTCCTTGTAACTGTGTAGTAAATGTTGAAATCAGTGCATCTTCCAGCTTTGGTGTTTTTTCCAAAATTGTTTTGAATATTCTAGAGACTTTTTATTTTCATATACATTTTGAAATCAAATTATCAGCTTTTACAAACAGCTTGCTTGGAATTTGATTGGGTTTGTATAGAATCTGTAGATCAGTTTGGGAACAATTGACATCTTAACAATATTGAGTCTTCTGATTCATGAACATGGAAGAGCGCTCTTTTTCTTCTTGGCAATGATTCATAAGTTTGAGAGGCTATAGGGTTAAAGAGGGAAAGCGTTCTCTTTGCCCTCTAAAAGTTCACTAAAAATTAACTGACAGAAGGTAGATTAATAGGATAAAAAAGCATATAAAATTTATTTCATGTGCATAGTAAGCACAGGGGAATTGCAGGAGAATGATAACCCAATAAAGTCCAGATGCTTATATACCTACCCTTCTTTAACAGGGAAGGGGAGATGAAGGTTATAAGAGTAAATTATTTTCAGGGGAAAAGAATGAGCCCAAATGCTGGGTGCAGTTGCTCATGCCTGTAATCCCAGCAGCTGGGAGTCTGAGGGAGGAGGATTGCTTGAGGCCAGGAGTTTGAGACCAGCCTAGGCAATGTAGCTAGAATTCATCTCTAAAAATAAAAAATGAAAAATAAAAAAAAGAATGAACCTAAACAACAATGGCCTGGGACAAGGTTCTTTTGAACTTTGGGGGAGGTGGCAGGAAGATGAGGGGCAGAACTTCACTGTGAACAAAAGTTGTCTTTCTTTTTTTGAGACAAGGTCTCACTCTGTCACCCAGCCTGGAGTGCAGTGGCATGATCATGGCTCACCACAGCCTCGACCTCCCCAGGCTCAGGTGATCCTCCCACCTTAGCTTCCTGAGTAGCTGGGACAATAGGTGTGTGCCACCATGCCCTGCTAATTTTTGTGTTTTGGGTAGAGATGGGATTTTGCCATGTTGCCCGGGCTGGTCTCGAACACCTGAGCTCAAGCAATCCACCCGTCTCGGCCTCCCAAAGTACTGGGATTACAGGCGTGAGCCACTGGAGCCACTGTGCTTGGCCTAACAAAGGTTGTCTTATGCCTGTTGTTTCCCAGGTAATCTGTCTGAACTGTCCTCAGAAGCATACAGATGTCC
Source organism: Homo sapiens (assembly GCF_000001405.40). NCBI lineage: Eukaryota > Metazoa > Chordata > Mammalia > Primates > Hominidae > Homo > Homo sapiens. The sequence continues at coordinate 117,269,746 of NC_000011.10, forward strand.
CTAACTTACAATGGTTTGACTTACGATTTTTCCACTTTATGATACTAGGAAAACAATACACATTTTGTGTACTCCTTGACTTACTATGGGGCTATGTCCAGAAAATGTCATCATAAGTTGAAACTATCATGAGTCAAAAATCAACTTACCCAATCAATTTACAATGGGTTTATTCGGATGTAACCTCATCATAAGTCAGGGACCATCTATAAATGAAAAGTCTTACCTGGACGTGTTGATGACTTCCAGTCTCTTCTCTTCTCTGGTAGTGAATCTTTCATTGTTGTTTGGTGAGATTCCTAGGTGGGGGATCTTAAGACAGTTGCATTTCTTTTGCAGAGATAAGAATTTTCTTAGATAAGGAAATTCCAAAGATAATCCCTCTTGGTGCTTCTGGAAAGAGGACCAGAGAGATGGGCTTGGGGGAAGGTTGGAGATAGACCTTGGTTCTGAGGCTTATTTCTGAGGCTTTTCAATTTTCTTTTCTTTTCTTTTCTTTTTTTTTTTTTTTTTTTTTTTTTTGAGTCAGGGTCTTACTCAGTTGCTCTGTTGTCCAGGCTGCAGTATAGTAGCACGATCACGGCTGACTGCAGCCTTGACCTCCTGGGCTGCGATGATCCTTCCACCTTTGCCTCCCAAGTAGCTGGGCCTACAAGCATGTGCCACCACACCACTCTAATTTATTTACTTATTTTAATTTTTTTGAGATGGAGTCTCTGTCTGTCACCCAGGCTGGAGTGCAGTGGCACGATGTGGGCTCACTGCAACCTCCACCTCCCGGGTTCAAGCAGTTCTGTCTGCCTTAGCCCCCCACTCCCCCACCCCCCCGGTAGCTGGGACTACAGGTGCCTACTACCACACCCGGCTAATTTTTGTATTTTTAGTACAGACAGGGTTTTGCCATGTTGGTCAGGCTGGTCTTGAACTCCTGACCTCAGGTGATCCACCCGCCTTGGCCTCCCAAAGTGCTGGGATTACAGGCATGAGCCACCTCACCCAGCCTAATTTATTTTTATTTTTTGTAGAGACAGGGTCTCACTGTGTTGTGCAGGCTGGTCTCAACTCAAATGCCTGGACTCAAGCAGTCCTCCTGCCTGTGCCTCACAAAGTGTTGGGATTACAGGTGTGAGCCACCACATCTTGCCTCAGTTTTCTTTTTTCTTTTTTTTGAGACAGAATGTGGCTCTGTCCCCCAGGCTAGAGTGCAGTGGCATGATCTTGGCTCACTGTAGCAGCCCCTGCCTTTTGGGCTCAAGTGATTCTCCTGTCTCAGCCACCCAAGTAGATGGGATTACAGGTATGTGCCACCACGCTTGGCTAATTTTTGTATTTTTAGTAGAGACAGGTTTTTGCCATGTTGCCCAGTCTGGTCTCAAACTCCTGTGTTCAAGTGATCCGCCTGCCTCAGCCTCCCAAAGTGCTGGGATTACAGGTGTGAGTCACTTCGCCCAGCCAGTTTTCTTTAATTCAAAGCATCGTATTTTGGGGTATCGTTTTCTGTACCCTAACAAGGCCAAGAAGACAGCTCCTACTCTTTGTATTATGCCCTCAAAATTCTAGCCACCTTGGCCTCTGTGAACCCGTTTTTGTCTCTTATTTAGCAACAATGCCAGCTCTGTTTGCATTTGCCGTCCCTGTGCTGCAGACTGGAAACTGCCTCCAGGCAGTGAGCTGGAGCAATTGTAGGGCTGCTTTCATGTGTATTCCTTTCTCAATGATCATAGTCCTGTGCTGCCTATTGTCCAGTGTTTGAAAACATTGTTTCATATGTTTTGTCCAGTTGTTTAGTTCTTTAGGGCCACAGGATAAATCTGTCCCTGGTACTCCATTTCAGGCAGAAGCAGAGTCCTAAATTATCTTCTGGACAGGTTAAATTTGAAGTATTTGCAGGATATCCATGCTAGTATGTGTAGTAAACATTAGTGGAAAAGGAGCTAGAAATGAAGCTAATGGCCTGGATAGTGTACTAGGAGTTGATCAGTTCTCATTAATTCCTTGTGAAGGGTTGGAATGGTGATTAGAAAGGAGGTCGTGGTCACAAAATGACAGAACAAAGTTTGAGGTGTTTTTTTGTTGTTGTTGTATTTTGTTTTGAGACAGGGTCTCGCTGCATCATACAGGCTGTAGTGTGATGATAGCTCACTGTAGCCTCTACCTCCTGGGCTTAAGCAGTCCTCCCACCTCAGCCTCCCAAGTAGCTAGGACTGCAGGAGCACACCACCGTGCCCAGTTAATCTTTTTATTTTTCTTAGAGGCGAGGGTCTTGCCATGTTGCCCAGGCTAGTCTTGAACTCCTGGGCTCAAGTGATCCTCCTACTTTGGCCTTCCAAAGTGCTGGTAGCCAGGCATGGTGGTATATGCCTGTAGCTACTTGGGAGGCTGAGGCAGGAGAATCACTAGAGCCCATGAGTTTGAGGTTCCAGTGAGCTTACGATTGTGCCACTGTACTCCAGCCTGGGTAACACAGTGAAACCCTGTCTCTAAAAACAACCACCAACCACCACCTTGAGCCACCTTGCCTGGACCAAAGTTTGAGGTTTTCAGTGTAGACTTTCCGTGTGTTAATATGGTTTAAGGGGTGGCTTTGCTGCCAGAAAACCAAACACCGCATGTTCTTACTCATAAGTGGGAGTTGAACAGTGAGAACACATGGCCACAGAAAGGGGAACAACACACACCAGGGTCAGTTGGGGGGGTAGGGAGGAAGAGGAGGGAGAGCATTAGGACAAATAGCTAATGTATGCGGGGCTTAAAACCTAGATGACGGGTTGATAGGTGGAGCAAACCACCATGGCACATGTATACCTATGTAACAAACCTACATATTCTGCACTAGTATTCCGGAACTTAAAGTAAAATTAAAATTTTTTTTTTTTTTTTAAAAAGAAAGAAATGGCTTTCCTGGTAGGCAATTGTCAAGGAATGAAGTTTAGGAGGAGGAAGAACTCCAAGGTCTTAGTCTCATATGGATCATGAATATGGATATTGAGTTCACAAAGGTTGTTGTAAAGGGTAGAAAATAAGGAATATGACTAGATGCTAAAAATTATCCATGTGGGTAGAGATGAGATGGGAGTATAGTAGATTAGAGGTGCTGAAACATTTTAGTCTAAGGACCCTTTTAAACTCTTAGTAATTAACAAGGACCCCAAAGAGGTTTTGTTTATATGGATTTTATCTATCAGTATATACTGAACCAGAAATTAAAACTGAGAAAAAATTTAATATTTATGCATTAATTTATTTTAAAATAATAAACCTATGTGTTAAATAGCATATTTTCTATGAAAAATATTTTTCAGATAAAGATCAGTTTAGTTAGAATAATAATATTGTTTACATTTTGTAAATCTCTTTCATGGAAGAAGCTTACTTATCTGCTATATTTAATTGATTGCAATATATTGTTTTGGTTGAAATATATAAAGAAAATCTGATGATATGCAGATAAGTAGTTGGAAAGCAAAGAGTATTTTAATAGCTTTTAAAGATAATTGTGGATATTCATCTTTGATACTATGCCAAAACTTGGTGTGTTGGTGTCTTAAAGTTAAGTTGCATTGTGGGATCTGAAACCACATCAATAAACATTTTGCTTTTATTTTCAAATTTGTTTTATTATTATTATTATTATTTTAGTTTTATTCCTGGCAAGCTGTGAAGTTTTTTATACTAGTACATTAAAATCTATTTGTTTACCTTGAATTTTGAATGGATATTTTGTATGTTGTATGGGGAAGAGAAACCTTTTCTCTACCTTCTTATGTTCAGAGATTAGGGCCCGAAAATTAAACTGACAAAATGTTATACAACCAACAAGTTTATATGACCACTGTGCAGTAGTAGATCAGTTACATTGAAACAGCAGGGTTTGCAGCAGAGAAAGAGTTTAATGATTGCAGAGCATTGAGTGAGGACATGGGAGGAGACCCTCAAATCCATTTCCCCTGAGGAGTTATGGGCTGGTATTTTAAGTTTTAAGGGGATTGTGGAAGGTAAGGGGCGGGAAAATTGAGGTCGTTGATTGGTTGGGATACGGGGGATGAAATCATCAAGATGTGGAAACTGCATTCTTTGGTGAGTCAGCTCCTCTGGGATCCTTCAGACCAACTGGCGTCAGTGGGGTCCTTCAGACAGGCTGATGTCAATAATTTCACTGCTATGCAGGATCTGAAAGAATATCTTAAAGGGAAAACTTAATGTTTTATAATGTTCATGTTGTCTATAGAACACTTAAGGGGAACTTTAATCTCGTAGCAGGGTCTATGTGATTCTGAGGCAGCAGGCGCAAAACACTGGTGAAGTAGCTAGTCAGAGAGCAAGCTGACCTCATGATAAACACTGCATGTGCTGCAAGCCTCGTTTATTTTCGTTTCTCCCCCCTCTTCTTCCCCGATGAATTTCATACAGTTTATAGGGACAGTTTCAAAATAACAGATTAACAGGAGGGAAAAACAGTTTATTTACATGTGCAATGTGCATACACATGGAAGAACTCAGTGGTGGGTAACTCAAAGGAGTAGTTAGTTAGAATTTGGGGCCAATATGCTATCTTACTAGATGAAGGGGAGAGAGGAGAAAGCCCCTAGTACTGGGAAAACAAATGACTTCTTTTTTTTTTTTTTTTTTTTTTTGAGATGGAGACTTGCTCTTGTTGCCCAGGCTGGAGTGCAATGGCACAATCTTGGCTCACTGTAACCTCCGCCTCCTGGGTTCAAGAAGTTCTCCTGCCTCAGCCTCCTGAGTAGCTGGGATTACAGGTGCCCACTACCACACTCGGCTAATTTTTTTTTTGTATTTTTAGTAGAGACGAGGTTTCACCCTGTTGGGCCAGGCTAGTCTCGAACTCCTGACCTTAGGTTATCTGCCCACCTTGGCCTCCCAAAGTTCTGGGATTACAGGCGTGAGCGACCGTGCCCAGCCATGGCTCTTTTTTTTTTTTTTTTGAGACAGAGTTTTACTCTTGTTGCCCAGGCCAGAGTGCAATGGCACAATCTCAGCTCACTGCAACCTCCGCTTCCCGGGTTCAAGCAGTTCTTCTGCCTTAGCCTCCCAAGTAGAACACAGATGGGCGCCATGATGTCTGGCTAATTTTTGTAAATTTTTTTTTTTTGTAGAGACGGGGTTTTGCCATGTTGGCCAGGCTGGTCTTGAACTCCTGACCTCAAGTGATCCACCCACCTCAGCCTCCAGAAACAACTGAGATTACAGGTGTGAGCCACTGCACCTGGCCTAGTGGCACATTTTTCAAGATAGGCCATATGATAGGCTACAAAACAAGTCTTAATATTTTTTAAAATAGAAATAATATTAAGTGTTTTCTCAGACCCTAGCAGTATAAAACTAGAAATCAGTTTGAAGAGGAACTCTCAAACCTATAGAAATTAGAAATTAAACAACCTGTCCTGAATGATCTTTGAGTTAACAATGAAATCAAGATAGAAATTAAAATTTTTTAAAAATGATTGATAACGGTGACAGAAGTTATCAAAATCTCAGATACAGCAAAAGCAATACTAAGAGGGAAGTTTATAGTGCCAAATGCCTTCATCAAAAAGACAGGTCACAAATTGACAGTCTAATAATATCACACCTCAAGGAACTAAAAAAACAGGAAGAAACCAAACCCAAAGCTAGCAGAAGAAAAGAAATAACAAAGAACAGAACTAAACAAAATTGAAACCAAAAAATACAAAGGATCAATAAAATTAAAAGTTGTTTCTTTGAAACGATAAGCAAAAATAATAGACCATTAGGTAGATTAGCTGTGAGAGGATTCAAATAAACTTAGTCAAAAATGAAAATAGAGATACCATAACTGATACCACGGAAATAGAAAAGATCATCTGAGACTGCTGTGAACACATATATGTATACAAACCAGAAAACCTAGATGAACTGGATAAATTCCTGGAAACACACAACCCCCCAAGCTTGAACCAGGAAGAAATAGAAATCTTGAACAGACCAATAGCAAGTAGTTTGATTGAATCAGTAATTTAAAAAATCTCCCAACCAAGACATCCCAGGTCCAGATGGATTCACAGCCAAATTCTACCAGACATTCAAAGAACTGATACCAATCCTACTGGAACTATTCCAGAAGATCAAGAAGGAAGGAATCCTCTCTAACTCATTCTACAAAGCCAGTCTCACCCTGATACCAAAGCCAGGAAAGGACACAACAAAAAAAGAAAACTGCAGACCAGTATCCCTGATGAACATAGATGCAAAAGTCCTCAACAAAGTACTAGCAAAACCAAATTGAACAGCATATCAAAAAGATAATTCAGCACAATCGAGTGGGCTTCATCCCAGTGAGGCAAGGATGGCTCAGCATACACAAGTCAATAAATGTGATTCACCACATAAACCGAATTAAAAACCATATGATCATTTCAATAGATTTAGAAAAAGCATTTGATAAAATCCTGTATCCCTTTGTGGTAAAAAAAACCCTCAACAAATTAGGCACAGAAGGAACATACCTCAAAATAATAAAAGCCATATATGACAAACTCACAGCCACCATCATACTGAAGAGAGAAAAGCTGAAAGCATTCCCCCTCAGAACTGGAACAAGGCCGGGCACAGTGGCTCATGCTTGTAATCCCAGAGCTTTGGGAGGCCAGTTCAGGAAGATCACTTGAGTCCAGGAGTTCCAGACCAGCTTGGGCAATATAGTGGGACTCTTTCTCTCAAAAAATTAAAAAATTTGCTGGGCATGATGATACATGCTTATAGTCCTAGTTACTCAGGAATTTGAGGTGGGAGTTCAGGAGTTCAAGGTTACAGTGAGTTATGATCATGCCAGTGTACTCCAGCCTGGACAATACAGTGAAACCCTCTCTCTAAAAAAAAGAAAATAAGAAAATAATTTCTTAACCATTTTTGCTATTGTTGCATGTAGTTCCTTTTGTTAGATCCCAGTGAGGTGAATGTGGCAAAAAACCCAAAGGAAAAGATTTTTTGTTTGTGAATATGTGGAATGTTTCCATTGACATAAGAGGATTTTTCTAATATAAGTTTATATTTGTAGTTGACAATGTGTTTAATGAAAGAGATGTTCAGTGAGCATCTATAATCTTCAAGGATAACATCAGTCACAGAAGGCAACTGTCATGTTTTCTTACAATTATCCGATTGTCAGAGTGAATAGTAGGCTAGATGGATTGACTCTGTAATGTATTTCACATATTTTTATGGTAAGAGCATTCTGACTCTTCATATATTTTGTATATTTTGGAACTGAGGGAATATGTGTTGTAGCAAGAAAACACAGCTGCCTATAAAATCTTTGTCTAAAGAATTATTAGGCTGGGTATAGTGGCTCACACTTGTAATTCCAGCACTTTGGGAGGCTGAGGCTGGTGGATCACCTGAGGTCAGGAGTTCAAGACCACCCTGACCAACATGGCAAAACCCTGTTTCTACTAAAAATACAAAAATTAGCCAGATGTGGTGGTACGCATCTGTAGTCCCAGCTACTTGGGAGGCTAAGGCAGGAGAATTGCCTGAACCTGGGGGGTGGAGGTTGCAGTGAGCCGAGATCCCGCCTGTGTACCCCAGCTTGGGTGACAGCCTTAAAAAAAAATTGTTAGATAATGTGTTCTCTGCTAGGAAGTTAATTTGGGGAAGCAATACCTGGAGATTAAGGCAGAAAATGCCCACCTACTTCTCATTTCTAATAGATGAATATACCTTGTCAGTAGAGGGCTGATGTCAGAGATTGAATAAGTGTGTAACACACACACACACACACCCTCTCTACCTATACATGAAATAGAGAACCAGGGATATGTGGAGAATTGGGTCAAAAGCAAGAATATGTGAGAGGAAAGGGCCTCATAAACTTCTGTTAAGTAGATTGCTCTCTTTTGTATATGTAAGGTTACTACAAAAACAGAAGGGGAATAAAAGTTTCTCTCACTGAAGAAAAGTGGGGGCCAGGCGTGGTGGCTCACGCCTATAATCCCAGCACTTTGGGAGGCTGAGGTGGGTGGATCACCTGAGGTTAGGAGTTCGAGACCAGCCTGGCCAACATGGCAAAACCCCATCTCTACTAAAAATACAAAAAAAATTAGCTGCGCATGGTGGTGGGTGCCTGTAATCCAGCTACTCGGGAGGCTGAGGCAGGAGAATCATTTGAACCTGAGAGGTGGAGGCTGCAGTGAGCCAAGATTGTGTCACTGCACTCCAGACTGGGCAACAGATAGAGACTCCCTCTCAAAAAAAAAAAAAGAAAAGTGGGAACATTTCTCTTAAGATGTAACTCTTGGCCGGGCGCAGAGGCTCACACCTGTAATCCCAGCACTTTGGGAGGCCGAGGCGGGTGGATCACGAGGTCAGGAGATCGAGACCATCCTGGCTAACATGGTGAAACCCTGTCTCTACTAAAAATACAAAAAATTAGGTGGGTGTGGTGGCACGTGCCTGTAGTACCACCTACTCGGGAGGCTGAGGCAGGAGAATCGCTTGAACCCAGGAGGCGGAGGATGCCATGAGCCAAGATCACGCCATTGCACTCTAGCCTGGGTGACAGAGTGAGACTCTGTCTCAAAACAAAACAAAACATGTAACTCTTCCCAAGCTTTTCTTCTTATTTTATTTTTACTTTTCTAAAATGTCGGGGAGATAATTTAAGTATTTTCATCCTATTCTGTCCACTGATCTTGGTAATCCAGGCTTCCAGCTATAAAACTTTACCACAATCAAATGTAATATAAGGAAATTCCTTTGCTGGCTGTGTTGCTTAACGGCCTCTATAGTTCTGAGTAGGGTGATCACCCATCCCAGTTTTAGCACTGAAAGTCATCCATCCTGGGAAATCCCTCAGTACTGGGCAAACCAGGAGAGTTGGTCACTGTCATGCTGAGTGGGGGGAAAACATGTAAGGAGGGAGGAAACCAAAGAAAATGAGAAGTCCTGAGGTATGAAGAGAACATTTTTTTCCTTTTGAAGCATATTTACTATAGCTAGGAAAACTTGAAAATTAATAAACTTGTATCACTGTGCTTAGTAGCGAATTAGTGATTTGCTGCATTAAGGATGAATATTAAGTAGGCCTCTGGCCAGGCACAGTAGCCTGTAATCCCAGCACTGTGGGAGGCCGAGGTGGCAGGATCACTTGATCCCAGGAGTTTGAGAACAGCCTGTAGAACAAAGTGAGACCCCTGTCTCTACAAAAAATAATAAGTAAGCATCAGCCAGGCGTGCTGGCTTGTGTCCGTAGTCCCAGCAACTTGGGAGGCTAAGGCAAGAAGATTGCTTGAGCCCAGGGGGTTGAGGCTGCAGTGAACCAAGGTCATAGCACTGTACTCTGGTCTGGGCAACAGAGTAAGACCCTGTCTATAAAAAACAAACAAACAAAAAAGTGGACCCCTGTGTTTGGTCCTGCATTCATTCTTCAGGACCCATACTAAAAGACATGTTGGGAAATAAGAATGCAGAATGCCATAATGGTTTTGAATCCTCTTGAACGTAGAAGAATGTTCTGCCTTCAATGGAGGGCTTTTGTTCTAAGATGCAGTCTTTTTCCTGCTGTAGGTAACTTTATTTTAGCAAGTGGAGATACAAACTTTTTTTTTTTTTTTTTTTTTTTTTTGAGACAGAGTCTCGCTTTGTAGCCTAGGCTGGAGTGCAGTGGTGCAATCTCGGCTCACTGCAACCTGCGCCTCCCAGGTTCAAGCAATTATCTTGCCTCACCCTTCTGAGTAGCTGGGACTAGGCGACAGGCGTGCGCCATCACGCCCAGCTAATTTTTGTATTTTTAGTAGAGATGGGGTTTCACCACGCTGGCCAGACTGGTCTCAAACTCCTGATTTCAAGTGATCTGCCCATCTTGGACTTCCAAAGTGCTGGGATTACAGGCGTCAGCCACCACGCCCGGTCACAACGTTTTTACTTTCAAATATAGGGCCATTATGCAACTGCAGACCACTGTAAACATTATTTGTCTGTATCTATATTTGATACTTATACTCCAGCTCTCTTTTGATTAGCAAAGAATAAAGAAGAAAGAAAAATAAGTATAGTTAATACTTAGAGTAAGACTTCCTGTAACATACTTGGCTGACCAATTTTGGGTTGTACTTTTGCCCTGGTATCTCTCAACAAGCTTATCTTTCTTCCTTAGTCTTGTTCTTGGTTTCTTATCTTACAGAGAGGTGTGGGAAATGGAACTGGATAGACTCAAGAATCAGGATGGCGAAATAAATAGGAACATTATGGAAGAGACTGAACGGGCCTGGAAGGCAGAGGTGAGAAGAGGAGCTGATATCTTGAAAGTCTTAGTTTCAGGCTTCCAGATGGTATCTACTTTTGGCATTGTAATAGGAGAGCCAGTAAGCATTTGTTTTCACTACCTAGAGGTACCTTTGTGTATGTAAAATTAATAAAGTATTTATATGTGTGTGGCTTCCTTAGATCTTATCACTAGAGAGCCGGAAAGAGTTACTGGTACTGAAACTAGAAGAAGCAGAAAAAGAGGCAGAATTGCACCTTACTTACCTCAAGTAAGTACCTTTCCGTTCTAGAGCTTTAATTGTTTTGCAGTTTGTTTGTTTGTTTGTTTAGGTTTTTTCATTCCTAGGCCAGCTAGTCTGGCACTTATTCTATCTGCACAGGAATTGTAAGGCTATCTCTGTCTGCAGTAGCAATTGCTCAGTGGTTTTTCCTCTCACATTCTAAAGTTCTGTACTGTAACTCTTCCCTGCTACAGTTTTATAGTTTTGCATTTTTTAATGTTTTGTTTCCATTTGGATAAACACTATCTGTTAAAGCCAGACGTAATAGCATGCTCCTGTAATCCCAGCACTTTGGGAGGTCGAGGCAGGAGGATCACTTGTGCCCAGGAGGCCGAGGCTGCAGTGAGCTTTGATGGCATCACTGCACTCCAGCCTAGGTGACAGTGAGACCCTGTCTCTAAAAAATAAAAAATAACCAGCATCTGTTAACCTATAAAGCATAACAATGATCTTTGGAGATTCATTTCCTATGTAGTCATTTATTTTCTTTCTGCCATGGAACTTGGAGGACCCTTGTGGCATTTTCAGGCAGACAAGAACCCTCTCTCTGTTGTTGGTTCTCTTTCTCAATTACTTAAAAGATACTGGAGTTAAAGTGAGGCAAAGGAATTCGAATCTTGGGCTTCTCCTGCACCTGCTCCCACCTCTTCTCAACGGCAATTAGCCAGCTACTATTTTGCTTTTGCTATCTCAGAGAATTAGGAATAGGGCTTTTTTTTTTTTTTTTTTTTTAATGACAGGGTCTCCCTCTGTTGTGCAGTGGTGCCATCTTGGCTCACTGCAACCTCCATCTCCTGAGCACAAGCCATCCTCCTACCTCAGCCTGCCAAGTAGCTGGGACTATAGGCGTGAGCCACCACACCTGGCTAATTTTGCATTTTTTTAAGAGACAGGGTTTAGCCACATTGCCCAGGCTGGTCTAGAACTCCTGAGCTCAAGTGATCTGCCCGCCTTGGCCTCTTGTGCTGGGATTACAGGCGTGAGTCACTGTTCCTAGCAGGGCTTTCTTTAAATCTGTAAATTCCTGTTGGTTTCTTGAAAGGTCAACTCCCCCAACACTGGAGACAGTTCGTTCCAAACAGGAGTGGGAGACGAGACTGAATGGAGTTCGGATAATGAAAAAGAATGTTCGTGTAAGTGTATCTATGAGTCATCATTCAGTCAGTGTTAGTCTGTGCTTAACACTTCCAGCAATTGGGAGGTAGCCTTTTGCATTGCCATTTGGGGCCTATCCTACTATTCCTTTTGTTTTCCTGATAATGGATGGTGCTGTCTTTCTAGAGAGCCTGAGTCAGTTCAGCAGTAAAAATAATCCTTTTTTTTTTTAGGACCAATTTAATAGTCATATCCAGTTAGTGAGGAACGGAGCCAAGCTGAGCAGCCTTCCTCAAATCCCTACTCCCACTTTACCTCCACCCCCATCAGAGGTAAGAGAGTGGCTTTGGGGGGAAGTTCACCTTTCTGTGTTGGTAGCAGCAGCAGAGTCTTCTGCGTGTTCTTTTTATGAAGATATTGGGACCATCCCTATTCAGTGCAAGAGTTGTTCATTGATGTCTTCTCCAGTTTCCTAAACTTTCTTTTTCTTCCTTTCTCTCTCGTCCTCTACCTCTTCTCCTCTGCAGACAGACTTCATGCTTCAGGTGTTTCAACCCAGTCCCTCTCTGGCTCCTCGGATGCCCTTCTCCATTGGGCAGGTCACAATGCCCATGGTTATGCCCAGTGCAGATCCCCGCTCCTTGTCTTTCCCAATCCTGAACCCTGCCCTTTCCCAGCCCAGCCAGCCTTCCTCACCCCTTCCTGGCTCCCATGGCAGAAATAGCCCTGGCTTGGGTTCCCTTGTCAGCCCCCACGGTCCACACATGCCCCCTGCCGCCTCCATCCCACCTCCCCCAGGCTTGGGCGGTGTTAAGGCTTCTGCTGAAACTCCCCGGCCCCAACCAGTAGACAAACTGGAGAAGATCCTGGAGAAGCTGCTGACCCGGTTCCCACAGTGCAATAAGTAAGTACCTTCAAGGACTGATTCAGATGTCTCTATCAGAGAAATGCTTATGGGTTAAAACAGAGGAGGTTACATGGGTGTTCCCCGTGGGTATAGCATAGGCTTTCTCTCCCTCAACATTTTTTTTCCTCAGGGCCCAGATGACCAACATTCTTCAGCAGATCAAGACAGCACGTACCACCATGGCAGGCCTGACCATGGAGGAACTTATCCAGTTGGTTGCTGCACGACTGGCAGAACATGAGCGGGTGGCAGCAAGTACTCAGGTGAGAAAAGCCACTTGGGAGAGAACTTAGGCATGTTGAGGGCTGGGGAAGAGGTAGATTTCAGAAAAATGTGGGGTGGGAAGAAGCATTCCAGTCAGAGGTAGCTAGTCTGCTTTTTTCCTTTCCTGGACTGGGAAATAAGTGATTTTTGTGATATGCTCTGTTACTCAGACTCTCTTCCCTTACTCTGACAATGTTTCTACCTACAGCCACTTGGTCGCATCCGGGCCTTGTTCCCTGCTCCACTGGCCCAAATCAGTACCCCAATGTTCTTGCCTTCTGCCCAAGTTTCATATCCTGGAAGGTCTTCACATGTAAGACTCTTTTTCTTTGAACACTGTGATATGGAGAAGCTGGAGGTGAGGAAGGAGTGGGTTTACAGGTGGAGTGCAGGAAGAAACCATCAGTTGGGTTATTTGCAGCCCTACTGGGAAAATGCAAATATTTTAGGCAAGAATCTATATTTGGATTTTTGTTTCTTTTGATATAAATCTTTTTGCTGCATGGAATTATGGGCATAAAAGGCAAGGAGACCCAGAGGTTCCTTACCTTTTGATCATGCCGCCTCTGTTCTACAGGCTCCAGCCACCTGTAAGCTATGTCTAATGTGCCAGAAACTCGTCCAGCCCAGTGAGCTGCATCCAATGGCGTGTACCCATGTATTGCACAAGGAGGTAGGTGTTACAGACCTTCCTCATTTTCTACACTTTTTCTTCTGACAGCTAAAATAATTTTTCTTTCTCATTTTCTACTCTTTTTTTTCCCTGACAGCTAAAATAACTTTTCTTTTACTGTGTTGGTGCTCATCATTAATATCTTTTTTGTTTTGTTTTGTTTTGTTTTAGACAGAGTCTCGCTCTGTTGCCCAGGCTGGAGTGCAGTGGTGTGATCTCAGCTCACCGCAACCTCCACCTCTCAGGTTCAAGTGATTCTCCTGCCTCAGCCTCCTGAGTAGCTGGGACTACAGGCGCCTGCCAACATGCCTGGCTAATTTTTGTATTTTTAGTAGAGACAGGGTTTCACCATATTGGCCAGGCTGGTCTCGAACTCCTGACCTTGTGATCCGCCCATCTCAGCCTCCCAAAGTGTTGGGAGTACAGGCGTGAGCCACCGTGCCCAGCCTTTTTTTTGTTTTGTTTTTTGAGATAGGGTTTCTTTCTGTTGCCCAGACTGGAATGCAGTGGCACGATTATAGCTCACTATAGCCTCAATCCCCTAGGCTCAAGGTGCTTCAGTCTCTTGAGTAGCTGAGATTACAGGCACATGCCATCATGCCCAGCTAATTTTTTTTTTCTTTTTTAGTAGAGAGAAGGTCTTGTTATGTTGCCCAGGCTGGTCCCAAACTCCTGGGCTCAGGTGATCCTCCTGCCTCAGCCTCCCAAAGTGCTGGGATTACATGCGTGAGCCAGTGCACCTGGTCTCTAATGTCTAATCATAAGGTTTTCAGTAAATTGTGGCTTAAACATTAGCAGAATTCAGAATACTGCAGTTAGGATCTCTCAGCTTTTTACCCCATTCCCTTCAGGGGACTGGATAAGCAATTCATACTGCGCACTAAATAACTTTCTTGGAAAATTGACAATGAGTGATAATCCCACATATCTAACTATTGTTCAAAATGTAGCATTGTCAGAAGACTTTGCCTAGATGAGAGGAATGGAATGGAGGACCTGAGTATGAGATTAGTAACTCCATTAACAGAACAGCTTGGAGGGCTTGCCGGTTAGAGATTATCTTCACAGACTGACAAGTCATTCCTATTTTTTTATGTTGCCAGCAGAGTTAAGTCTCTTAGTAGCAGGGATGATTCCCTCTTAACAACATTTTGTTTTGTTCATTTTGCTTTTCCAAGAGGTAGAAACTGAATTTACATCTAAATTCTTGGTAAGAAAAATTCCTGAATAAGATTTGAGGGTGTCAGGTCTTAGAACAGAGATGCTCATCTCAGGCAAAATGGATCCTAAGGGGGAGCAAGCCACACTAGACATTCAACAAAAAGCAGCATCATGAACATTTTCAACAGCTCATTGTTAATGTTCCTCATAAAAAGGACAGGTTCACTTGCACTGAGGATTCTTTTAGGGTAAGAGCCATTGAATAGCCCTTCTTGGGGCCAGGCGCGGTGGCTCACACCTGTAATCCCAGCACTTTGGGAGGCTGAGGCAGGCAGATCACTTGAGGCCAGGAGTTCGAGACCAGCCTGGCCAACAAAGTGAAACCCCATCCCTACTAAAAATACAAAAATTAGCCAGGAACGGTGGTGAACGCCTGTAATCCCAGCTACTCGGGAGGCTGAGGCAGGAGAATAGCTTGAACCCAGGAAGCAGAGGTTCCAGTGAGCTGAGATCACACCACTGCACGCCAGCCTGGGCAATAGAGTGAGACTGGGTCTCAAAAAAAGAAAAAAGAACAGCAACAAAAAAAGCCCCTCTTGTACCTCAGTGTAAGAACTTTTCTGACTTAGGCCTTGTTGAACCTTATTGGCATTCTCTCCTTCCTTCCCTTTGTTTTTCCAGATAAACCTGAGGTGTGTCTTTCTTTCTTTCCAGTGTATCAAATTCTGGGCCCAGACCAACACAAATGACACTTGTCCCTTTTGTCCAACTCTTAAATGACGGACCTGACTGGGGAGGAAGAAGAAGAGAAACTGATGTGAACAGGAAGCGCGGGTTCAAGATTTCTAAAACTCTATATTTATACAGTGACATATACTCATGCCATGTACATTTTTATTATATAGGTAATGTGTGTATAGAAAGTCTGTATTCCAATGTTCGTAAATGAAACTATGTATATTATGCAGAAACAGTCTGTTCCCCCTCATCTTGCAATTCCTTTGGGGGATGCAGATTGTAGGGAAGATGATGTTTAGTTTGGCCTTGAAATTATGATATCCCTGCCCAGGGCTGTTTTCAAATACAATATAAAAACCACCTAGGAACCTGCTGTTGCTCTAAGGCCATTCTGCTTTGGTTTGGCTCAGCCTCTAGTCCATTTCCTTAAGGCTCATGTATGCAGATTTAAAGCCTGGTGCTCACCCACTGTCCAACCAGATGCCTTGCTTACCGAAAGCCTCCAGAAGCCTCAGTATTGTTTTAGCCACTCTACTCCAAATGGATAAAATGAGACTCTGATTGAGGAAAAAAAAGTAACCCTAGTAGTTTGACTTCTTATTGAATATTTTACTGTGTTAACGCTCATTATTTATACAGACATTAGGTTTACAGAATATTCTGTTTTACATCACCAAAATTCACAGTCCGAGAATAACAACATAACCAGGTCCCAATTCCTCCATGTACCCCACAAGCTTCTGTCCACCCTATTTTCTGGACAGAAATTAGCACAACCCACAGGTTTTTCCTGGGCCAAGTCTTCCTTTGCTGCCACTGTCTTGGCTTCTAATCAAGCTCTGACAGGCCAACATTGTGAAGTCCTCACCCTTTCCCATTCACTTCTGGTCTCCTAGTCTAGCTAATCCCCCTCCCCCAGAAGGTTAAGGCAGTTGGTTCACAACCAAGTTGTTTGGTGACCTTGGGTGAGCTCCAGACAGGCACTGGGGTGAGGAGATGTCTGTGCAAAATTACTTGTAGAATGATCTTGGGATGCTGGATTTTAATTTTTGAAGCAAGAAAGTTAGGGGGGGACATATTTCCTGTCCTGGGAAAAATGGAGACCAAAGTGATATTAAGAAAGTAGTTTGGATTTCAAATTTATAAATCACTTGCTCTGTGGGTAGCTATCAGGAACTAGATCATTTTCCACCTCTGCTTATTGTACTTCTTAATTTTAGGTTTTATACCTGGGAAAGCTGTGACTCTATTAGAGCTTTGAATCTTTTCCTATCCTTTTATCTTTACTCCTACAGGGAATGGCCTCAGCTCCCTTCTCTTTTAGAATTAAACAAGTAAAAACTAAGAGTTAACTTTTTAAAAAAACTGACTCCAGGGAAAGGACATTATTATATTACCAATAGCTGATTTTTTTTTCCATTCTGGGACCTAAAATGCTTACAGGTACTAGCAGTACATGTCGGATAGCAAAGACTTTTCCTTTCAGACCCAACTAAATGATCTCCTTTCTGCCTTTGATACTCTTTTCCTTCTTTGTCTTTCATCCTTGCCTATCACCTCACAGATGGATTCTTCCTCATTTCTCTTGCCTCACTTGCCCAGGTTTATTGACTAGCGTCAGTTTAAGGAGCTGGACTTCCTGGGACCTCCTTGGCATCTTGTAGGGTGATTGGAGTGGCCTGAGTACTCAGCTCTTCAGAGGTCAGGTGACCCACTTTCTTTGGTTAATGAAATGTTACTGTCTCCAGGTTAGTAGCTGTCATGAACAGGAAAGGTGGCAAAATGGAAGACCAGTTCTATTGTTCTTTTTGTTTAGGGGATTCGTTTTTTATCTTGTAATCTTAAGATTTCCTCTCCCCTCAACTTTACAGCAGCCTTAGGCCACCTGCCGTATTTTTCAGTATCCCCTGCAAATTTAGAAATTGAAAATGAGTGTAAAGCATATTGTTTCTTTTCCAAAATCCTTTGAAGCCAAAGGAGTAAAGAAAGAAAAAAGGAAGGGGTGAGGAGGGGGCTTAACTGCTTCCCAGTAAAGACCCTGGAAAGCCCACTCTTGCAGGAGGATAAGTGTTTTGGAGAGTTGTGCATGGGAGCGAGCGCCTCAGTGTTACTCTTTCTTGTTCAGGATCAGTCAGAAAGCAACACAAGTGTTGGCGACCCCTGTTCTCCCTTCTCCCTCTGTCCACTGGCCTGCAATGATAAAAGACATGCAGACCAATGGGAAAGGCCCCAAATGCAGTGAGTGGAGAATGGGACAGTCATTTTTCAGGAGCAGAATTTAAAAATACAGATGTATAATACATATTTTTACAAGCAAGAAGCTGTTGTTAAGACTTTTTTTTACACTTAGAGTTTATAATTTTGGGGCAGGAAGGAAGTAACTGTAAAAAGAAAAACAAGTGCAAGTTTTCTTTAAAAAAATAATAGGCTGATGGGACTTGCTATCGAAGGGGTTGAGTTTTATGCCCTGGAAAGGGCTGGGAAAAAGCCAGTTTTTCCCAACATGGGTAGAAATTATAAAGCAAAATGTGGCATTTTCACTTCATGGTAGCAGTTCTGAAAGTTTATTTACACAGTAAGTTCCGAGCTAGAAGTGGACAGTCTCCAGTCTTCCTGTCAGACTCTGTAGTTATGGGGTGTTCCCAGTCAGCCAAAGCAGCACCAAGTGCAGTGGGAATGAAGAGAACCCAGATAAAAAACTGACTCAGTATTCTTGTTTTATTGGTTTATGGCTTGTGGGCAGCTGGCTGAGGCCAGGAACACCAGAGGCCCTCCTTGTATTTCCCTCTCCCTTATCAGGTAATTCCACACTTAGCAGGTCCCATACCTGGAAGCAGCGGGTTGACCAGGTAGGAGTAGGATGCAGTGGGTATACTAGGAAAACCCAGCTCTTCCCACTAACACTGGTACCGTAGTTTACTATGCTAGAACTGATAGGGAGGTAATGAACTTGGTCCCCACTACCTAGCCCAAGAACCAGCCTGGGTACCCACGTACCATTAGGAGCGGGGAGGGGAAGAACAGGATAGGGGAAAAAGATGACCTTCATCAAGGAGCTCTTGTGGTGGAGGACATAAGGAAGCCCTGAGGCTGCCATCCTTTCTCCAGGCAGCCTTGATACTGAAGGCAGTAATGTTAGAGCCATAAAGCACTGTATTTCTCATACTCTTGGTATAATGCTAGTGCCACTGTGTGATGCTTTAGTCAAATAAATGGAGGGGCCATTAGAGAGGGTAGGAAGGCAATGAAACCACTCTGAATTATGTAAAGATCTTGCTACTTCTTATAGCCTAATAGGAAGAAATCCAGGCAGGGGTTATAGGGCATCAGCTGTTGAATGAATGTTCAACATTATGCTTTTAAGGATTAGATAGAAGAGGTCTCCTACCTATTCCTTTTAGCACCTTGGCTGCAAAGCTCCAGAGGAAGATTTGGGGGAAAGAGTGAGCCTATGACCAGGAAGACAGAGCCCAGCCCTGCTATAGTCCAGTTGCTCTCCCACAGGGCACCTGGAGCTTAGGGGGTTAGGATATTTCAGTGCTGCCTATCATATGTAGAATAAAGGGTGGTTCAGATAGAGACAATGAAATTAATATGGCAGAAATTCATGTGTTAAGTGGAACTTCTTAGTGGGCACTTCATTTAAGAGAGCTAAAAAAGAGCTCTTTGGCTAGATAAGCCCTTCCCATCTCACTTTTGGTCAGGCTGCAACCACAGAAAAGAAAACATTGAAAACAACACCCATCTTCTGAGATGGGATGCTATCTTGGAGATGAGGTCTAAAACTAGGACTGGTGAGTGGTTGTGTTTCTGCCTTTCCTAGCTTTGATCCCACTATTCCCTGTCTTTGTACTCCCTCTCCTTCTCCTCTTTCCAGCCGCCCCCATTTGTATAAATAGTCAATCTAGTTTTTTTTTTTAATTCAAGAGGCAATCTTTGCACCAATGTTAGGCTTGTTTATACAGTCCCTGTCTCTAAAGCAAATAGCAAACTGTGCATCCTCTCCTACTGACTTTGGCCAGCAGGGAAACAAGCTTGGTCTCTTCTCTGCCAGGGTACCACAGGGACACACGCCAAGGTAACCTGCGTGTGATGCCAGTACTTCTGAAACTAAGAAAAGAAGAATACTTTGGGTTGGAGAATTTAAAGGAATGGTGGACAAAGGTTCAGGGCTGAAGTTTCAAGCAGCAGAATTTCCCGACTTAAATTTGAGGTGACCAAGAGTATTCCCGCCAGCAGAGTGCTTCTTTCTTCTCTTTTCTGTTTCCTACAGGTACAGTCCCTGGAACCCACCTTGCCAGCCTTTTCCTTCTCCATCAAGGCAGAGGCATTTGGTGGGTGGGGAGGGTCCTGAGGTGCTCTGGCCACAGGTGCCATCTGTGTCTCCTACTTGTGACCAAAGTGAACCACGGAGGTGTGGTCCAGGGGAATCTCTATCTTCTGCCCATGGGCCTCCTCACTTCAGCAGGGAGATGTCATCAGCAAAGTCATCATGCTGCTGGCGCAGGCAGCGGAGGCAGCGCCACTGACACACCATGAGGCAGAGTGGCAGCATGAAGAGGGCGCAGATGGCAGCCATGACATAGGCTATGGTCATGAGGGTTGACTCATCTGTCTGTGGAATGTTGTAGCCACAGTCTTCCATGTCCAAGGTGACAAAAGGGCCTTCCACCGCTGCCGTCCTGAACTCATCGTGCACTGGGGAGAGGGCAAATGTGAATGGACAGCTCTCATTGTCATAGAGGAGTTAACAAAAAGAACTTCCTGATAGTGAGGCCTTGAAATTAGCCCATGCAGAAGTTATCTAATCTCCTTCCCAGGAGATATTTAGGAGCAGGCTGGGAAGCCAGCACCAGGTAGAGGCCTGTCTCCCTTCCCAAGTCACTGGGAGCAGCAGCCCTTCCTTGTATACCCAGCTGGTAGGAGTGATAACTAAAAGTCAGTAGTTCTGAGTTGACCAAAAGCCACCCCCTTGACCAAAAGCCAAATCTAGTAAACTTAACTTTCTGCTGCTGAAATCCAACTGCAAAACCCTGCCACCTTTCTGAAGTAGCATTCAGCCTCACCATGTGGCAGCTGACAGGGTCACTATAGACTCAGTCTGCTACCCTTGCATCAAGAGCTTCCCAAGGTACCCAGGTAACTCTTGCTGCTCTGGGTTTCCAACAGAGGTTACCAATCCAGGCAGTGGTCATTATGGCAGGCAGTACAAAAAAAGGACGAGCATTGACACTAGCTTTTGCACAACTGTTGACTTGGGTTTGAGGCAACTGTTACTACCCTCCCCTAAACTGACAGGGACCCAGGTATACTAACTGTTGTTTGACAAGGAAAATATGGAGAGACTGACCCCAAACCCTCAGCCCTGGCACTCTCACCATGGCAAGCGCTGACAGCAAAGCCAATTCGTTTTCGGGCCCGATCAAAGACAACGTAGAAGCCCTCCATGATAACAGCTCCCATAACAGTGCCCGTGGATGACTGTGAGATGGCAAACTTGTAACAGTCGTCTTGGGACGTGGCCACATCTTCCACTGGCCGCAGGTATTGCTAGGGGTAAGCAATCACAGGGTGAGTGTCTTCCTCACTCTCCTTCACCCCATCTCTGCCTTGTAGGCATCTATGCCCTTCCCTTTACCATCCCTGAGCTCTAACGGGTTTTCTGAGACCCCTTTACTGCTGGACACTACTCATCTGTTTTGTCTTCCAAGTTCTGGCAAGCCATACCTGCTCACTGTCTCCCAGTGTGTACTTTTAAGAGAGATCCCCCTGACTCAGGCTGGGACATACCTGCGGAAGGATGGTGATGCGGAAGGACTGGTTGGTAACCTCACCCATTAGGTAGAGTGAGATGACTGGGAAAATGTTCCAAGGGGTGGTGCCTGCTTGCCAGCACACCAGCTGCTCTCCTAGCCAGAAACCATCAGGGAACTTCTCCGTCTGTGTTGGCAAGAAGGGGATAACAATGAGGAAAAGCCTCTTTATCATCTCGCCCCTCCCATGTTCAGATACATTAACTGGGCCCTTCATTTGCTTTTCCAGTGAAATATCTAAAGTGGGGAGGGGTAAACCAACCAGAGGATTACAGGAAGAGAGAGGGAGTGTGATGTCAAACTTTTGTACCGGGGGATTGTGTGATGAGCAAAGTGACAGCCATAAAGGGGAAGAGTTTTTTTTTTTTTTTTGAAACAGTGTCTCACTCTGTTGCCCAGGCTGGAGTGCAGTGGCGCAATCATGGCTCACCGCAACCTCCACCGTCCTGAGTTAAAGTGATTCTCCTGTCTCAGCCCCCTGAGTAGCTAGGATTACAGGCGTGCGCCACCACACCCAGCTAATTTTTGTACTTTTAGTAGAGATGGGATTTCACCCTGTTGGTCAGGCTGGTCTTGAACTCCTGACCTAGTGATCTGCCCACCTTGGCCTCCCAAAGTGCTGGGATTACAGGCGTGAGCCACCACGCCTGGCTAGGGGAAGAGTGTTTTAAGAGCTCTGAGTAGAAGGGTCTAAGTGCAGACATCTTGGCTGTTGCTGAAGAATGTGACTCTCACCGCCTCCCTCTGACACTGTACCATCTCTTTTACCCCCATCCTTAGTCCACTCACGGAGGAGGCTGCCTTGATGGATTTGACTGCAGCTTCAAACACTTTCTTGGGCAAACGAAGGTTGGTGGTGCCACTGTCCACAATGCTCTTGTCATAGTTGTACTAAGAGGGAAAAGAGAGAGTTAAAAGAGTCAAAAGGTTTTTGATGCTGGGCTCTGGGCAGTAGGGGGTTACTGCTGGGGCCCCAGCTGGGTTGGCATCTTGGCTTTGGCACCTCCTAAGTGTACCTGCTTGGACAAGTTAACCTCTGTGCCTCAGTTCCTTCATCTCTAAAGTGAGGATAAAAATAGCACCTACCTCAAAGGGTTATTGTAAGGATTAAATAAATCAGCAATGTAAAGCACTTAGAATCGTGCCCAGCAGAGAGAAGGCACTTGGTAAATGTTTATTCTTGTTAATCTTGGGTGGGCAGGTAGTCTCCAAACTTGAAAATAAAAATACCTTGTTTAGTGCTTTTAACTTTTCTTTTCTTTTTTTTTTTTTTTTTTTTTTTTTTGAGATGGAGTATTAGCTCTGTCACCCAGGCTGGAGTACAGTGGCGTGATCTCGGCTCACTCTAACCTCTGCCTCCTGGATTCAAACCATTCTTTTGCCTCAGCCTCCCAAGTAGCTGGGACTACAGGTGCCTGCCACCACGCCTGGCTATTTTTAGTAGAGATGGGGTTTCACCATGTTGACCAGGCTGGTCTCGAATTTCTGACCTCAAATGATCTGCCCCCGCCTTGGCCTCCCAGAGTGCTGGGATTACAGCCACGCCCGGCCGCTTTTAACTTTTCTTAGTACATTTATATCTATTCTAATTTAACATACATAAGAATCTAGGGAAGGAAGACATAAATGATTTAGTTACCTTTTATTGAGTACTGCCAACCACAGAGATAAACACTTTACACATTATCTCTGATATTCTGAGAAAGTTGTTTTTACCTGTTTTGCAGATAAGGAAACTGAGACACAGAATAGTAACTGGCCTAAGGGTACATAGCTAGTACAAATCAGAGCTAGATTCAGATCTGGGTCTTCCTGACTCCAAAGACAAGACTCTTCATTCTATCACCCTGTCTCACAAAAGACTTGCCCAAGGCTACGAAGCAAGGCAGTGACTAGAGTCCAGACATCAGAACTAGTTCCATGTTTTTTTTTTCACTACCAGTCCCTAGGCCCCAAACCGCAGATCCTGCTGTGTGACCATTAAGCCCCTGACTGTTCTAGGCTCAACTTCCAACCCTTTCTGCAGGTCCTATTACCTCTGCCTCATCCTCCCAACATGATAACCAGAGTCTTCCTTCACATTGTACTGCCTACCCCCTTATGTTCCCAGGCTCTCCCTTGGTTTTCTTACCTCCTTGCAGTCCATTTTCAGATCCTGTCCATTGATCTCCACCCGCACAATGATCACCTCATAATACCACTCCCGCCGGATGGGTGTATACCAGAGACTGCCTGTGTACAGCGAGTGGTCGATACCTCCAATGATCTAGGGAAAAAAAGAGGCAGGTACCCGTGTCCTGGCACAGAAGGAGAGTGAGTCCCCCAAGGACCAAGCAATAAGATCAGTGATTTCTTGGGGTGGCAAGGTCTTCTACAGGCTACCCTTTTCATCTTCCTGCTTCTAAACAAATCATACCCAAAGTGATTTCTAGTTTCTTAAATGTGTTCAGGAGAAAAGACTTTCCGGGATTTTTAATTATTTGTTTCAGAATCATACAGCCCTTGATATAAAGTTATTTAAATCTAAACTGCCACAATAAATGTTGAATGAATGGTTATTTGTTTATATTATAAGTTTTATTTTCTCTGCTTATTGGAGAACCATTCACCATTGTTCTAATTAATTAATAAATAGACAAACTTCTTATATCTCTGCCTTCTGACCATCAAACTGAATAATTTTAATTCAACAGGTCTTATTTTCATTTCCTTTGAAATTTTCCTAATTGCCTTCCTTTCCAAGTTTACCATAGGTGCCTTGATTCCTTTCTGGAATAACGCAAAAAAGAAAAGAATGGAAAAATAAAGTAAGGGTAGGGAATATAAAGAGGTTCCTCCTGATTCTAAGTATCGGAGCCAAAACTGTGGTGTAGCTTTCAGGAAGGGGAGAGGATGGCACCCATCTCTCCCTCAATGCCAGGACCTCCCCTCTCTGAGGACCTACTCACCATGCTCCCTCCGACAGAGGCCAGCACTTCAGACTGGTTGAGGGGGAAGCCAGCACCACAAAGCTGCAGGGAGAAGAGGTTGGGAACGTGGGTCTGCTTTACCAGAGAGTCAAAGAAAGGCTCCAGGGAGTCGTCAGGCTTTGGCAGAAAGAGACAAGGAGTGAGTCCTCATACGGCCCTAAAGGCAGAGGCCAGCTTCCTGTCTAAACTGGAAGGCAAATTTGAAGGCTTGGGGGATGCTCCTTGGGAAAGACCATCTTAAGGCACTGAGATTTGGCAGAGGAAGGGTTAGCAGGAGCCCTGGCAATGCAAACAGGACAGTATTGATAGGTTCACAGATTCATAGATCTTTTTTTTTTTTTTGAGACAGAGTTTTGCTCTTGTTGCCCAAGCTGGAGTGCAATGTTACGATCTCGGCTCACTGCAACCTTCACCTCCTGGGTTCAAGTGATTCTCGTGCCTCAGCCTCCTGAGTAGCTGGGATTATAGGCATGCGCCAACATGCCCGGCTAATTTCTGTGTTTTCAGTAGAGATGGGGTAGATGGGGTTTCACCATGTTGGTCAGGCTGGTCTTGAACTTCTGACCTCAGGTCATCCGCTCGCCTTGGCCTCCCAAAGTGCTGGGATTACAGGTGTGAGCCACCACGCCTGGCCAGGTTCATATATCTTTGATCCCCCTATGCCTAACCTGCTTCAAATTTATGGGGGCCTTTATTAAAGATCTTAGAGTGGCTGGTCGCGGTGGTTCATGCCTGTAATCCCAGCACTTAGGAAGGCCGAGGTGAGCGGATCACCTGCGGTCAGGAGTTCGAGACCAGCCTGGCTAACATGATGAAACCCCATTTCTACTAAAAATAGAAAAAATTAGCCGGGCGTCATGGTGGGCGCCTATAATCCCAGCTACTCGGGAGGCTGAGGCAGGAAAATCGCTTGAACCGAGGAGGTGGAGGTTGCAGTGAGCCAAGATTGCACCATTGCACTCCAGCTTGGGCAACAAGAGTGAAACTCCGTCTCAAAAAAAAAAAGATCTTAAGAGTACATAGAAAGCACAGCCTATTCTTGTACCTATCACAGCTTCTGTCACTATGGTTCTGCCCTCTATAGGGCTAAAATTTAGACTGCCACCCTATACCCCTGTTAAATAATCCTTTAAACTGATTGTTGCCCTCCTTCTGCTAATTCCCCTTCTCTCTCCTAATTCCTTCTCTGTATAGTGCAGTGTGCATAGAGTGTGTAGGGCCAAGCCCTGTTCCTCTCACCCTGGCAATCTCAGCATAGGCCAGCCCCAGGATGCCTTCCCAGTTGGAGCCGTTGATGAAGAACTTGTCTGATTCAGTGATGGCAGCAATGTTGGCACGCACAGTGACGTTGGGGCCATGGGGGATGCTTACCAGGTCGGTGCCCAGCTCCCCTTCCCACTTGCCCTGGGTGTAGGGCACATACACACCCTTCCGGAGGTCCCGGTATGTGCTGGACCTGTGGAAAGAAGGCAGAGATCTGTGGATGCATAACCACAACTGGTATAAGGATCTAAGTTAAACTTACTCCCAAACACCACCTTATCTCATCTCAGGGGAATCCTAGAGTCTGCTTTCAGGCTGCTCAGCAAAACATCCCTAGACTCACCACCCAGAACAGAGTGTAAAGTGGGCTTGCAGATAGATGAAGGGAACCATTGGTGAGGCTTGCTCTCCTATCTATTGCTCATATTCCTAGATCTTGAGCTCAGGCCCTGTGAAGAACAAGCCTGGGCTTTGTGCATTGTGCCTGCTGCTGCTGCTGCTGCAGGGACAGCTAGTGGGCATCTCTTCCGCCCTCTGGCTCCGTCAAGCTCCCCGAGAAAAGGAACCATTGACTCTCTTACTGCCTTGGAACCTAGTGGTACCATCCGAGTGGTAGAGAAAGTGCCAGGCAGGGTGAATGTGGAACCTCTACAGCAAGTTCTAGAGAAGGGGTTTGTTCAAGCATCTCAGAAAAGCAGGTTGGTATTACACACCACTTCTGTGAAACGTGCTCAACATGTGGCAGCCCCACCTGTGTTTAATCACACCACTAACCAGGGCTTCTGTGTGTGGTGGGGGCAGTGATGGAACTGGAACGAGGAACTGGAGTGAATGCCCTTTCATCGATCCTACCTGCACCCTCCTCCCTGACTGCTTCTTTTAGATTGGGACATTAGAGGAAACAGGGAAGGTGCGTTTTGCAGCTGCCTACAAGTCCAAGGATAGGATTTAAGCCTCTACTCACGTTTGCACACACTGATGTCTCAGATATTGGTGTCCTCTCATCCCTTCTTCTTCCTGCTTTTATGCTAAGGGGGCTTCCAGATTACCCCTCACTGCCTCTTATCTTAAAGCCCACTTCAACCCCCCTTTCACCAGTCCCCCACTTTCACCAGTCCTCTTCAACCCCCCTTTCACCAGTAAGCTGAATCCAACTGGTGGCACCCTGGGTGGTGCATGGAGGAGATATTTCAGCTTTCAGTTCTGATACTGGTCTAGGCAGAGGGGTTTATGAAAGACCCTTTCCTTCATGTCCTTGGACTATGCAAAGCCACCTAGAGTGGCCCCTGGGTAAGAACACAGCAAGGGGAGCCGTCACTGAGGCCTGTTCAGCTTAGACTTAGCTGGTGTTAGAGAACTGAGAGACACCGAGGGGATGTGGGGTTTTCGTCTCCCCATTCAGGCAGAGAAAATGGGCCCCCTAAGATTGTTCTGTGAGCTATGGGCTCTTCTTCCTTTCCCTCCCACAGGAGGCTGCCCTGTCTCAGCACTGAAGCACTTCCTGGCTACCTCTCAATTCACCCTTTCCCATGGTATAGCTCCTCTCACCACCCACTTCACCCTGTCTCTCCTGGTCACTGTCTTTTTTTCGCCCTTCCCCTTCCCTGGCAAGAAGAAAATCTGAGGATCAACTCTTTCTCTCTGTACCCCTCCCCTGACCCTTCTTAGCCCTGGATCCTTGGAAAAGGTACTTCCCCCGGGCTCTCCCCAGGACTCACAGCTGCCTCTGGTAGTAGCGATGCAGGAAGGGGTGGGGGGCAGCACCCACTGCAAAGTTACTGCTGCCTGTATCCACCAGGATGTTGAGCTGTCAGAGAAAGGGGAGAGAAAAGACAGTATAGACAGGAGGCTTCGGTCACACCACCTTTATTATCCCTCACGCCCCAGCCACAGTCTGCCCCTTAGAATGTCCAGAGTGAAGCTCCACGATGCAGGACTGGTCCAGGCTGGCACCCGTTACCACCACGACCACAGACAGGACCTGGGGTCCTGTGGTGCTGCAGGGGCCAAAGGAACACTTCCCCTGTGCCCTCTGCAGGTCTGCTGAAAAACCAACTGAAAAAAGGCAGATTAGTAGAAGAACTAATATGCAAGGGAGTCAAAAAAATATAGGAAGTCAAAGAGATAGCCAGATGGTTGATGATTTTATACCATCTTGAGGTTACAGAAAGAATGGGAGCTTGGGCAAGGTGCAGTGGCTTACCCCTGTAATCCCAGCACTATGGGAGGCTGAGGCAGGTGGATCACCTGAGGTGAGGAGTTTGAGACCAGCCTGGCCAACAGGACGAAACTCTGTCTCTACTAAAAATACAAAAATTAGCTGGACATGGTGGCACATGCCTGTAGTCCCAGCTACTCAGGAGGCTGAGGCATGAGACTCACTTGACCCTGGGAGGTGGAGGTTGCAGTGAACTGAGACCATGCCACTGCACTCCAGCCTGGGCGACAGAGACCCTGTCTCAACAACAAAAAAAAAAGGGACTTGGACTTTGGCAAAAATAGTTATGGGAGGGATAAACGGAGGCCAGGCCAGTAAAAGTGGTCTTTTTATATGAATGAAACCTCATAGGTAACACCCCTCAGAGAAAACAGGTGATGTATGTGTCTTTCAGACCTTTAAACATGTCAGACTTTCAGTTAATCTTTCCTAGATTTGGACCAGGGAGGGCCTCAGAGAAAGCCAGGTTGCATCAATGCAGATTCTCTGCAGATGCAAATCTCCCTCAAAAGCCAGATTTGCAGGGCCACTTCTGTGTGCTGGCCCTCTGACAGCCGACTCAAAATACGTCAAAGTAGTATATTCTGGGGTAAAATATCTTGGTTTCCTTTGGCACCCTCAACATGGCCTTAGAAATGCTGTGTCTGAGGCCAGCACAGTGGCTCACAACTGTAATCCCAACACTTTGAGAGGCTAAGGCGGGTGGATCACTTGAGGTCAGGAGTTCAAGACCAGCCTGGTGAATGTAGTAAAATCCCATCTCTACTAAAAATACAAAGATTAGCCGGGTGTGGTGACGCACGCCTATAATCCCAGCTACTTGGGAGGCTGAGGCAGGAGAATCACTTGAACCCAGGAGGCGGAGGTTGCAGTGAGCCGAAATTACACCACTGCACTCCGGCCTGGACGAGAGCAACACTCCGTCTCAAAAAAAAAAAGAAAAGAAAAGAAACGCTGTGTCTGCTTCAGTCTATGGAGTCATAACATTTTGTGCGTCATCTCAGAGCTATGTGGTGTGTGTGCTGTCTCTGTTCCCATGTCTCTCTACCGTCACATCACCCCTGCTCACTGTGTACCTGACTGATTCTGTCTTCAGGGCCCCCTGCTCCTTTTCAATTCTCCCAGGAAGCAGTCTGGCTTATCCCCTCCAGCTCAGAGAAGACCTATTCTAGGAGCTGTACTGGTCAGGGGACCTGTGGGGACCAGGATGGCACATCAGTGTCCATGCGTGTGGTTCTGTCCCTGCCACCAGAATGTGGCTCCCCTTCTGTCTCACAGGTGACACAGACCTAGGAATCCTACTGTCAGAAATAGTGGGGAGCCAGGAGCCCCATAAAATGTCCTGGTGAAAACCCATCTTGTCAGGGCCCTGGATTTGGCTAAGTGAAGATGGACAGGTGTCTTGGTGTTCCCTTCTGTCCAGCTCTTTCTAGCATCACTTCTTTTTTTTGAGATGGAGTTTCGCTCTTGTTACCCAGGCTGGAGTGCAATGGCGCGATCTCGGCTCACTGCCATCTCCGCCTCCTGGGTTCAAGTGATTCTCCTGTCTCAGTCTCCTGAGTAGCTGGGATTACAAGTGTGCGCTACCACGCAGGGCTAATTTTTGTATTTTTAGTAGAGACGAGGTTTCACCACGTTGGCCAGGCTGGTCTCGAACTCCTGACCTCAGGTGATCCACCTGCCTCGGCCTCCCAAAGTGCTGAGGCGTGAGCTACCATGCCCGGCCTCTAGCATCACTTCTCCTTGGCCCTTTCTTCCTCCTTTGATGGCCTGACCCCACCTTCAGTCAGACCAGAGCCATTTTTTGAAAGTCTACTATATCCTCACAGGCAAAAAAAGGAAAGGCCCCACCCTCAGAAAAATGGTAATTTGTAAGTTGCATCTCGCCTCTTGCCGACTTTCCATCACCTCAGGTTCTCCTCTGCCCCAGGGGCCTTCATTTCTGTATCTTCTCTCCTCAGTCCAGTGAAATCAACTGACCTCAGTTTTGGTGCAGGCCCTGACCCTGTCACCTTGAGCAGATCACTGTGCTTCTCTGGACTTCAGTTTCGTCCTCTCTGCCAGATCCTCTCTGGCTCCTTCCTGCTCTCCGTGGTGCCTCTGTGGCTGTGCTGACTGTGCCCTCCCCCAGTGCCTGCTTAGACCTCCTGGCCTCCTCACATCCCCAAAGACTCCTCTGACAATCTCCCGGCCCTCAGACCTTGTCTCCTCCCTCCTTCCCAGCCCCCCACTCCTGGCCTGGTTTCCATTCCCCTCCCTGCCCCTCTTCCCCTACCTCTACCCGTGGTCTCTCTCCCCGGTCTCTGGGCAGCCACCAGCTCCAGATGCTGTGCTTTCAGAGAAAATCAATAGAGCTGGGAGGCTCAGCAGTTCAGATGAAATCAACCAGGTTAATGATTAAGAAGGCTTCTTCACCCACCCTCTCCCCACGAACCCTCTTCCCCATTCTCAGGACTCAGCTCCCAGCATGGGGGGCTGGCCTCATATTACAGGGCTCCCTGCTATCACTGGACCCCAAAGAAAGAGGATCTCCTCCACAACAAGTCTCTGTGGCCTGTGCAAGGGAGGGAACATCCGGCAAGTTCTAAGCAAATATGGCTACTGCTTTACACTGGAGTGGAGCTTTGACCTGGGGGCTCCTGCTGTCCCTGCCCCTCCCTGCCTCCCCCTTCCTCTCCTGCGAGGCAGGAGGGAGCTCTCTGCAGGGTACTCCCACCCCAGCCCTGAGGCCCTGGGCGCTCTTGCTGTCCTTCCAGCCCCAGCCTTTCCCCCTGCCACCCCAAAGGGGGCCAGGCCGAGCCCAGGAAGGAACGTCCCCCTCCACTCCCATCCCTCTCACCCACCCCAATACTACGATTTCAGGTCCCCACTGCTCTCTGCCTCCCCTCTCCACCTTACACACACACACAAAAGAAAACCAGAATAAACAGTTGGGCTTCTCTCCCGAGCAAATGTCGACCCGTCTGCCCTCTGCGGTGTGCTCCCGCCCGAGAGAAGTAATTCTGGTCCTGTCCTTCAGCGCTTCGAATGGGAGCCCTGGCCAGTCCCGGCAGCCTTTTCCCCACCCCTGCTCCATTCCAAGCGGGGGGATGGGGGGGGCTCTTAACAGGACGGGCCCGAGGCAAGGCTGAGGCACTGCTTGCTCATTATGAAACAGGGCAGTTCAGGGCGGCCTGGGCAGAGGCAGCGGTGGAGGGGCTGCAGCCGCCGAACCCCAGCAGCTGGGTTCCCCTCTCGGGTCACTGAACTGGGCCAGGGGATGAGACTGCCCTCATCTCCCACAGCCAACCACACCAACCTGCCTGCGGCTGCCCCTTCCAGGCTCCTCATGAGCTGCCACCTGTGCTGGGGAGTCAAGTCCCTCCTCCCTTCCCAGGCACCCACCTCTTCCTTGGCCCTTTTCCCTCACATAGATACAGCCACCCCACCCTGGCCCCATCTCCACCAAATCTGAATTCTTCCTGTTGACATTTACAGATGCTCATCTCTTCATTAAAACAAAAACAAAACAAAAAACTTCCTTAATCTCACATCCGCCTCCAGTCCCCTCTCTCCTCTCCCTTCACAACCAAAGCGCTCAGCCAGGCTGTCTCCATTTCTTCACCTCCCACGCATTCCTCAACCCATTCTAAAACTGGGTTTCGCCTCCATTCCTCCACTATAAAACAGCCCTTACTACAGTTACCGGTGACTTCATGTCACCAAACACTGAAGGTGTTTTTCAAGTCAGCCTTCATCTTCTCAGGTCCTGTGTTCTCTGTCTCCTTGGCAGGCTCCTTTCTCAAGGCTTGAGCTTTGGCCCTCTTCCTCTCTAACGACCCTCTCCCACTAAGCCATCTACCTAGATCCTGGTGATGTCTAAGCTCCTAACTCCAGCTTTTTCCTCTCCTTTGAGCTCCCGACGCACGCACCCAAGTGCCTCAAAGATACCTCAAGGGCTGGGTGCAGGGGCTGACACCTGTAATCCCAGCACTTTGGGAGGCCAAGGCGAGAGGATCACTTGAGGCCAGGAGTTCGAGACCAGCCTGGACAACATAGTGAGACCCCCTCCCACACACCTCCATGTCTACAAACAAAATTTTTAAAATTAGCCAGGCATGGTGATGGGCACCAGTGGTCCCTGCTACTCAGGAGGCTGAGGTGAAAGGATCGCTTGAGCCCAGGAGTTTGAGGTTGCAGTGAACCATGATTGTGCCACTGCACTCCAGCCTGGGTGACAGAACAAGACCGTCTCAAAAAAAAAAAAAAGGTCAAATTCAGGATGTCCCAAGCTGACCCAACGCAGTCCTTTCCATCTGGTGGCTGCCTTCCAGTGTTCCTTATACTAGTGGATGGCAGCATCACCCATCTGTTCTGTAGGTCAGCAGTATCAGACATATCCTAACACCTTCCTCTTCTTCACCTCTCTATCCAGTGCATCAACAAGTCCTGTCCAATTAAGCTCCTTACAAGTCTCTTGAATGTATTCATTCCTTATTTCTTTTGCTGTCCCTAGGCCAAGCTATCATCAGCTCACCCTGGAATATCACAGTAGTTTCCCAGCTGCTTTTGGCACATCTTCTCTTGACCTGTCCAATCTGTTTTGTGCACTGCAGCCAGAGTGATCTTTTCAAAGTGCAAATTTGACTGTTAACCCTCCTATGTAAACAGTTTTCCTTTGCTATTAAAAACGTAAAGCTGGCCGGGTGCGGTGGCTCACGCCTGTAATCCCAGCACTTTGGGAGGCTGAGGTGGTTGGATCACCTGAGGTCAGGAGTTCCAGACCAGCCTGGGCAACATGGTGAAACCCCATCTCTACAAAAATACAAAAATTAGCTGGGTGTGGTGGCAGGCACCTGTAATCCCAGCGACTCGGAAGGCTGAGGCAGGAGAATCGTTTGAACCTGGAAGGTGGAGATTGCAGTGAGATGAGATGGCGCCACTGCACTCCCGTCTGGGCAACAGAGCAAGATTCTGTCTCAAAAACAAAACAAAACAAAACAAAACAAAACCAACCAAAAAACCCATAAAGCTCTGCTGCCAGCCACACTGACCTCAGATATCTCAGTTCCCCACACCAGCCATGGTCCCTCTCGCAAAGGCTGTTGTATCAGCTTCACTCTGCCTGGACCATCCTCCTCTCCACTTGCAGGTTTATCTACTTATCCCCTACACATCCTGCCATCTGAGCTCAAGGGACTTCCTTAGGGAGAGAGACCAGGTTATAT
The DNA here is from genome assembly GCF_000001405.40 of Homo sapiens. Taxonomy (NCBI): domain Eukaryota; kingdom Metazoa; phylum Chordata; class Mammalia; order Primates; family Hominidae; genus Homo; species Homo sapiens. Next base: position 117,302,580 of record NC_000011.10, read on the forward strand.
TTTCTTACTTAAATGCTTCCAGGCCAGGCGCGGTGGCTCACGCCTGTAATCCCAACAATTTGGGAGGCCAAGGCGGGCAGATCATTTGAAGTCAAGAGTTCAAGACCAGCCTGGCCAACATGGTGAAACTCTGTCTCTATTAAAAACACGAAAAAATGAGCCAGGCATGGTGGCGCACACCTGTAATCCCAGCTACTTGGGAGGCTGAAGCACGAGAATCACTTGAACCCAGAAGGCGGAGGTTGCAGTGAGCTGAGATCGTGCCATTGCACTCCAGCCTGGGTGACAGAGTGATACCTTGTCTCAAAATAAAATAAAATCTTCCATAGAACTTGTCACTCTGTAATTATACACTGAATCTCACCTCCCCTCATATCGAATTTAAAACTATTAAAATGTCTTTAGTGTTCTACTAAGGTATCACGGTGCCTAGCAATAATGTTTCTTGAATGAATGAATGGTTGAAGGAAAGAAAAGGTGAAAGAGCTAATCTACCCTGTTTTTTGGGTGGTGGGGGATGGAGGGATCTCTCAGTGGCTCCCAAACCATGGGTGTTTTAGGTTATAGGTGTGGCTCTAGCTTAGACCTGCCTTCCTCTCACCTGGCCCCTGGCATGACACCTGCCTGTATTTACGCAGCCTGTGATCCGGGAGTCATCGTCTTTGTCCCCTGGGGTCAGGCAGACCCAGGAGACAGATGCCCAGGGAGCTGCAGCCTGGGGTCAGAACTAGGTCAATGTCAATCATTTAACAAACAAACGTGTCCCTGGGGGCCTCAGAGGGAAGGCAGCTTCATGGGAAGTGCTAACAAGCCCCACAGGGAAAGGCACACCTGCCCAGGTTTCACTCTGCATGTTCCCCTGCAGTTCTCAGCAGTAGATCTTGGGTGATGAGGCAGGTATGGAGCTGGCAAGCTTAGGGTAAGCTCTTTGTTCCCCAAATCCCACCTTTCTTGGCCTCAGCTCTCACCAGCAGACAGCGATAGCTCAGATTCTTCTGGATGAAAAACGCCTTCAAGGGGCATCTGTTTAGTGGCCTGGAGAGATGGAGACTCTTTCCAATTCTGAACCATCTCTCATTATTAAGAATCCACACCCTTTATTGGTACTACCCCAAGGTCATAGCACTTTTGCAAAAGCCTCTGGAGTGGGGGCTCTAGCTCCAATTCTTCTTCCTATTCAATAGGAAGTCTATTTTCTTCTGTGTGGGCCTCATGGCTAAAGAGGGAAGACGCCTATATTCTTGCATAACAAGGCTTTCAGCTAAAGTTGAGATTTAGAAGCCTTCCATTTTACAGAGAAGGAAAGTGAGACCTAGAGTGAGTAAGCAACTTCACCCATCTTACACATGCCACAAAGCTAGGACAAGAATCCGTTGGTTCTGACCAAGCCTTAAGTGTGGTCTTTCATCTCCTTGACCTTCCCGTCTCTCCCATTTGGAGAGGAAGTATGTGATAGATTGTTATACTAATGAACCACCCTGCCCCCCATACATGCCCTTGTGGGATCCCCTCTGACAGTGATTCTGGGCTTAGCCATGTGACTGGCTGTGGGCAACAGGATATCAGCAAATGATGCAAGGAGAGGCTTGATAAGCACTTGTGCATTGGGAATTGCCCTCTTGGAACGCTGTCCTCAGATTCTGTGTGAAGTAGCTCAGTCTTGCCTCCTTCCAAATGAAAGACTTCACAGAACCAGAGGCCCAACAGGCCTGGGTTAGTCCAGCCCCCAGCTGACGTACCAGCTGAATGCAGCCACATGGGTGAGCCCAGGTAAGATCTGTAGAAAAATTACAAGCCAACACACGGAATCCTGAAAAAATGATTCTTGTTTGGGCCACTAAATTTTGGAGTAGTCTGTTACCCAGCATCAGATAACTGACACAAACTATCTGAATTAAATCCTGGGGTCCTTGACCCTGAAGGCACCAACCATAGGTCAACCCCGTGAACATCTCTTGCCAGTTCCCTTTCCTCACCAGGCTTCTTGTGAAGTTTCCCGAAAGCACGATGATCTCTCACTTGTGCATCTTTGCATATATTTGTCTGCAGCATTCTTTCCCTGTTCTCATGTTCACATTACACTTTAAATATCCTTTCTTCAAAGGTCTTGTCCTGACGCCCAGATAAGATTAGGTTCTTCCTCTTGCAAATCCTCAGTAGCACCTGTGCTTCTTTGTCTACCACTCACACTTTTAATCATGTATTTAATGTCTGCCTGTCCCACAGACTATGAGCTCCACCAAGGGTAGGGAGCATTTGTATTGCTTATTACCTAATTGTTACCTAGCCCTGAGTAGATGCTCCGTAATGATTTTTTTTTTAATTGACAGCAACTGCCTCATTCCCTGCAGTTAATTCCTATGACCCTATGGACTCTTCCTATTCTTTTTTTTTTTTTTTTGAGGTGGGTTCTCACTCTGTCACCCAGGCTGTAGTGCAGTGGTGCAATCTTGGCTCCTGCCTCAGCCTCCCGAGTAGCTGGGATTACAGGCACCCGCCACTACGCCCAGCTAATTTTTGCATTTTTAGTACAGACGGGGTTTCACCATGTTGGTGAATATCCACCCAGGGTCCTGTGGTTCTTAGAGCAGTTATAGTGACTCCAGGCCTCCTTAGTCCCAGAACCTTGTGAGTCAGCTTCATCTGCTTTTCCTAAGTGATTTCCAGACCTGAGCTTACCCAAGGCTGAGAAAAGGGGGCAAGGAAGGACAAGAGGAGCCTAAAGTCAGCAGCGGGGAGGGGCTTATGGCCAACAGAGCACACAGCTCCTGTCTCAGAGTCCAGCGACTGGGTCCTGTCCAGGTTCCTCCCACCTTGAACAAATCAGCCAGCCCTGTGCAAATGGACTCCTTTTCCCAGCTAGTTCCTCTGCCTTCCACTTGCCTCTCCTGGCTGTAGCTGGCCATTGGTACCTGGGAGCAAGCAGGCTCCCTGGCGCCACTTACCCCACCTCTGGCTGGTTTTTCAAGGAGTCCCAATGTGGCTGGGTCGCCCCAAACCTTATCTAGTATACCTTTCCCCCTTTGGATGGGATGCCCCATTTCTCCGCAGCCTGTAACCCGGCTCAACTAATATTTGCCAGTGCCTCCTACTCCAATAGAATGATGGATGTCGATGGTCCAAGAGTTTATGACAGTAATTTTCAAACTTTTTTTTTTCTAAAGCAGCAGAATCAGCCGCGCGCAGTGGCTCACGCCTGTAATCCCAGCACTTTGGGAGGCCGAGGCGGACGGATCACAAAGTCAGGAGATCGAGACCATCCTGGCTAACACGGTGAAACCCCGTCTCCACTAAAAAATACAAAAAATTAGCCGGGCGTGATGGCAGGCGCCTGTAGTCCCAGCTACTTGGGAGGCTGAAGCAGGAGAATGGCGTGAACCCAGGAGGCGGAGCTTGCAGTGAGCCCAGATCGCACCACTGCACTCCAGCCTGGGCGACAGAGTGAGACTCCGTCTCAAAAATAAATAAATAAATAAAAATAAAAAATAAAGCAGCGGAATCCTTTTCCCCTTTTCCAATTGTATGCAGGATCCTAGTGTACAAGAGAGAAAAAGACAGAGGTGTTCTGTTTGAAGGGGAGGTTTGATTTCCTCTGCTTCCCTCCCCTGCCTGTGCTGGCTCTTGAGGCATCTCTTCAGCACCTTTAGCCTCTGCGGAACCCACCTGGAAAACCCATGCTCCACAAGGTATCACAGCAGCTATTCGCCACCTGTTTTTCATGGTCAGACAGTAAGTCCTTCCTGTTATTTAACCTTGTCCCACCCACAGGTTACAGTGGCTTGAATCTTCTCTTGCTCTGTCCTCAGTTGAAAATGAAGCTGACCATGGCACCTGTGTCACGCTCAGCACATGGGCTTGTTTATTCAAGCCATTGGGAGATGCTAGAACTCACTCCTTGTCCTACCTGTCAAAACCTCCACAGGCCTTGGAAAAGAGTAAGTGGTAGGGCCAGGCACAGTGACTCACGCCTGTAGTCCCAGCACTTTGGGAGGCTGAGGTGGGCGGATCACTTGAGGTCAAGGAGTTTGAGACCATTCTGGCCACATAGTGAAACCCCGTCTCTACCAAAATATATATATAAATTAGCCGGGTGTGGTTGTGCGTGCCCGTAGTCCTAGCTACTTGGCAGGCCGACGCTGGAGAATTGCTTGAACCCAGGAGGTGGAGGTTGCAGGGAGCCGAGATCGCGCCACCGCACTCCAGCCTGGGCAACAGAGTGAGACCCTGTCTCAAGAAAAAAAAAGAAAAAAGGCTAAGTGATGAGATTCACTGACCTTGAAAGACCAAGCAAGAGGACACCCAGCCTACAGTGCGCAGCAGAGAGGGTGGCCCCAGAGTGACAGCAGCTCAGGAAATATGGTGACAGAGGATAAGTTGGCATGGGAGGAGGCAGAGCTTGGCCAGTTTGCTTTGAGGAAAAGGACCTAGGAGTCCCAGCTCCCCCACGTCAGAATCCCCCCAGTTCTGCTGATTTCCTCATTCTCCCCAGCACAGCCCAGCTCTCCTATTTTGGGAAACACCTGGCTATAGTACCCAAGGCTGCGGTACTAAGGATGTACTCAGGTGCTGTCGCATCCTGCCAGGAGAATCTCAGGGCAGCTCCAGAACTCAGAAAATGTTCTGGTTCCTTCCCAGAACTCTCCCCTGCCCAGGCACCTGAAAGAGAAGGCTCCCAGGAGAGACAGAAGTTAGTCATTAGGTATGGGGGCTTCCCTGGGAGGTGTTTCTCTTCCTGGATTTTCTTTTTTTGAGATGGAGTCTTCCCCCTGTCGCCCAGGCTGGAGTGCAGTGGCATGATGTTGGCTCACTGCAACCTCCGCCTCCTGGGTTCAAGCGATTCTCCTGCCTCAGCCTCCTGATTAGCTGGGATTACAGGCACGTGCCACCATGCCCAGCTAATTTTTGTATTTTTGGTAGAGACAGGGTTTCACCACGTTGGCCATGCTGGTCTTGAACTCCTGACCTCAGGTGATCTGCCTGCCTCGGCCTCCCAAAGTGCTGGGATTACAGGTGTGAGCCACTGTGCCTGGCCTCTTTCTGGATTTTCAACTGGAATTTTCTGCCCAGCCCTTTATTGGAGAGGCCCAAGAAGGGTTCCTGACCTTCCACCTTAGTGCTTTTAGAGAGAGCACAGTCTTTCTCAATGCCCCCTCACTCCCAGCTAAACTCTTCTTTACTGGTCTGGGGAGTAGAGGAGAGGTTTGGAATGACAGGATGAGTGCTCCAGCAAGGGCTTGTGTGCAACCCGAGGCCCAATCCAGGAAAGCCAGTTGTGGTGGCAGGGACTGGGTAGGCAACTTATGGAGCCGGGGTCTTGCTGGCTTTGTCTAATTTGGAGGGTGGTTCTTTGAGCTCGATGGTTTTCAACCTTTTTATTGCAAAAACTCTTTTTTAAAAAAATATAACCCAGAAGTCCACTGTATAAAAACAATAAAAGCAAAGTTATCCTGGGATGCTCAGGAGATTTGGGGCGGGGGGATGGGGATGGCTTGGTGACAGGAAGGGCGGGGATCTAGAGTGTTGACTGCTCCCAGCCTTCTCCCTCACCGCTGAGGTCCCTTTACAGAACCCTGCCAAGCAGGGAAGGAGAGGAAAAAAAGAAAAACCACCTGGTCCTTCTTGGTTTCTGAGACTCTGAGCCCTCATAGTTTTCTACTGCTCTGATCATTTTCTCTTGCTCCCTTGTCTATACCTAATATTCTTTTCCTAATCATTTTTCTCCTTTCCCTCTCTGTTCCCTCAAAGAACAAGTCTATTTTTTAACTTGGCCTCTCTGTGGATGAGTCCTGTCTGCCTGTCCAGTTCTAACTTCTCTCCAGATTCCCACTGTCAGCTGGTGGCTGAATACTTCCACGAGGATGACCCACTAGCATCTCAAAGGCATGTCCCAGATCGTAGAACACAGGAAGGAAAGGCCCCGGTATTTGAACCCCTACTCTGTTCTTCTTAACAGAATCACTTTGGACAAGACACTTAGTCTCTCTGGGTCTCAGTTTCCTTATCCCTGAAATAGATATGCTAATACCTATCCCTTATAATTAAAGCAGAATAATAAACATAAACTTTGGTAAACTATATTGTACTTCCTGGCTGGGTGCGGTGGCTCATACCTGTAATCCTAAGACTTTGGGAGGCTGAGGCGGGCGGTCACTTGAGGTCAGGAGTTTGAAACCAGCCTGGCCAACATGGTGAAACCCCCATCTCTACTAAAAATACCAAAAAAAATAGCTGGGGGTGGTGGCGGGCACCTGTAATCCCAGCTACTTGAGAAGCTGAGGCAGGAGAATCACTTGAACCAGGAGGTGGAGGTTGCAGTGAGCTGAGATCGCGCCACTGCACTCCAGCCTGGGTGACACAGCGAAACTCCATCTCAAAACAAACAAACAAACAAAAAAACTATATTGTGCTTCAAAAGCTTTCCCCTGTTGCTTTGTTCCCTGACAAAAAGTCAGAGAGGTTAAATAAAGCCATCATCTCCTCTTCCCTCTCTCTCACCCCATACATCTCATCAAGCGCAGAGAATAACTGGTTAAACGATGGATGAATGCTGATTCCTCCTTTCTACCCTCACTGCCACCATCCTCTTTCAGGCCCCCGTATCCTGAGATCCTTGTTTGCATGTCTAGAGTCATGATGCTAGACTCTCCAAGTTATTCTGCACACTGAAGCTGTTTTCCTGGAACTAAAATTAGACGATATCATCCCTCTTCTCGTATACCTACAAGGATTCCTTACTGTTTGCAGAATAAAACCCAAAGTCCTGTCAGCCCCATGGCATCCCCACCATGCCTTCTGGCTTCTCACCACAGTTCACGCTTTTCTTCATGAAGTGCTCCTCCTCACCACTCTCCATATTGCAAAGCTTTCTCCTCTTTCAAATACCTCCGTTTTGGCTGGGCGCGGTGGCTCACGCCTATAATCCCAGCACTTTGGGAGGCTGAGGCGGGTGGATCCCTGGGCGAGACTCCCTCTCAAAAACAAAAACAAAACAAAACCCTCCTTTTCCAGCAAGCTGTGCCTAATACCATGTCAGAAGTAGCTGCTTCTCTCTGTGCACTTCCAAGATCCACTGTTTCACTATTTGTACCAAATGCATTTGGTTTTGTGTAATATTTAGGTATTATGTCTATGTCTCACATCAGATTGTGAGCTGTCCAAGGGCTAAGACTATGGCATTATTTTTCTCTTCTACACACAGTAGGCAAGTACTCAACAAATATCTGTTAAACTGAATTGACTATCACCAAATTTCACTCCTAACAGTTACCTTATTATCCTATGTTTGGTCAGTGATGCTCATAATATCAAAATGAGATAACATCCTTTTATTTATTTATTATTTATTTAGAGACAGGGTCTCACTCTGTCACCCAGGCTGGAGTGCAGTGGCGCAATCTCGGCTCACTGCAACCTCCACCTCACGGGCTCAAGCGATTCTCCTGCCTCAGCCTCCTGAGTAGCTGGGTTTACAGGCATGCAGCACCACACCTGGCTAATTTTTGAATTTTTAGTAGAGATGGGGTTTCACCATGTTGGGCAGGCTGGTCTCCAATTCCCAGCCTCAGGTGATCCACCCGCCTCGGCCTCACCTGAGTGCTGGGATTACAGGCGTGAGCTGCTGAACCTGGCCCTTTCGTTTAAAAGAATAAAAATACTTTCTCTAAGAGCTACAGTTCTGCATTTACAACTGCCTGTCAACAGTTCTGTTTAGAGGCTTGCAGCTTATGTATTCATTCACTCAATGTTTTTTAGGTGTATGTTCTGAGCTTGGTATTGTTATAGATTATTATAACACAAAGAGAGGATACTGCAAAATAAATAAATAAAATTAAAAAGACATTGTCCTTAAGAGCTTGAAGTTTTGTTTGTTTGAGACAGAGTCTCGCTCTGGAGTGCAGTGGTGCAATCTCAGCTCACTGCAACCTCTGCCTCCTGGGTTCAAGCAATTCTCCTGTCTCAGCCTCCCGAGCAGCTGGGATTACAAGCGCCTGCCACCACGCCTGGCTAATTTTTGTATTTTTAGTAGAGACAGGGTTTCACCATATTGGTCAGGCTGGTCTTGAACTCCTGGCCTCAGATGATCCTCCTGCCTCAGCCTCCCAAAGTGCTGGGATTACAGGCGTGAGCCACTGCGCCTGGCCAGAGCTTGAAGTTTTATGAGAGAAACAAACACAAAAACAGTTGTAATACATTACAAGTGTAGTAATGGAGATATAAGCAGGTGTAATGGGAGAATGGAAGAGGGATGCTTGTGATAACTTCTTCTTCCCCAAGACAAATGGCACAGTAGGAAGAACAAGGATGAAACAGGTCTTAACTTACTGGCCTTCTACCTGGCCAGTGGTTTAACCTTTCAACCCCATTTCTTCTGCTAGACACTGTGAGTGATAAAGACCTTTTTTTTTTTTTTTCTTTTTTGGAGACAGGGTCTCTGTCATCCTCTGACAAGCTGGAGATTGCAGTGGTGCAATCACAGCTCACTGAAGTAAAGACCTTTTATATATTGCAGGAATTGCTGTAAGGGAAAAACTAATAGGAGGCTAAGGTGGAAGTATCACTTGAGCCCAGAAGTTGGAGACCAGCCTGGGCAACATAGTGAGACAATTTGAAAAAATCAGCTGGGGCTGGTGGCATGTGCCTGTAATCCAAGTTACTCAGGAGCCTGAGGCAGGAGGATCACTTGAGCCCAGGAGTTACGATTGTGCCCCTGTACTCCAGCCTGGGCAACAGAGAGAGACCCTGTAATTAATAAACAAGCAAATAAATTTGTATACAAGTACTATAAGCCATCCCCTCCTGCCACCTTTCCTATTCCCACAGTCTTGTTATCCTCCAGTTCACCCCAGATCAGAATCTCAAAACCATCTTTGATGCCCTCTTCCTTTCCCTTCACACCAATGTCACCAAATCCTTCCCACCTGCCCTGGCACGTTCTCTGCATCCTGCCCTTCCTTTCTCTTTCCATCTTATTGCAGCCTCATGCCCTCCTTGTCATAGAGGGCCTCACACCTGGACTGTTGTGACAGCCCCCTGTGCCTGTGTCTTTCAGTCCTACTCTTTTTATTTTTATTTATTTTTTGAGACGGAGTCTTGCTCTGTCACCCAGGCTGGAGTGCAGTGGCGCAATCTCAGCTCACTGCAACCTCTGCCTCCCGGGTTCAAGAGATTCTTCTGCCTCTGCCTCCCGAGTAGCTGGAACTACAGGCACGCGCCACCACACCCAGCTAATTTTTGTATTTTTAGTAGAGACGGGGTTTCACCATATTGGCCAGGTTGGTCTCGAACTCCTGACCTTGTGATCCACCTGCCTTGGCCTCCCAAAGTGCTGGGATTACAGGCGTGAGCCACCACACACAGCCCCCACTCTTTTTAAAATTCAGATGTCTCTTCCTGAAAGATTGCTTTCTTCATGTCATTCCCCTGCCCCAATAAATTCAGATTTTCCCTTATATCTGAAGGCCAAAGTCCAAACCTTATAGTCTCACATTTAAGCTTTATGGCTATTTGGCTCTATTTTATTTACCCAAACTTATCTGGTCTTAGCCTAAACCTGTAATATTAACAGGACTGGCTCTCTATTGTCTCCTAAACAACCATGCTTAAGCCCTAACATCCATAACTCATCCTCTCATTCACTGTGGACTCTCCCAATTTTAAGGGGGTAGGGTGGGAAGGAGCAGACATGGACATACGTGTAACGTGCAATTACAGTACAGTGGGATAGTATGGTGCCATCTGCCCCCTGGGAATAGCCTGCCACTCCTGTCCATCCTTCAAGACCATGCTCAGAGCACATGTCCCTGGTGCGGCTTTCCTGGATGAGTTTATCACTTTCTGAACACCTGTGGCACTCACTCTCTGCACTCCTATAAATACATTATTCTCTTTTCTTTTTTTTTTTGAGACGGAGTCTCGCTCTGTCACCCAGGCTGGAGTGCAATGGCGTGATCTCGGCTCACTGCAACCTCTGTCTCCTGGGTTCAAGCAATTCTCCTACCTCAGCCTCCCGAGTAGCTGGGATTATAGGCGCCTGCCACCATGCCCAGATAATTTTTGCATTTTTCGTAGAGATGGGGTTTCACCACGTTGGCCAGGCTGGTCGCGAACTCCTGACCTCAGGTGATCCGCCGGCCTCAGCCTCCCAAAGTGTTGGGATTACAGGCGTGAGCCACCGCGTCCAGCCATAAATGGTTCTCAAATTTGAGGCACAAACTACGGGGCCCCACTGTCAGAGATCCTGTCTCTAGAGGTCAGGGATGGGGCCAGGGAATTTACATTTTTAGCTGACTCCAATGAGGGTTTGCCGACCTCGCTTTGAGTATATCTGCATGGATGACCTTGTACTCGTCACTTCCGCCCTTTCACTTCCACTGTAACTCTATGTGGGCAGAAAACATGTCTTCTTGTCTCTTTGTGGATCAGCCCCCAGGCACCACCAATTAATTGCCTAGCACAGAGAAAGTGCTCCCCAAATTTTACTTTTTCTTGTTCAGAATACAATGCCATCCAAGTTCTCATTTGGCACTTACAACAGCCGCGCCAGGTAGGAAGAAAGGGCGTCCTTCTTACAGACAGATGGGGAGAGAGTCCAAGCCACCAGAGAGCAGAGACTGGCTGATGCAGGCTTAGTTAGAAATCATAGTGCAAGCCACACAGTTGCTTTAGTTGTGGGCTCCCTGGCACTAGCTTCCTGGACTGGTGTTGAACTTTAAGCCCACTTTCCTCTTCTAGAAAGGAACGAGGAAGGAACTGACATTTATTGAGCAATTACTCTCTGCTAAGTACTGGGCTGCAGGATGTATGCATTATTTCAGGGGATCAGGGAAGTACAGCAATGGATACCCCGTTTTTGTTTTTGTTTTTATTTTTTCTGAGACAGAGTTTTGCTCTTGTTGCCCAGGCTGGAGGGCAATGGTGCGATCTTGTCTCACTGCAACCTCCGCCTCCCAGGTTCAAGCGATTCTCCTGCCTCAGCCTCCTGAGTAGCTGGGATTACAGGTGCATGCCACCAGGCCCGGCGAATTATTTTTGTATTTTTAGTAGAAACAGGGTTTTGCTATGTTAGCCAAGCTGGTCTCGAACTCCTGACCTCAGGTGATCTGCCCACCTTGGCCCCCCAAAGTGCTGGGATTACAGGATACCCCAGTTTTATACATGTAAAACGTGGAGGCCCAGGACATCCGAGTTTTTATGCCTCATTGCATAGAATTGAAGAGGCAGAACAGGCCAGACAAGGATAAAGTGACTTCATATTTGTTGGAGGTCAGTTTTATATGCTGGTGTATTGTTCTGGGTGAAAGCACCTAGAACAATTAACCCTCACAACTTAATCCTCACAATTACCTTGCAAAGGAGGTCTCATTTCCTACTCATTTTAAAGATATGACAGTAGTTTCAGAGAGGTTATGCAATTTGCCCAAGGCCACACAGCTGAGAAGAGGAAAAGCTGTGGGTGGTAGAGCTGGGATTCGTGGACTGTCTGACCTCAAAGCTTGTGTGGGTTCTGCAGCCCCGTCCTGCATCGTGCCATGGGGTCCATGCACAGTGTGCACAGCATGTCAGTCGCAGAAACAGGAGTAGGTCCCAGGTCTCTGCATACCTGCTGCTCCCTGACGATATCATCTAGCGTTCTGTTTGCTCAGGGCCTGGATTTGGCTTCTGTCCTGCCCTCCCAAATTCCCACTGGAGACTACTGCTGGGGAAGTTATGGTGCACAGGAAAGAGGATGAGAAAGTGGGGAAGACCAGGCTTTCGACTAGCTGAGAGGTAGGGCTGGGGAGCACGCACCTAGGAAGGCTGGCTTCTGTAAAGTAATTGGGAGGTGGGGGTTTGTGTTTCTCCCAGATCCAGCTGTCTGAGAAGTTCAGGAAAGTGTGGCTGTCCCCTCCGCCCACCCCAAACACACTCCCACCTTCACAGACCCTCCCAAGGACAGACTTCCCAGACACAGATCCGGAGGTGGCTCACAGATGTGCAGGATCAGATTCAAGGTGACACGCACCAGCATACACAGAACCACAGGGCTGCCCGGGCCCGGACTGCCCCACAGAGGCGGCAGATGCACACAGAGGTCAGCCACAGCACCCCACATGGAGGGCTGCTCACCCACAGAGGTGCAGAGGGTGCCACCTCCACCAGCCACCTTGAAGGTACCTTGGAGATTGTCAGGAAGGATGGGGAGGGCATAACAGTGTTTTCTCTGTAACTCCCCTCTCCCCCGCCATGGAAGGAGTCCCACTCTTAAAAGGGAGCTCTGGCTCCTTTCCTACCATTTGTTCTTTCACCAGGCTCAGTTCAGTTCCCCTCTGGCCTGGGGAGGTGTGGGGTGGGGGAGGGGCCGGAGTGTAGACCGCGAGAGGGAGAAGGGGAGGAGGAGGGGACGGCAGGAGCCTGTCCAGGGCTTCCGGGCGGAGTGCAGTCAGGGGGGCCTCGACAACCTCACTTTGCCGTACCAGTGGCAGCCCAGATGGTGGGAGCAAGGTGCTTATTCAACTGCTGCCAGGATTCCTTGGTCCTGGAGGTACTGGGAACAATGGTGGGAATCAGAGGAGGGGACAAGGTTGGGTGGCCAACCTCTAGAGTGGTGGGATTTGGGAGACTCGGACTGGGCCACTGTCAGAGGGGGCTGACACCTGTTATAGTGCCCCTGTGGCGGACCCTTCCTCCAGGTCAGGGTCCCCAGCTGATGTGTCTGTCTTGCCTCAAATCCTTCCAGACGGCGTATGTGTCAGATGAGGAGCAAGGGGAACTAGGCAGCCAGGGGAGACGAGGAGGGAATGGGGAGCTTGGGAACACTTCTGCCAACAACCACGTGACCCCCGGGGAATGGCTGGGGAGGGGTCCCTCCTGCTGTCCCCACCAGCCCATTTGAGCAGGGGCTAGCTTGAGGCATCCCCATCCTGTCTCCCCTCTGCTCATGCAGGCGGAGGGCTAAGGGCTGGCCTGACCACCTTACCGTCTGCGGGGGGCTGCCCACGGTCATCTCCACGTAGTAGCCCTGCCCCGACTTGCCCCTCAGGTTGTCCACCATCTCCACAAAGCTGCCCCTCCGGCCGGGCTCCTCGGGCTCTTCGTCGGTCTCCCGGGGCAGCCGCAGCCCCAGGGGGGCGCCCCCCAGGCCGCTGCGCAGGGGCAGCCGGATGCCGTGCTGGGTGCCGTGGGCAGGCAGCACTCCCGCGCCCATCCACAGCAGGAGCCAGGGCAGGGCTTGGGCCATGGTGGGCCCCGGCCTTCGGGCCCTCTGGGCTCGCACTGGCCCACGTCCGTCCCTGGCGCCTGCCCCCAAGTCTGGGTGGTGCTGGTGGCTTCTCAGGAGAGGGAGCTTGGGGGCATCAGGACGCCAGGGCCTGCAGGGCCCTGGGCCAGCCCCCGGGTCCGGGCTGTGGAGAGCGGTCAGGGGAGATCCGCAGAGCACGGGAGCAGGGGAGAGGCTGGGATCCGGAGCCCGCTACATCGGCACGGCGGCGGCCAGCCTGGGCAGCGGGCGCGGGCTCCCGGCGGGGCTGGGAGGGGCGGGCATGGCGGGCCGGTGGCGGCTTCCCTGGTCCCCCCGGCGGGCGGCGGCGCGGGCAGGGGCAAGGGCTCCGGGCTCCTGCGGCTGCGTTGGCTGCTCAGGCCACCATAATCCAGCTCGCGGCTCGCAGCTCCCGGGCGGGCTGGGGAGGCGGAAAGACTTGTGGCGGCGGCTGTCAAAGCCAAAAGGTTTTCGCTTTTCCCTGGGATCGCTGGGAAGTGTAGTCTTCCCATGGCAGGCAATCCGGCTTCCGGGGCTGGAGAGGGGTCTGGGATGCCCTCTGCCGAGGTGGAGTCCGCCCTGCAAGGCCCTGGCGGGAAGGGCCAGACGGATGGAGAGGGGCACACCTCCCGTCTGTCAGTCTTTCTTTCAGCATGGAAGGAGCACCCACTGTATGCCAGGCACACTGCCAGGCGCTGGAGATACAGAGAGAAATAAACGGTGATTCTACACGGGACAGTTAAGTGATTCCTGCCGCGGTGGGGTTTCACACTATACGATGTGGCATTAAGGAGTAGGGATTTGGAGGGACATCTAGGGGATCTGGGAAGACTCAGTGGGAGAAGGTGGTATTTAATTTGAGCGTTTAAAAATGGGTAGGATTTTCACGAGCAGAGATTGAGGGAGCAGGATGAAAGGGGAGGAAGAGTTTTTCCAGGCTGCAAACCAGCGGAGCAGGGTCCAAAAGGGGAAAGTGCAGTTGTCTTATTTTCTCCTGCGCCTGCGATCTGCGGGCAGGTAAGAGCCAGTGGGTCTTCTCCCATCTGAACCTGTTTGTGCCCTTGAGGCTCTACTTGAATCCTTATGGCTCCTCTGATTTTCTGCACCATCAGCCAGACTGAGGAGAAATGGCTGTTGATAGCTTTAAAGTGTTAACACTCCGAAAAGTATCTCTATATTAACTGGTAAGAGCTTAAAGCCTTGAACCAAAAGCGTTAGAGTTCTAATAGCTTAAAGGAGAAAAGCCGGTATGGTTTTAACAATATATTGTTTATCAAATGTGGAAAGCCATTGATAAAATTCAGCAGTTACTCTGATTTAATTTTTTTAAAAAATGAAAGGGAATCTTCATTTTTCTTTTGAAAAGGAGACTTGCTCTGTCACCCAGGCTGGAGTGCAGTGGCATGGTCTCAAGTCTGCAACCTCCGCCTCCCGGGTTCAAGCAGTTCTCATGCCTCAGCCTCTGAGTAGCTGGGATTACAAGCATGCGCCACCATACCCAGCTAATTTTTGTATTTTTAGTAGAGATGGGATTTCACCATGTTGGCCAGGCTGGTCTCGAACTCCTGGCCTCAAGTGATCCGCCCACGTCGGCCTCCCAAAATGCTGGGATTATAGGCATGGACCACTGTACCCAGCCAGGAAACTTTTTAAACAAGATAACGACAACAACAACAAATGTAGTAATAACAGGCTACGTTACTCCCATTAAAGGCAGGCTTTGGAAAGGAAAGATCATTATCTCTACTCTTTTTTTTTTTTTTTTTGAGAAGGCGTCTCGCTTTGTCGCCCAGGCTGGAGTGCAGTGGTGGGATCTCAGCTCACTGCAAGCTCTGCCTCCCGGGTTCAGGCTATTCTCCTGCCTCAGCCTCCCGAATAGCTGGGACTACAGGCGCCTGCAACCACGCCCCGCTAATTTTTTGTATTTTTAGTAGAGACGGGGTTTCACCGTGTTAGCCAAGATGGTCTCGATCTCCTGACCTCGTGATCCTCCCGCCTCGGCCTCCCAAAGTGCTGGGATTAC
The DNA here is from genome assembly GCF_000001405.40 of Homo sapiens. Lineage (NCBI taxonomy): Eukaryota > Metazoa > Chordata > Mammalia > Primates > Hominidae > Homo > Homo sapiens. The sequence goes on from NC_000011.10 coordinate 117,317,837, forward strand.
AGGCGTGAGCCACCGCGCCCGGCCGATCATTATCTCTACTCTTATCCTACACGGTTCAGACCGGTCTGATTGACTCAAAAGACAAGAAAATGGAAAAAGTGTTATATATGTTGGAAAGCAAAGGAATCATTAGTTGCAGATTATATGATATGGATAGAAAACCCTAATCAATAAGATGATTAGACACAAGTTAAAAAAATCGAAATCAAAATAGAGAAATGTATCTATGGGAATTGTAGATATGATAGAGATGGCATTCGTATTAGAGGAAAATGGACGCATTATTCAAAAACTGTTGTTGGGACGTCTGGCAGCCCATTTGGAAGGAAAAAAAACCAAATCCAATTTCATTCCTCTGAAAATAAACTCCAGATAGATTAAAGAATTTAACATTAAAATAAAACTACAGGAAAAATAGAATATTTTCATGATCTTATATTGAAGAAGACCTCCCTAACAAACCCTAGAAGGTAAACAAACCCAAAAACTGGATGGATTTGATGACTTAAATATTTAAAACTTCTGTAGAATCAGAAGTATTCCAATACCACCAGTGTTCTAATTCTGGTTCAATTAGTAACTGGGAGAGCCCACTCTGGTTACTTACTTTTTGAGTCCTTTTTTTTTTTTTTGAAACAGTCTCACTTTATCACCCAGGCTGGAGTGCAGTGGCTTCATCTCAGCTCACTGCAACCTCCTCCTCCTGGGTTCAAGCGATTCTTGTGCCTCAGCCTCCTGAGTAGCTGGGATTACAAGCGCACACCACCATGCCTGGCTAATTTTTTTTTTTTTTGAGACGGAGTCTCCCTCTGTCACCCAGGCTGGAATGCAGTGGCATGATCTCAGCTCACTGAAACCTCTGCCTCCTCAAGCGATTCTCCTGCCTCAGCCTCCCAAGTAGCTGGGACTACGGGCACGCGCCAGCACGCCCAGCTAATTTTTGTATTTTTAGTGGAGACGGGAATTCACCATGTTAGCCAGGCTGGTCTCTAACTCCTTACCTCAAGTTATCTGCCTGCCTCAGCCTCCCAAAGTGATGAGATTACAGGCGTGAGCCAACTTGCCTGGCCCCTTTTTGAGACTTGATTTTATCATTTGTAAAATGGAGATAATGATATTAATAGTTCAAACCTCAAAAGGTAAGAATTCGATGAGACAATCCATGTAAAGCATTTAGAATGGTGTCCAGCATATTGTAAGTGCTCAATAAAGGTCAGCTATTAGGATTATTACTGTTGCAACTACTGAGAAAACTGACATTTACAAAGTTAAAAGATCAGTCACAGATTAAGAAACAACATTTATCACACAATAGAGACAAAGGGCTAATGTTTATAATGTGCAAAGAGCTTCTACAAATCAATATAAATCCCAAACAACCTGATAGAAAAATGAACAAAGGGTAAGGGGAAAGAGTGAGGAAAAACAACAACAAAACACAAAAAAGAAAAGAAAAAGAAAAATGAACAAAGAATGTGAACAGTTAATTCACAGAGGAAATTCAAATGGATGATAAACATAAAAAACCTTGAAAAAAGCTTAACTTCGTTAATAGTTGAAAGAACACAAAGTAAAACAGTAGATTCTTTGTTCCTTTTTCTTTCTTTCGTCTCCTCTCAGATTGGTAACATTTGGTATTGGTGAAGGTATTGTTTGGACTGTAAATTATTCCATTTTTGGAGAGTAATTTGCAATGCCTATTAATATGTTAAAAATGCAAACTCTTTGGGCAATGGCATTTCTAGGACCCTTTCCAACAAAAACAACAATATTTCAGCAGTGTGTACTATGGCAAAACCTTGGATTCAAAACAAATGAAGCTGGGTGTGATAGTTCACGCCTGTAATCCAAGCCACTTGGGAGTCTGAGGTGGGAGGATCGCTTGTGGCCAGGAGTTCAAGACCAGCCTGGAGACAGAGCAAGACCCCATCTCTTTAAGCAAAACCAAAAATAATCATCAAGCCTGTAATCCTAGCACTTTGGGAGGCCGAGGTGGGTGGATCACCTGAGGTCAGGAGTTTGAGACCAGCCTGGCCAACATGGTGAAATCCTGTCTCTACTAAAAATACAAAAAAATTAGCCAGGCATGGTGGTGGGTGCCCATAATCACAGCTACTTGGGAGGCTGAGGCAGGAGAATCGCTTGAACCCGGGAGGTGGAGGTTGCAGTGAGCCGAGATTGCACCACTGCACTCCAGCCTGGGTGACAGAGCAAGACTGTCTCAAAAAAAAAAATTTAGCTAGGTGTGATGGCACATGCCTGTAATCCCAGCTACTTGGGAGGTTGAGGCAGGAGAATCGCTTGAACCTGGGAGATAGAGGTTGCAGTGAGCCGAGATTGCGCCACTGCCCTCCAGTCGGGTGACAGTGAGAATCGGTCTCAAAAAAAAAAAAAAAATTAAATAGGGAACAAGACATTTGTTCAATGAAATCCTAAGTAACCATTAAAAACAATGGGATAGCTTCTTATAAACTGGCCTTCCAGGCTGGAGTGCAGTGGCACAGTCTTGGCTCACTAAAACCTCCACCTCCCAGGTTCAAGCAATTCTCTGCCTCAGCCTCCTGAGTAGCTGGGATTACAGGCGTGTGCCACCATGTCTGGCTAATTTTTGTATTTTTAGTAGAGATGGGGTTTTGCCATGTTGGCCAGCCTGGCTAATTTTTGTGTTTTTAGTAGAGATGGGGTTTCACCACGTTGGGCAATTCTCTGCCTCAGCCTCCTGAGTAGCTGGGATTACAGGCGTGTGCCACCATGTCTGGCTAATTTTTGTATTTTTAGTAGAGATGGGGTTTTGCCATGTTGGCCAGCCTGGCTAATTTTTGTGTTTTTAGTAGAGATGGGGTTTCACCACGTTGGCCAGACTGGTCTCGAACTCCTGACCTCGTGATCCACCTGCCTCGGCCTCCCAAAGTGCTGGGATTACAGGTGTGAGCCACCGCGCCCGGCCTGTTTATGACAAGTTAAAGAAAGCATGTCAGGGGCCTGACGTGGTGGCTCACACCTGGAATCCCAGCACTTTGGGAGGCCAAGGCGCGTGAATCAGGAGTTCAGGGCCAACCTGGCCAAGATGGTGAAACCCTGTCTCTACTAAAAATACAAAAATTAGCTGGGCGTGGTGGCGGATGCCTGGAATCCCAGTTACTCGGGAGGCTGAGGCAGAGAATTGTTTGAACCCGGGAGGCGGAGGTTGCAGTGAGCCAAGATCATGCCAATGCACTGTAGCCTGGGTGACAGAGTGAGACTACGTATCAAAAAAAAAAAAAAAGCACATGTTAGAACAATAACATTATGATCTCATTTCTGTAAAAATTAAAAAGAATGGGCTGTGCATATATGCATAAATATGTAGGTATATACATTTACATCTGCATAAGCATAAAAAAATATGGAAGATAGCACCCACAGTGTCAACAGTGGTTTCCTTTGAAGTGTAGGGTTTAATTTCTTCCTTAGTTTGCTCATTCATTCATTCAGTAAATGTACACTGAGTGCCTACTACACGCTAAGCACTATTTTAGGCACTGAGGATACAATGATATGTAAAATCCCTGTCCTCATGGAGCTTACACTCTAATGCAGGAAGACAGACAGTAAAGAAATAAAATTATAGTATCTTGGATGGTGATATGTGCTATAGAGAAAAATAAAATAGAGAAAGGAGATGGGAGGGCGGTTTGCAGTTTCAAATAAAGTGGATTGAAAGTGTAGAGGGAACATTTTATATCTTTGTATCCTTAAATAATTGGTAGGATTATCAAGTGTTTTCCTTTCTTATCATGTGAGTAGTTTTCTGTATAGCCCAAATAAACAGTATAAAAAAGAGAATAAAAAGTTATTTTTTTCCCAGAATTAAAATGCTTGTTTATTTATTTGTATTTAGAGATGGGGTCTTGCTCTGTCACTCAGGCTGCAGTGCAGTGGCATGATCATGGCTCACTACAGCCTTGACCTCCTGTGCTCAAGTGACCCTTCCACATCAGCCTCTGTAGATGAGACTACAGGTACACACCATCAAGCCTGGTTAAATTTTTGGGTTTTTTTTTAAGAGATTGGGTCTCACTATATTGCCCAGGCTGGTCTTGAACTCCAGGCCTCAAAGGATCTTCCTGCCCCGGCCTCTCAAAGTGTTGGGATTACAGATGTGAGCCATTGCTCTCGGCTGTTACTGTTTTTTGATTAACATTTAATTGTACATGTTTATGGAGTACAATTTGATATTTTGATACATATATATGTTGCATAATGATCACATCAGGATATTTAGCATGACCACCACTTTATTTATTTATTTATTTTTGAGGTGGAGTCTCGCTCTGTTGCCCAGGTTGGAGTACAGTGGCGTGATCTTGGCTCACTACAACCTCCACCTCCCAGGTTCAAGGGATTCTCCGGCCTCAGCCTCCTGAGTAGCTGGGACTACAGGCGTGTACCACCATGCCCGGCTAATTTTTTGTATTTTTAGTAGAGATGGGGTTTCACCATGTTAGCCAGGATGGTCTCGATCTCCTGACCTCATGATCCGCCCGCCTCGACCTCCCAAATGCTGGATTTATAGGCGTGAGCCACCGCGCCCGGCCCACATTATGCATTTATAATTTCTTTGTGGTAAGGACATTCAAAAGTCTCTCTTCTAGCTATTTTGAAATATACCGTATCAGTGTTACTGTTAACCATTGTCACCCTACTGTGCAATAGGATACCAGAATTTATTCCTCCTTTTCCTTTTTCTTTTTTTTTGAGACAGAGTTTTACTCTTGTTGCCCAAGCTGGAGTGCATGGCACGATCTTGGCTCACTGAAACCTCTGCCTCCCGGGTGCAAGTGATTCTCCTGCTTCAGCCTCCCAAGTAGCTGAGATTATAGGCATGTGTCACCACGCCTGGCATATTTTGTGTTTATATATATATATGTATATAGATAGATTTTTTTTTTTTTTTTTTTTTTTTTTGGAGATGGAGTCTTTTCTGTCACCCAGGCTGGAGTGCAGTGGCGTGATCTCGGCTCACTGCAACCTGCACCTCCCAGGTTCAAGCAATTCTCCTGCTTCAGCCTCCTAAGTAGCTGGGACTACAGGCTCACGCCACCATGCCCAGCTAATTATTTGTATTTTAGTAGAGACGGGGTTTCACTGTGTTGCCCAGGCTGGTCTCGAACTCCTGAGCTCAGGCAATCTGCCTACCTCAGCCTCCCGAAGTGCTAGGATTACAGGTGTGAGCCACCGCATCTGGCCTAATTTTGTATTTTTAGTAGAGACGGGGTTTCTCCACGTTGGCCAGGCTGGTCTTGAACTCCTGACCTCAAGTGATCCACTCACCTCCACCTCCCAAAGTGCTGGGATTACAGGTATGAGCCACCGTGCCCAGCCTATTCCTTCTAATAGTAACTTTATACTCATTGACCAACCTTTTCCCATCTTCTGCTCTCTTTTCCTCAATCTGGTAACCACTGTTCTACTCTCTATGAGATCAACTTTTTTTTTTTTTAATTCCACATGACTGAGATCATGCGGTATTTGTCTTTCTGTGCCTAGCTTATTTCACTTAACACCATGTCCTCCAGGTTCATTCATGTTGTTGCAAATGGTAGGATTCCATTTTTTTTTATGGCTGAATGTTATATCATTGTGTATATATACCACATTTTCTTTTTCCATTCATCTGTTGTTGGACAGCTGGGTTCATTGCATATCTTGGGTAATGTAAATAATGCTGCAGTTAACATGGGGGTGCTGAAATCTTTTTAACATACTAATTTCATTTCCTTTGGATATATACTGAGTAGTGGGATTGCTGGATTGTGTGGTAGTTCTATTTTTAATTTTTTGAGGAACCACCATACAGTTTCCATGGTGATTGTACTAATTTACAGTCCCACCAACATTTTAAGTATTCCCTCTTCTCCATATCCTCACCAGCTTTTGTTTTCCTTTGTCTGTTTTATTGTAGCCATTTTAACTGGAATAAGGTGGTATCTCATTGTGGTTTTGGTTTGCATTTCCCTCATGGTTAGTAACGTTGAACATTTTTTCACGTACCTGTTGGCCATTTGTATATCTTCTTTTGAGAAATGTCTTTTAAGGCAGTTTGCCCATTTTAAAAATCCGGTTATTTGGTTTTTTTTCTCTTGTTTTGGCTGTTGAGTTGTAAGAAAAAGTTCTAATAGTGGTTTCTGACCTAGGAGTAGGGAAAAAATTTGTCATCAATTCTTTCCCATCTTTGAAATATGACCCCTAAATGTTCATCCTTACTGTAGAAGACAACCTATGAGTGAAGTCCTCTCTCTCTTCTTCACTCATTGGGTATATTACTGGTATATCATTTAGTGTGTCAGGATGGGCACAGTGGCTCATGCTTGTAATCCCAGCATTTTGGGAGGCCAAGGCAGGCAGATCACCTGAGGTCAGGAGTTCAAGACCAGCCTGGCCAACATGATGAAAGCCCATTTCTACTAAAACTACAAAACATAGCCCGGTGTGGTGGCACATGCTTGTAGTCCCAGCTACTTGGGAGGCTGGGGCAGGAGAATCGCTTGAACCCAGGAGGCAGAGATTGCAGTGAGCTGAGATTGCACCACTGCACTCCAGCCTGGGCAACAAACTCCCTCTCAAAAAAAAAAAAAAAAATTTGTGTGTCATTTTTGTTATTTTCCCCCCAAAGTCTTACTTTTTAAATTATGTTTGCCTTGGGGGCATTTTATAAATTGGCTTGCATTTCTGAGTACAAACCTATGGGGAAACCTGATAAAATGCAAATTGTTGATTTGTGTGAAGGTAATCCTGTTAATCCCACAGTATCTCTTATTTTATTAGCTCTTCCCATGAGAGAGCAAGGAACCCATGCTAAGGCACAAGAGTTAAGCATTTGGATGGCAATTAAAATCAACAGGGCTGGGCGTGGTGGCTCATGCCTGTAATCCCAGCACTTTGGAAGGCCGAGGTGGGTGGATCACCTGAGGTCAGGATTTCAAGACCAGCCTGGCCAACATGGTGAAACCCTGTCTCTACTAAAAATACAAAAATTAGCCTGGCATGGTGGTGACAGAGTAAGACTGTATCTCAAAAAGCAAACAAACAAACAAACAAAAAACCAGATTGATTGCAAAGATTGCAAATTCTTAGATATAGGGACCAAGTCTACAAATGGTTTTTTGAATCCCTGTTTTGTGCAGGTTTGTGGTAGATGAGCTGGTGAGCCCAGAATTCCTTCCCAGTCTGGTCCCTTTGGCCCCTCAGTGAGACCTTTATTTATTTATTTATTTATTTATTTTTGAGACAGAGTCTCACTTTGTCACCCAGGCTGGAGTGCGGTGGCGTGATCTTGGCTCACTGCAACCCCTGCCTCTCGGGTTCAAGCGATTCTCCTGCCTCAGCCTCCCAAGTAGCTGGGACTACAGGTGTGTGCCACCACGCCCAGTGAATTTTTGTGTTTGTAGTAGAGACAGGGTTTTGCCATGTTGGCCAGGCTGGTCTTGAGCTCCTCATCTCAGGTGATCCACCTGCCTCACCCTCCCGAAGTGCTGGGATTACAGGTGTGAGCCACCACAGCCTGGCCTACTTTTTTCTTTTTTTGAGACAGAGCTTCGCTCTTGTCAAACAGGGTGGAGTGCAATGGCGAGATCTCGGCTCACTGCAACCTCCACCTCCTGGGTTCAAGCGATTCTCCTGCCTCGGCCTCCCGAGTAGCTGGGATTACAGGTGCCTGCCACCACAACCAGCTAACTTTTGTATTTTTAGTGGAGATGGGGTTTCACCATGTTAGCCAGGCTGGTCTCAAACTCCTGACCTCAGGCGATCTGCCTGCCTCGGCCTCCCAAAATGCTGGGATTACAGGTGTGAGCCACTGTGACCGGCCAAGACTTTTAAAGAAGATGGAGAGGAAAGGGGACGATGATTTGTCATTTACAGTAAGAATAAAGGAAGTATAGGCATAACTGCTGCAGAAGGATTTAAATTTAAACATGATGACGTCAATCTAAATAACAGAGAGGGAAACTCCAAAAGAAAATGATATTTATTTAGAAGTAGCATTGCAATAGGTATACACATGCCATAGAGGCTGGGCAAGTAGGACCTTTTTTTTTTTTTTTTTTTTTTGAGACGGAGTGTCGCTCTTGTTGCCCAGGCTGGAGTGCAATGTCGAGACCTTGGCTTACCACAGACTCCGCCTCCTGGGTTCAAGCGATTCTCCTCTCTCAGCCTCCCGAGTAGCTGGGATTACAGGCATGCACCACCATGCCTGGCTAATTTTGTATTTTTTAGTAGAGATGGGGTTTCTCCATGTTGATCAGGTTGGTCTTTAACTCCTGACCTCAGGTGATCCACCTGCCTTGGCCTCCCAAAGTTCTGGGATTCCAGGCATGAGCCACTGTGCCTGGCTCAAGTAGGAATTTTTATTTTATTTATTTTTTTAGACGGAGTCTTGCTCTGTCACCCAGGCTGGACTGGAGTGCAGTGGCTTGATCTGGGCTCATTGCAACCTCCACCTCCCGGGTTTAAGTGCCTCAGCCTCCTGCCTCAGCCTCCTGAGCAGCTGGGACTACAGGCGTGTGCCACCATGCCCAGCTAATTTTTGTATTTTTAGTAGAGACGGGGTTTCATCATATTGGCCAGGCTGGTCTCGAACTCCTGACCTTAGGTGATCCACCCGCCTTGGCCTCCCAAAGTGCTGGGATTACAGGTGTGAGCCACTGTGCCTGGCAAAGTGCTAGGATTACAGATATGAGCCACCAGGCCCGGTCGATAGTTTTTGTTATCAGGTATTCATGCGTGAGAACCCTCTCTTCATGGTCTTCCCTGGCTCCATTTGTCAGGGTTTTAAAACAAATGACTCTATTTTGATTTTGATAATTTTCACAAGGAATATGCTCTGTATATTCCAACAATCTGAGTTTCTCATCCTGGAATCAGCCTCTGAGTGGCACTGGGACTATCCTGAGTCAGCTACATCTCTAGAACCTATCAGGAGCGGCTCTATGAGCTTGGCCTCATCATTTTCCTCCTCAACTAGCAGCATCTGTATTTGTCTGTTTCTCAGTTTTCCTATTGATGTAATGGCCAGAACTTTCTTTGCCCCTCTTAACTTCTCTAGGAGGTTGGAGACATATGAGAGAAAGGAAGATTTGCCCTCCGTGCAAGCAAAACTAAAACTCTTCGGAATTATATTAGTAGCAACCTTTCTGCCCGACAGGGTGTGTGGAGGAGCTACACATTGTGTCACTTTTTTTCTTCTTCAATAGACTCTTTGAAATAGTTATGACAGACATTACTATCCCCATCTTGCAGACATACAAACTGAACCCTGGGCTTTGGTGAAAAGATGGATAGTAGAAAATAGGTTTAACTCCTGGTCAGGTGCTCACTGGTTTAATAGGAGCACAGGAGAGCCAGTTTTTTTGCGGGGAGAGATGGGGAGTGGACGCGTCTCCATTACCTTACATTCACATTTGTTTTGTTGATTAAAGTAACAATGGGTTGATTATTGATGACCACTGTATTATTCACCTGATGTTAATCATACTCCTAACAAATGATCAATTAGATAATTAGATAATTCACATTAGTATAAATACTCTAAATAGTCCTTCTCTGTCCTGGCAGAAATCCTCACGTCTAAACTCGGGGTCCTCTTTTTTTTTTTTTTTTTTTTTTAGTAGAGAAGGGGTTTCACCATGTTGGTCAGGCTGGTCTCGAACTCCTGACCTCAGGTGACCCACCCGCCTCGGCCTCCCAAATTGCTGGAATTACAGGCGTGAGCCACCGCGCCCAGCCGATGAGGTTCTCTTTCAACCTCTTGCGGATTCCCATTATCTATCTTAAACTACACTCTTTCAACCTCTTGCGGATTCCCATTATCTATCTTAAACTACACTCCCATCGTGCAACGGAAAACGGACAGAGCTCCTGCGTGCACCGAAGGGACTTCGAGCCAATCCATTGTCACAGCTCTCAGCCGGCGACCTATTGGCTCCTGCTGGAGGCGGGACTCCCGGTTGCTAGGCGGTACCTTTTCCGGAAGTGTTTGTTGCGCGCTGCAGGGCAACACCCCGGCGTCCCTGGAAGCTGGGGGAGCGGGTGGGTGTTGGGTGGCGTTGGGGGAGCTGCGCCTCGCCCAGAGCCTCGCCCGGAGCCTCGCCCGGAGCCTTCCGGGGTGGGGGATAGTTGAGGACCTCATCGAGGGAGGGGTTGGGCGGCGGGGAAGGGAGCGAGCGTGGCGGGGGACCCGAGGCACGCTCTCGAGCCAACGAGCGTGATGCGCTCGAGTGTGGGCGGGGACTGAGGGAAGAAGTGAAAATCGGACTGCCAGGCGACAGTTCCTCCGTTTGAAATCTCGCCGGCTCCTGAGCGGGCCACCGGGCCCGGGCTGGGGGTCTGGCGGGTGAGTGAGCAGCGGGTCGGGACGCGGGAGAGGGGCACTGGGCACGGGGCCCTGGTTTGCTTGCTCTGTTCATCGTTGGCGAGTGAGGCCAGGCCTTCCGAAGCTTGCTGGGATACTTCTGTGGCAGGCTTCCCCCCGGGTCCAAATCCGGGGCTAGCCCAATCTTATGCCATCTTTGGCCAGCTGGGAAAGTTGGAAAGCTTTTTTGTTTTTTCCTTTTCTTGCATTGGATTTAAAAATGTCCCTCTACCTCTGGCACCGCTCTCCTCACTTGGCTTCAGCGACTCCCTGTCCGTTCTCCTAACTCAGTCCTTGGCAGTAGAAAGCTCCCTTCTACTCGGCGCACTCCATCTCTTGCGTTATCAGCTTTTCAGCGTTGACTCGCCAAACTACTCCAGCCAGACCTCTTTCCTGAGCTCAGACCTGCTTACTGTCATCGTCAGCCTTCCCCGGTCCCTCCGATCTGTTTCTCCTCTTGTATTTTTTTATCTCAATGAAGGGCTTCACCATTCACTCAGCCAAGTCTGTCCCTTTAATTTATTCATCTAATAAATACAGCAAACATTTGTCGGACATGCCCTGTCTTCTAGGCAGTGTAGTAGGTGGGGCTGCCTATTGGACGAGGCATAGAAATGAACACATCTAGAAATGATAGTCACAGTGTTCTGGCTTTAGTGCTCTGATTTCCCTCCTCTCTCCCGAAGTTCAAGTCCTGTATTCTGCCTCTTAATTCCCCTAGAATCTGGCGCTTCCTTTCCATCCTCACAGACACTGACTTAGTTCATAATTTCTTGCTTGTGCTTTCAGGATAACTTCCTAAGTGGTCTCTCTGCCTCAGTTCTTGTCCTCCTGTAATTAGTTCTTATGCAGCTGTCAGAATCATTTATTTATTTTAGAGACAGGGTCTTGGTATGTTGCCCAGGCTGGAGTGCAGTTGGTATTCACCGGTGTGACCCTAGTACACTGCAGCCTCGAACTCTTGCCCTCAAGCCATCCTCCCACCTCAGTCTCCTTAGTAGACGGGACTACAGGCATGCACCACTATTCTTGGCTAGAATCGTCTATCTGACCTACAGATCTGGTCATGCCAGTCTCCTTTGTGAAATCCTGTGATGGCCCCTCATCATTTACAGGATAGAGCCTCTGTTCTTCCAGGCCCTTTATAATATGCTCTTGCCTTTCATTCTAGAGCTCTGTCTTGCCACTCCTCCCACTGTCCCTTGCACTCTGGTCATGTCAGAATGGTTAAGAGTTTGGGCTTTGGAGTCAGACATGGATACTTACATATTCTGCTCTACCGTTTATTAGCTGTGACACCTTGGGCAAGTTTGTTTGTTTGTTTGTTTGTTTTGAAATAGAGTCTTGCTCTGTCGCCCAGGCTGGAGTGCAGTGGTGCGATCTTGGCTCACTGCAGTCTCAGTCTCCTGGGTTCAAGCGATTCTCCTGCCTCAGCTTCCCGAGTAGCTGGGACTACAGGTGGGCACCACAACTCCTGGCTAATTTTTTGTATTTTGGTAGAGACGGGGTTTCACCATGTTGGCCAGGCTGGTCAGGATCTCCTGACCTCATTATCCGCCCACCTCCGCCTCCCAAAGTGCTGGGATTACAGGCGTGAGCCACTGCGCCTGGCCTTTTTTTTTTTTTTTTTTTTTTTAACTTTGCTAAGCCTCAGTTTCCTTATTTGAAAAGTGAAGATAATTCTATTTTGCTGAGTGGATGAAGTGAGATGATGTATATAGAGCACTCAGTACAGTTCCTGTAACATAGGAAGTGTTCAGTGGCTATAAGCTTTTGTTGTCATAATTAATTCTTTGCACCCACCTTATGATTTTCTTCTTTTTTGCCTTTGTGCATGTTGTTCCTCTGCCGTGAATTCCCTTACTCCGCTTATCCTGGGGATCACCTGCTTATCCTTCAAGAACTATCTCAATTGTCCTCTGTGAGGCTTTCCCTGATCTTCCTAAGATTATTTGCCCTTACCTTTGTGTTCTGTTATATATTATGTTACTTCCTTTAATTCATGTAACACATTTTGTAGTCATGTGTTTACGTGTTTGGCTTTCCAGGTAGGCTGAGCTCAAGTTCAGGGCCATGTGTAATCAGGTTTGTAGCCCTAACACGTCGCACAATGTCTGGCCCATGGTGGGTGTTCAGTAAGTGATTACTTGGCGCGGTGACTCACGCCTGTAATCTCAGCACTTTGGGAGGCCAAGGCGGGCGGATCACCTGAGGTCAGGAGTTCGAGACTTGGCCAACATGGTGAAACCCCATCTCTACTAAAAATACAAAAATTAGCCGGGCGTGGTGGCAGGCGCCTGTAATCCTAGCTACTCGTGAGGCTGAGGCAGGAGCATCATTTGAACCTGGGAGGCAGAGGCTGCAGTGAGCAGAGATCGTGCCATTGCACCCCAGCCTGGGTGACAAGAATGATACTCTGTCTCAAAAAAAAAGCAAAGAAAAAGTGATTACTTAATGTCTGAATGGCCTTAACTTATATTGCCTGGTGCTGGATATGTCCTTTGGAGCAAGGTAGAATAAACCCTTTTAAATAGGTGAATAGCAGTCATAATAATGTAATGTCTAACATTTATTGAGACCTTAGTATATTTTAAGCACTTTACATGTATTGAATCATATAAGCCTCACAACACATTGTGATGGATATTGTTAGTACTCTCATTTTATAGATGAGAAAACTGAGGCTGTCCAGCTAGTAAGAGGCAGAGCTGGGATTGAAAGCCAAGAATGTTCCAAAGCTTTTGCTCATTACCACTGCGTAATCAACTCTGACATCTTCCACCTTCTCCCCTTTACCTTCTCCAGTCAATCTTTTCTGTGGTCAACCTTCTTTGTAATTGTTGGAGCAGGGTGGAAGAAATAAATATACAGAGAACCCTCATTATGTCTGTGAGTGTATATTCTCTGTTAGTGTGCAGATGTGCAAAACTCTAGCTATGCTGACAAAGTACAGGGCAAGGTAGCCACAATATTGAAGGACTGGGAAACGATATGTACTGAATGGAAGAGAACTGGGAATACTTAGCCTACCTTAGCTAGAGAATCCTAGGGTGTCCCCAGATGAGCAGAAGGCAGACTTGAGATACCAGGGAACATTTTTTTAGAACCTGATTATTGGCTTACTATTAGACCTTCTAATAGTTAAGAATTATCTAACTATGGAATTGAAAATAGAATCTGTAATACTAGCTAAATTTGTGTAACTTTTCTGTATACAGGGACTGTGCTAGGCACTTTATAAGTGTTGTTTCATTTTACTTTCAGGCTTTTTGATTTTTGTTAAGATTGTTTTAATTATACACATGCAGTTATTGAGGCTGAGAGAGGTGAAGCACCTTGCCTAAGGTCATACAGCTGCTAAGTGAGAGAGCTGGGATTTGAATCCAGGTCTTCTGTCTCCAAAGCTGGTACTTTGACCACTATGCCGCCTGTCACTGGAAGCACAGAGAGGAAAATTTTGGCATGGGAAGGAAGGTGGACCAAAACTACTGCGGGTCTTCCTAGCTTCTGAGATTGCTGGTGTATTTTTTTTTTTTTTCAGATAGGGTCTCACTCTGTTGCCCAGGCTGGAGTATGGTGGTACAATCATAGCTCACTGCAGCCTCGAACTCCTGGTCTCAAGTGATCCTCCCACCTCTGCCTCCCCACTTTACACTCTTTATGTAACTCTGTCTTCCTTTCCATCTGATCACATAGCTCCTGCCTCAGCCTTCCGAGTAGCTGGGACCACAGGTGCACGCCACCATGCCTGGCTAATATATATATATATATATATATTTGTGGAGACAGGGTCTTACTATATTGCTCAGGCTGGTCTTGAGCTTCTAGGCTCAAGTGATCCTAGGCCTTGGTCCCCCATAGTATTGGGATTACCGGTGTGAGCCACAACACCCGGCCTATTCCTTGGTTTTATATTAGCAGTTACAGCAGTAACTGAGCTCCGACAGCTTACATAGGCTTATTTTAGGCTTTGTTGGAAAATTCCAGAGGAGGAGACATGGCCCTCAGAAGTTTGTGGTTTAACAGGAGAGGTAAGAAGACACATTTTCATAAAAAAAGTAATATTGGCCAGGCACGGTGGCTCACGCCTGTAATCCCAGCACTTTGGGAGGCCGAGGCGGGTGGATCACCTGAGGATAGGAGGTCGAGACCAGCCTGACCAACATGGAGAAACTGCATCTCCACTAAAAAAATACAGAATTAGCCAGGCGTGGTGGCACATACCTGTAATCCCAGCTACTCAGGAGGCTGAGGCAGGAGAATCGCTTGAACCCAGGAGGCGGAGGTTGCAGTGAGCCGAGATCGCACCATTGCACTCCAGCCTGGGCAACAAGAGCGAAACTCCTCTGTCTCAAAAAGAAAGAAAGAAAAAATAATAATATTGAGAGAAATCTGTCTGGGAACACATGAAAATTATGAGCTCAGTGCTAAGGTGGTTCTGGGTTGACAGGAGAGGATAAAATTGGCTGGGAAGGCTTCCTGGAGGAAACGTGTGAGCCACTCCTTTTTTGCCTGATTCTGAGATTGGTAGGAGATGCATGAGTGCAGTTGGGTGACCCCTCCTAACTCTGGCTCACAGAAGGTCTCAGGCTAGGCAGCAAGTAGATCTCACTGGATTTCATCTCATCTATTGGTAACTGCTACGTAGTGAACAATGTTGAGGGTTCTGAGGCCATGTCTAGGGTGCCATAATTGACTAGTGATGTCCTTCACAGTTTTAGGCCTGGAGGAAAATAGTAGGACATGTCCTATTTGTTTGCCATGGCAGATCTAAGGGCTGCATTCTCATTTATTGATTTATTTTAGAGACAGGTCTTGCCCTGTCACCCAGGCTGGAGTGCAGTGGTGTTATCATAGCTCACTGTAGCCTTGAACTCCTGGGCTCAAGGGATCCTCCCACCTGAGCCCCCCAAGTAGCTGGGACTACAGGTGTGTGTCACCATGCATGGCTGATATTTTTAATTTTTTGTAGAGACGGTCTCACTATGTTGACCCAGCTAGTCTCAAACTCCTGGCTTCAAGTGATCCTCCTGCTTTAGCCTCCCAAAGCCCTGTTATTACAGGTGTGAGCCACAGTGCTTGGCCCAAGGGCTGCATTCTTAGACTTCTCATCCTCTGTTACCACTCCAACTCAGGTTACCATTGCCTCTTACCTAGCCTAGCTCATGGTTTTCTACCTTATTTCTCTGCATCAGCCCTGATTTTCTTCTTTCCAATCTGGCCTCCGCTTTAGGGTGTACTCCTAGTAGCTTCTGGAGTAGTTTTTCAAAATGTGTATCTGGAAAAACTATTTCCTGGCTTCCATTCCTCTCTCTTTTTTGAGACAGGGTCTTGCTCTGTCACTGAGCCTGGAGTGTGGTGGCACAATCAAGGCTCACTGCAGCCTTGACCACCTGGGCTCAAGTGATCCTCCCGCCTCAGTCTCCCCTGTAGCTGGGACTACAGGTATACACCACCATACCTGGCTAATTTTTAATTTTTTTTGTACAGGGTAAGACAGGGTCGTCTTATGTTGCTCACGGTGGTCTTGAACTCCTGGGCTCAAGCGATCCTCCTGCTTTGGCCTCCCAAAGTGCTGAGATTGCAGGTGTGAGCCACTGTGCCCAGCCCTAGTTCTGTTATGATAAAGGGCAAGTCTGCATGGCCTGGCTCCCACTGGCCTCCCCAGCATCCTATCCAACTGTGCTGCTTCTTGCCTCGTGTTGCCTTCTGCTGAAGGACTTTTGCATGCATCTGTTAGAACACGCTTTCCTTTTTTTCTTTGTCTAGTGAATACCTACTCATCATTCAGTTCTCAGTGTAGGCATCATCTAAATCAGGCTTATTTCCTTCAGAGCACTTCCCTCGGTTCTAATTATACATTTCTCTGTGACTGATTGGTTTGTCTCCCTCCCTTCCCAGACGAGCTCAAGAGTAGCAGCAGCTGAATCTGTTTTTAATCACGATTGCATCTCTAGCGCCTAGAAATAAATGCACGTGGTAGGTGCCCAATAAATATTCCTCGAGTGAGTAGATGATCTTTAGTAGCCATCCTGCTACTACATACAGACAAATAGATATGACTTCTGTTCCCACGTTCCTTTTTTCTTTAACTCATTGGCCTTTTGGACCTGTCCTTGCCCACATCTTTTCTAGAGCCTGATAAGGTAAGGAAAGAAGGTAGAATACAACCCACCCATATTTTAATTTTTTTCTGGCAGAACATTTATTTGAATTTGGATGATCCATGAATTCAGATTTCCCAGAGTTTTCCTGATCTTTAAGTAGTTAAATATATCGCCAGGTGCGGTGGCTCCTGCCTGTAATTCCAGCACTTTGGGAGGCCAGGGCCGGTGGATCACCTGAGATCAGGAGTTTGAGACCAGCCTGGCCAATGTGGTGAAATCTAATCTCTACTAAAAATCCAGAGATTAGCCAGGCATGGTGGGGGTGCCTGTAATCCCAGCTACTCGGGCAGCTGAGGCAAGAGACTAGCTTGAACCTGGGAGACAGAGGTTGCAGTGAACCAAGATCGTGCCACTGCACTCCAGCCTGGGTGACAGACTGAGACTTCGTTTCAAAAAAAAAAAAAAAAAAAGGTAAATATAGATCATTATGTATATAGCAAATTAGTCTTGTTGCCATGTGGACAGAGACTACCTGTCCTGTGCTTGCTGGAGATGGGATGCATCTAGGGGATGACATTTCTCAAATGCAGAATTTCTCAAATTCTCTGAGGTAGTTAAGATAGTACCTCGTATAGAGCACATGCTTGGGAAGTGCTTATTCACCCTAATGTTCAGGCCACCATTGGGCCCTCCCTGCCCGTGGATCCTTTCCTTTTTTCTTCTCCTCTCCCTAAGAGGATTAAAGATTCAGGTGACTCTGTAAGCCACCAGGCAGTGGGCCCCATCTGCCACCCGGGTTCCTGGTCCTTTTCTGCTCAGCTTTTTAGTCAGCAGTGGTCAGGCCTGCGTCGCCTCTGACTGTGTGTGTAGCACAGTGGGGCATCATGTCTGCAGGATGTTACGGGTTCTTCTGAGGGTTGGGAGCACATTCCCACTTCAGCTTATGTACTGTTGAAAGAAGCCCTTTTCCTTTGGTGTTTTCTTCCTGCTTGGAGGTGGCATGGTGGGAATGAGGGGCAGAAGCTGGCTCCCTTCAGGTTCAGTGCACTGACAAAGGGAACCATGTCTTGTGAGTCCTAAGGCAGGACTCCTCTGTTGCCCACCCGTTAGCTGTCATGGTACAGAGGGGGGCCATAGTAAACAATCCCTGATGGATCCTTTGTTGCTTGTCAGGGGTCTCTAGGAACCTTGGAATAGGTTCAGAGTCTCCAGATCCAGCCATTTCCTTTCTAGGCCAGATCTTGACTTTTTTTTTTTTTTTTTTCAACCAGGAGAAATAACTTTATTTGGACTGAGAGCTGGAGAATGAGAATAGGACCTGAGAGTATATTGGGCTAAGGAGGAGAGGTAAGGTTCCAAAACGGCGGTCAAAGCTCATCGACTAAACGGACTCTACTTCCCACCAAACTTGCAGTTAGTGCAACCAACAAAAGGCCTGCTGGGGAATGTATTTGCCACTAAATTCCCCAAGTATGCCAACATTACAAAAAAGATAGAGGTTTCTAATCATAATTAAATTTCCACAAACCTCCCCAATCACAAGTATTATAAGCAGAAGTAAAAAAAAATCACATTTTACAGATCTCAAACTTGTCTTCAATATTTAGTTCATCATCTTCAAAAAAATAGCTCCCCTGCTAAACTCATTAGCTATCTGATCTATCCAAGCAGCAAGAAGATGGCCAGGCCATGGCAATCCTCTTCCCATTTTCCCTATCCATTCAGGGCTCAACAGCAGGGTGAGGCTCAGGTTGGGGGTGGGGTGGGGGGAGCACAAGGGCTACTTTCCCCCAGTACAACATGGCTTCTGAAGCTTGATGGGAGAGCAGAACTGGTGAGACTTGAGGGAAGGGTCCAGGGCCTGTATTCAGTCAGAATCGCTGCTGGAAGAGGAGGAGAAAGAGGAGGAGGAATGCTTGCCATGCTTTTGGTGCTTGTGCATCTTTTTATGAGCTTTCTTCATTTTATTCTGCATCTTCTTGTCCGCTGTCACTGCTGGTCTGACCATGCCAGGAGCCAAGAGATTCACAGGAGGGATTCCAGGGGCAGGCGGTGGGTATGGAGGAAGGTGGGGACCCGAGGATTGGCATCCTGGATACCCTGGCTGTGGTACAGGATGAGGGGCCCCACCTGGGAGGAAAGCTGGATTGCCCTGGGGAACTCCTAGGGGAGGAGGACAGGGGCCTGGGGGAAAGGGTGGATTGATAGGTGGTGGGTGGGCAGGATTGGAACCTCCAGGGCACCCAGTGTTGGGGGATATGGATTTGGCCCTGGCTGTCTGGCATTGGGATTCCACATGTTTAGGTGTGTCCTCCAGCCTTTCCACGGCTGCCTGGGCTTGATGCGTTCTACCAGATCCTGATGTTTTTAATGGCTGGGCCTTTCTGCTTGAAGAGGGCCGTTTCATCCTTGCTGCTCCAGGAGGAACAGTGGCAGCTTCTGAGGAAGTGGGGACTGGAGAGGTCAGGACTTGTGGCTCCAGACTCCTGTTGGTCACATTTGGTGTGGCCAACTGCTCTGCAGGTTGGGGAGGTGCTCTGAGCAGGTCTGTGTGTGGCAGCAGTTTCCCAGGCGACTTCCTTCATCAGGCTGCAGCATGGGAGCTGCCATGGGGAGAGTTGGTGGGAACTGGGGTCCTGAGGTAGGGGTGGGAAGAGAGGAGCAATTCTAGAAGTGCACCAGCTTCTCAGTTGAAGAATTTGGCACCGCCCCATCCCTGGAGCTAGAAACCTTGGATTCAAGCTGGACTTCTGTCTTCGCTTGGGCTGCCGTAACACAATACCGTAGACTGGGGGGCTCCAACAACAGAAATCTCTTTTCTCATAGTTCTGGAAGCTAGAAGGCCCATATCAAAGTCTGTTGCTGGTTCCTGTCTTGCAGACAGCTGCCTTCTTGCTGTGTCCTCAGATGGTAGAGAGAGACCTCTAAGCCACTAGACAGTGGGCCCCATCTGCTGCCCTGGTTCCTGGTCCTTTCTTCCTCTCCTTTTAATCCTATCAGGCCATTTAACCTTAATGACCTCATTTAACTTTAATTACCTCCTAAAGAACCAGTCACATTGTGGATTAGGGCTTCAATATGTGTATTTTTCTTACTTTGAGAGGCTGAGGCGGGAGCATTGCTTGCACCCAGGAGTTCAAGACCAGCCAGGGCAACATAGTGAGACACCATCTCTGTAAAAAAAAAAAAAAGTAAAATATATACATATGTGAATTTTGAAGGGATGTAGCTCCTTTCCACTTTTCCCCCATATCCTGGTCCTATTAAGCTTAACATCACTGGGTCTGTTCTGACTGTCTCTTCTTCATTCCCCTGCTTCTGCCCTAGTTAAAGTCCTTATCATCTCGCCCCTGGGCAGCAGCCTCCTCAGGTGGTTTTCCTGACACCAGTCTCTCATTTCTCCAATCCAGCCATGCCAGTCTTGCCAGAATTCTTGTCCTAAAAAAAGGCCACCCTGTGATACTTTGTTTCACCAGAGCCCTCAGTGACTCCCCTCTGGTGTAGGACAGGGTGGAGGCTCTTTAGCACGGTCTGCAAGGCTCACTGTGACCAGCCGGTCACACATGTTGGTATCCCCACTCTGGAACACCTGTCTGTGCAAGATGCTCCCTCTGTTTAGAATGCCTTTCTCCCCCATCAGAATTCTTGCCAGCCTTCCTTCCTTCCTTCCTTTTTTTGGGGAAATTTTTTGCCCTTATCTTAGCACTCTCAGAACAGGAAGTTTTTTTCCCTTCTGCCTTCTGCTGCTCTTGAGGTCGTTCCCGCCACTGGATTGTAAGCTTCCTGAGGGCATTTTGGATATGAATCGGGACATCCAGATGGGCATATGTGTTGAGATGGGGGTGTGCCACGGAGATGTGCTGGTGTATGGGGGTCTGTGCTGCTGGTTATTTTGGTGTCACTAGGATTTTTACTTGGTGGTTCTGTATTATAATTGTTTCTTCTATCTGGGGGAGGCACAAAGTCAAACTCTTGACAGAGCCAGGCTTGAAGATGTTTTGTGGTTCACCAGGTGTTCATCAAGCCTTTGGGAGACCTTTGCCAGGTGCAGAGCCTGTGAGCCTTGAGTTGTTGGTTTCACCCTCCACTATACCTGGCGCCTGGGAAGGCCCTGGCCAAATTGCTCTGCAGGGTCTGGTTTGACCCAGATGCTCCATGACCCAGTGCCAACTTTTCCCCTGTTAAGCTTGGTCACTGATTTTTCTCTTTTGGTGGGGGCCTCTGGGATCTAGGTGTTTGAGCCCAGATGAGTCATGGCTGGACGACCCCTCCGCATAGGAGATCAGCTGGTTCTGGAAGAAGATTATGATGAGACCTACATTCCTAGTGAGCAAGGTAACAAGTCTGTGAAGAGGCCTGTGGTGTATTGTGTTTGTTTTTTGAGGACAGGGATTGTCTGGTTTATTTTTATTCTTTCAGTGCAAAGTATGGTACATGTACAGAGTTGCTTAGTATATTCGGGTTAGATCAAATGTGAGCCTACCTTGGCCTCTTGCCTGTTTTTTTTTAAGTTTCTTTCTGTTGCCCAGGCTGGAGTGCAGTGGCGTGATCTCAGCTCACTGCAACCTCTGCCTCCCAGGTTCAAGTGATTCTCCCACCTCAGCCTCCCGAGAAGCTGGGATTACAGGCGTGCACCACCACACCTGGCTAATTTTTTGTACTTTTAGTAGAGACGGGTTTCACCATGTTGGACAAGCTGGTCTCGAACTCCCGACCTCAAGCGGTTTGCCTGCCTCCGGCTCCCAAAGTGCTGGGATTACAGGCGTGAGCCACCTTGCCTGGCTACTTGCCTATTTTTGTAAATACACCTTCATTGGAAAACAGCCACAATGGTTTATGTATTGTGTGTGGCTGCTTCTATGCTACAGCTGCAGAGATATGTGGCTGTTAAGAGAGGTATATGACCCACAAAGGGTAAGATAGTTACTCTCCGGTTGTTTACAGAAAAAGTTTGCTGTCTTTGGGTTAGAGCAGTGATTAGATTTAAATGGAAACATAGTAGGGGGTATCTAAATACAGTGTGTTCTGAGACCAGGGGAAACCCAATTTCCTAAGCACGAACTTAGAGCAGTGTTTTTTTAAACAACAATAACATTATTAGTAACAATAACAACATAACTTATTATGTGCCAGCGTCTGTTTTAAGCACTTTGCATGTATTACCTTATTACCTTTTCCTTTGTTTTTTGTTTTTTTTTTTTTTTTTTTTTTTTGAGACAGAGTCTCACTCTGTCACCCAGGCTGGAATGCAGTGGTATGATCTTGGCTCACTGCAACCTCTCTCTCCCGGGTTCAAGCGAATCTCATGCCTCAGCCTCCTGAGTAGCTAGAACTACAGGTGCCCACCACCACACCTGGGGAACTAATTTTTGTATTTTTAGTAGAGAAGGGGTTTTGCAGTGTTGGCCAGGCTGGTCTCAAACTGACCTCAAGTGATCTTCCCACCTCCACTTCCCAGAGTGCTGGGATTACAGGCGGGAGACACCATGCCTGGCCCATGTATTACCTTTTCAACCCTCACTGCAACTCCATGAGTTAGGTACTATTATTATCCCCATTTTACAGATGAGGAAATCAAGGCACAGAAAGATTAACTTCCTGTGGATATACAGTTCTATTCTAAGTGGTGTTGCTAGAATCCACCTCCAGGTATTCAAGCTCTAGGGCCTGTACTTTGTTCTTTGTTTTTTTTTGTTAGTTTGTTTTTTTTGAGATGGAGTTTCACTCTGTCGCCCAGGCTGGAGGGCAGTGGCGGGATCTCTGCTCACTGCAACCTCCGCCTCCCAGGTTCAAGTGAATCTCCTGCCTTAGCCTCCCTAGTAGCTGGGACTACAGATGCGTGCCACTGTGCTTGGGTAATTTTTTTGTATTTTTAACAGAGACGGGGTTTTGCCATGTTGGCGAGGCTGGTCTCAAACTGACAAGTGATCTCCCCGTCTTGGCCTCCCAGAGGATTGGGATTACAGGCATGAGCCACTTGTGCCTGGCCATAGGGCCTGCACTTTGAAGCACTATGCAATTATTTGGAGTGAAAGTTTCTTTGAAATTCTGACGAGTTATGATCTAGGCATACAAAGTTTGCTTATAATTCAGGTGGTTCATGGACTTGAGAGCAGGGTTCACAATTCTTGCATCTCTAGGAATACATGGATCTCATGTTAAATGCTGGACTTTGCTTATAGCATAGGGTGTTTTTTTTGTTTTCCATATTTTTGTTTTTAGAGACAGTCTTACTCTGTCACCCAGGCTAGTATGCAGTGGCTCCATCATAGCTCACTGCAGCCTTGAACTCGTGGGCTCAGGTGATCCTCCCATGTAGCTAGAACTACAGGTGCATGTCATGTGTCTGGCTAATTAAAATAAATTTTTTTGTAGGGATAGGCTCTCACTGTGTTGCCCAGGCTAGTCTTGAACTCCTGGGTTCAAGTGATCCTCCTGTCTGGGCTTCCCAAAGTGCAGGGATTACAGACATAAGCCACTACGACTGGCCTCTTTCTTTCTTTCCTACTTTCTCTTTAGAGACGGAGTCTCACTTTGTCGCCCAGGCTGGACTGCAATGGCGTGAGCTCGGCTCGCTGCAACCTCCAGGTTCAAGTGATTCTTCTGTCTCAGACTCCCAAGTAGCTGGGACTACAGGTGCACGCCACCACACCCAGCTAATTTTTGTATTTTTAGCAGAGACAGGGTTTCACCATATTGGTCAGGCTGGTCTTGAACTCTTGACTTCAGGTGATCTACCTGCCTCGGCCTCCCAAAGTGCTGGGATTACAGGTGTGAGTCACTGCACCTAGCCATGAATGGCCTGTTTCTTAAATTTGTATACATTTGGTTGCTGTTGTAAATGGAGTCAAAGGTTTTTCTAAGGATGTTTATAAAAACTTTCTTCGGCCCAGTCCAGGTGTAGGCATTCTAACCTCAAGCCACCATTTTCTCTTCCTGGGCTATCTCAGTAGCTTCCTAATTAGCCTTACTGTTTATAAAGCAGATCATGTCAGGGCTGTGCTTTTAGTCCCCCCGCATCCCCAGTATACTCAACATAACACCCTTGATGGGATTGCAGGGCTCTGTGACCTGGCTCTTTCTACCAGTCACATTGGCCTTTTTTTGTTGTTTGTTTGTTTTTTTTTTGAGACCGAGTTTCACTCTGTCACTCAGACTGGAGTGCAGTGGTGTGAACTTGGCTTATTGAAGCCTTGACCCCTTGGGCTCAAGTGATTCTCCCACCTCAGCCTCCCAAGTAGCTGGGACCACAAGTGCATACCATCAGGCCTGGCTAATTTTTGTATTGTGTTGGTAGAGATGGGGTCTTGCCGTGTTGCCCAGGCTGGTCTTGAACTCCTGGGCTCAAGCAATCCACCCACCTCAGTCTCCCAACGTGCTGGGATTACAGGTGTGCATCACCATACCTGGCTATACTGGCTTTCTGACAGTCCCCAGAGCTACTGGTTGTCACAGGTCCTTTGCACCTGTGCTTCTTCTGCCTGAATGCTCTTTCTCCAGTGCTCTGCATGGCTGCCTCCTTTCACTTATGCAGGTTTCAGTTAACTGTCAACATTGCTGAGAGGCATTCCTTGGCCATAATTTTTATTATTGTTATTATTATTTTGAGATGGAGTTTCACTCTTGTTGCCCAGGCTGGAGTGCAATAGCTCGATTCCTTGACCATCATTTCTAGAGGAATGCTCTTCCACCCTGATGTTCTCTAGCTCCTACCTCATTTACTTCCTTCTTGCATTTATCAGAAGCTTTAATTTTTTGTATATTTATCTGTTTACTTCATTGCTGGCTGTCTCTTTTACTAGAATGTAAGCTCCATAATGGCAGTGACTAGTTTTTTTCTTACTCATGGCTCATAGTGACTGGTACATAGGAGGCACTCAAAAATATTTGTGAAAAATGAATAAATTAGTCTCTGGCCAATCAAGTTCCAGGCAGTCCTTTGAAAAAATATTTTTTCTTTCCTAGTTCCCGGGTATGTCAACCTCCAGATTTTCCACTGAGATGGCTCATTGGTGATGCCCTTCTGGCCTGGGCTATTACCAGCTTAAGCATTGATGTCATTTGAATATTTATTTAATCATTTCTGGGGGTTCTGGTGACATGTTCCAACGGTTATGTCATTTATCTTTTTTCCTGTACGTGAGATAGCTCTTTTTTTTTTGGACAGGATTTCACTCTTGTTGCCCAGGCTGGAGTGCAATGGTGGGATCTCAGCTCACTGCAACCACTGCCTCCTGTCTCAAGCGATTCTCCTGCCTCAGCTTCCTAAGTGGCTGGGACTATAGGCACATGCCACCATGCCCGGCTACTTTTTGTATTTTTTATATAGACGAGGTTTCTCCATGTTGCCCAAGCTGGTCTCAAAGTCCTGAGCTCAAGTGATCTGCCCACCTTGGCCTCCCAAAGTGCTGGGATTACAGGCATGAACCACCATGCCTGGCTGAGATAGCTCTTAAGTCAGTACATATATCTCCACTGTCCTTCAGTTCTGTGGCAAAAGAGCTTTTTGAAATTCTTGATTTCCAGAGTACAACAAAATTTTTGTTTGTTTGTTTGTTTGAGATGAAGTCTTGCTTTGTCCCCCAGGCTGGAGTATAGCCTTGACCTTCTCAGGCTCATTGCTGGCTGTCTCTTCTACTAGAATGTAAGCTCCCACCTCAGCTTCCTGGGTAGCTGCATCTATAGGCACATGCCACCATGCTAATTTTCATATTTTTTGTAGAGATGGGTTCTCACCATGTTGCCCAGGCTGGTCTTGATCTCCTGGACTCAGGCAATCCTCCCACCTCGGCTTCCCAAAGTGCTGGGATTACAGGCATGTGCCACTGCACCCAGCCACAACAAAAGTATTAGGGTCCATAATATATTGTAAAATTGAAAAAGAGGCAACTCCCTTAATGGAAGGGAGGGTTCAGTGAGTGGGAGTTCAGCCTGCTTGAGTATCATCCACTTTCTCAGCTCAGATAGTTCCCTGCCCCTAGGCAGAATCAATCACTGCCTTCTCTCTGCTCCCATAGCATACAGGACATGTCTTCATTACAGCACGTGTCACCTGGGTTGTACTCTAATTGTGTGTTTGTAATGTCCTCAAGGAGCTTAGTCACTTGTAGTTTTTCAGTACATGCTTGTTGATTGAATGATGAGTGCTTTTGCACCAAGCTTTTGCAAATCTTGGGAGAGCTTACTACCTTCTGGTAAGGCTGTGCTCATCCTGGATGGTTCTGCCTATGGTTTGGGGGTTCTTCCCTCTGAGGCCCCTGCTGGAATGAAGTCTTGGTTTTATTTTATTTTTTGCCTTTTTTTTTTTTTTTTTTGAGACGAAGTCTTGCTCTCATTGCCCAGGCTGGAGTGCAGTGGCGTGATCTCGGCTCACTGCAACCTCTTCCTCCCAGGTTCAAGCAGTTCTCCTGCCTCAGCCTCCCGAGTAGCTGGGATTACAGATGTGCGCCACCACGCTGGGCTAATTTTTGTGTTTTTAGTAGAGATGGGGTTTCACCATGTTGGCCAGGCTGGTTTTGAACTCCTGACCTGATGATCTACCTGCCTTGGCCTCCCAAAGTGCTGAGATTACAGGCATGAGCCATGGCACCTGGCCTATTTTTTGCTTTTTTAATGCTTGGCTTCGGATTATATCATTGTGTGGAGATAGCATGCTTGGATTCAAGTGTACTATTTGTAAATTGTAAGGAAACAATTATATATGTTTATTGTTTATAATTTAAAGAATACGATTTTCTCATTGATGGAGAGAAAAGACAAAGTAGAAAAAAGATTGTGAGTTTTTTTCTTCTTTTCATCTCTCTTACTTTCCCACCTCTGCCTCTCCTTGCAGAAATTCTTGAATTTGCCCGGGAGATTGGTATTGATCCCATCAAGGAACCAGAACTGATGTGGCTGGCGCGAGAGGGCATCGTGGCCCCACTGCCTGGAGAGTGGAAACCATGGTAAGTCAGCAGGGGGTGCGGCCACTGACTTGGCCTAGCAGAGGCAGAGGGAAGCTAATACTGGAGATCGGTTTGAACTGGCCAGCTTTTCCAAGCCTATCCTGTACAGTCAGGGACAGTACTGTGCCACCCCTCTGCTATGCTGCCTGCTATTTCAGGCTTCAGTGTAGGCTGACTGAATGGTCCCTGGTCCCTAGGATGGGGTTCAATGCTTATATCCAAGGCCACAGGAGCTACTGCCCTGGGTCTGGTTCTCTAGCACAAGCATCTGTTTAGGATGTGCTGAGGGGTTGTTGTTACTCCTTGCAGACTGATATTGTAAGTGACAACTTTACCTCCTTAGCATGTCTAAGTTGGATGCTGGTCTTGCCGGGTACGGTGGCCCACGCCTGTAATCCCAGTGCTTTGGGAGGCCGAGGTGGGTGGATTGCTTGAGGTCAGGAATTCGAGACCAGCCTGGCCAAGATGGTGAAACCGCGTCTCTACTAAAAATACAAAAAATTAGCTGGGTGTGGTAGTGCACACCTGCAGTCCTAGCTACTTAGGAGGCTGAGGCAGGAGAATAACTTGAACCTGGGAGGCGGAGGTTGCAGTGAGCCGAGATTGCGGCACAGCACTCCAGCATGGGCGACAGAGCGAGACTCCATCTCAAAAAAAAAAACCAAAGTAAATAAATAAAACTACTACTTAAAAAGATAAAATAAAATAAAATGGATGTTGATGTTAAAGAGGTTTGCAGTGAGGCCATGCAGACCAGCAAAGGGTTTCTGTGTCCCTTGGGAACACTTGGCTCTGCCATATCTGAATTGATGTAACCTATTCATGAATAGGTTCACATTCATGGATTCATTGATATTTTCAATTTTGGCTAGAGCTCTTTGGGTTGGAAGGAGCAGTGATTCACTCAGTGATTCACTCAGTGGTTGTCTCAGGGAAACAGAGGTTTATGGAGAGGAAAGACAGAGTGGCCAAGGTTGGGGAGCTAGAAGGAGCCATGTCACTGCCTCTGTCTTCCTCCTCCTCCTGAGGACTGCAGTGCTCCCTGCTCGTGGTGACACTGCTCTCCGTGTTCTCCATGTCTACTCTGTCCTCCTGTCTTGCATTGCTCTTCCTAATCACATGCATAGAGCTCTCTCCAGCTTGTCTCCCTAAAGTGAGTGCCATGAATTTACTTCCTACCTTAGATTGGTATTTCCCTATGCTTATCCCAAACTGGTCCTCAGGTATCTTAGGGGTCCCCTCTTCTGCTGGTTTTGTGCAATTTTGTAGACAAGGCGTAATCATCCTGTTCTTGTTCATACCATTCACTGTGTTGGCCATAGCTCAAAGTGATTACAGTTGTCGCCTTACTGTCAGCTGAAGAATCACAGTCCTTCTAGCTTTTCCTCATGTGGCAGGCTTTTTGTTTCTTGATCTTTTTTTTTTTGAGATGGAGTTTTGCTCTTGTTGCCCAGACTGGAGTGCAATGGCACGATCTCGGCTCACTGCAACCTCCACCTCCCGGAGGTGGAGCGATTCTCCTGCCTCAGCCTCCCAAGTAGCTGGGATTACAGGCATGCACCACCACACCTGGCTAATTTTGTATTTTTAGTAGAGACGGGGTTTCGCCATGTTGGCCAGGCTGGCCTCAAACTCCTGACCTCAGGTTGTCCACCTGCCTCGGCCTCCCAAAGTTCTGGCATTACAGGCGTGAGAGCCCGGCCTGTTCTCTTGATCTTTTTAGCCGCCTTTCCTTTAACCTTCTCCCACCTCTATTGAAGTAAATTTGTCAGGACTTCACACAATGTTTGAGGTGCTGAGGGCTTCTGGTCATGTTTGTAGGATGAATTTATAGGAGTGGCTTCTGTTTCCAGTACCTAGCTTGATGGATGGAAGGAAACTGTCATTGGTTATGGGCCAGCTGCATACCAGCTTTTATGCCAGCTGCCTTTATATACCTGCTAGTGGTGGCTAACACCCTTTTTTATCCTGTAAGGAGAGTGTGAATTATTTTTCACTTTTTTTTTTTTGAGATGGAGTCTTGCTCTGTCGCCCAGGCTGGAGTGCAATGGCGCAATCTTGGCTCACTGCAACCTCGGCTCACTGCAGCCTCTGCCTCAGCCTCCTGAGTAGCTGGGATTACGTGTGTGTGCCACCACGCCGGGCTAATTTTTTTATTTTTAGTAGGGACGGGGTTTCGCCATGTTGATCAGGCTGGTCTTGAACTCCTGATCTCATGATCTGCCCGCCTTGTCCTCCCAAAGTGCTGGGATTACAGGCGTGAGCCACCACGCCCGGCCTATTTTTCACTTTTTAAAATAAGTTGGCCAGGCATGGTGGCTCACACCTGTAATCCCAGCACTTTGGGAGGCCGAGTTTGGAGGATTGCTTGAGCTCAGGAGTTTGAGATCAGTCTGGGCAATGTGGCGAAACTCTGTCTCTGTAGAAAATTCAAAAATTAGCTGGGGGTGATGACATGCACCTTTAGTCCCAGCTACTTCCGAAGTTGAGTTAGGAGGATCGCTTTAGCCTGGGAGGTTGAGGCTGCAGTGAGCCGAGACTGCATCACTGCTCTTCAGCCTGGGGGACAGAGAGAACCTGTCTCAAAAACAAATAAAATGAGTCATTAAAATGTAGGTATATATATATTTTACCCTTCTTCTTCTTTACCCACCTTTAACCTTCTTCTTTTCCTAAGGGTAATTACTATTAATTGGTAAATTCTCTCTAGACTCTTTTAATATACATGTATGCACCCCCTCCCCAACAATGGTTTGGTTTTAAACATAAGCACTTTATTATATACACTGTTCTTCTTTGTCTGTTTGTGTAGGCCTACTCATTCTTGTATCAGCTGCATACTTTCCCGTGTAGAGATGTAGCACAATTTTCAAAAATCTTGATTTATTTGACTAGTCTTATATTGAAGGACATTTAGATATTTTCCTAATTGGCCATGAAGTGAGGGCTGTTTCTGGATCCTCTGCTCTCTTCCAGTGAGCTCTTTGTCTGTCTTCACACCAGTACCATTCTGTCTTGATTACTGTAGTTTTATAATAAATCTTGAAATCATTTAAAGGTAAATCCTCCAAATTTGTTCTCCATTTTCAAAGTCATATTCTAGGTCTTTTGTATTTCCATATGAATTTTAGAATAGCTTGTCAGTTTCCAAGGCTGGGCACGGTGGCTCATGCCTGGAATCCCAGCACTTTGGGAGGTCGAGGTGGGCGGATCACTTGAGGTTGGGAGTTCGAGACCAGCCTGACCAATGTGGAGAAACCCTGTCTCTACTAAAAATGCAAAATTAGCCAGGCGTGGTGGCACATGCCTGTAATCCCAGCTACTCGGGAGGCTGAGGCAGGAGAATTGCTTGAACACGGGAGGTGGAGGTTGCAGTGAGCCGAGATCGTGCCATTGCACTCCAGCCTGGGCAGCAAGAGCGAAACTCCATCTCAAAAAAAAAAAAAAGAATAGCTTGTCAGTTTCCTATTAGGATTTTTATTGTGCTTGAATTGACTCTGTAAATCAATTTGGGGAAAATTGACATCTTAAACAATACTTTCAACCCATGAACATGGTCTGTTTTCATTTGCAGTATTTAGGTTTTTTTAAATGTCTCTAGGACATATTTACCCTGTAGAAAAATGTAATCTGCAAATAAGGACAATTTTTTATTCAATTTTCTGTACTGAAGTTGGTTTGTTGTTGTTGTTGTTGTTGTTGTTGTTTTTGAGATAGAGTCTTGCTCTGTCGCCCAGGCTGGAGTACAGTGGTATGATCATGACTCACGGCACCCTCTACCTCCCGGGTTCAAGCGATCCTCCCACCTCAGCTTCCCGAGTAGCTGGGACTACAGGTGTATGTCACCATGCCTGGCTAATTTTTGTATTTTTTTTGTAGAGATGGGGTTATGCCATGTTGCTCAGGGTGGTCTTGAACTCCTAAGCTCAAGCAATTTGCCTGCCTTGATCTCCTAGAGTGTTGGGGTTACAGGCATGAGCCACAGCGCCCAGCCTAGAAATATTATCAATTAAAAAATTGTCAATTAAAAAAAATCGTCAATCCAAGGGCAAAAAATAACAACGGATCATTTTAAATTGCATTTCCCAAGTTGTTTGTAGAGTTGAATTGGCCATCTGTTGATCTTTTGTGATTTACCTGTTTATATCTCTTGCCTTTTTGTCTAGTAGACTGCTTATCTTTTATTTTTGTTAAGGTGGCAGAACTCTTTGATTATTCTGGGTATTCTGGGTAATAGTAGTGGTATCTTACCACTATTTCCACTATTTTATCCCAGTCACATGTCTTTTAATTTGGTTTATACTTTCTTTTGTCATACTGAAGTCAATAAATTTGTATTTTTCTTAATTGTGGTAAAATATATATAACATGAAATTTACCATTTTAAGCATTTTTGAGTGGACATTTCAGCAGCATTAAGTACATTCACAATGTTGCATGGCTATCACTACCATCCATCTCCAGAATGTTTTCATCCCCAAACTGAAACTCTATAGCCATTAAATATTAATTCCCCATTTTCCCCTCTCCTTAATCTCTGGCAGTCACCATTCAGCTTTCTGGCTCAATGAATTTGCCTATTCTAGGTACTTCATATAAGTGGAATTATGCAATATTTGTCCTTTTGTGTCTGACTTCTTTCACTTAGCATAACATCCTCAAGGTGCATCTATGTTGTAGCATGCGTGAGAATTCTTTCTTAAGGCTGAATAATATTCCATTGCATGTATATACAACATTCTATTTATCAATTTTTTTTTTTTGAGACAGAGTCTCGCTCTGTCACCCAGGCTGGAGTGCAGTGGTGCGATCTTGGCTCACTGCAACCTCTGCTTCCTGGGTTCAAGTGATTTTCCTGCCTGTACCTCCCGAGTAGCTGGGATTACAGGCACGTGCCACCATGCCCGGGTAATTTTTGTATTTTTAGTAGAGACGAGGTTTCACCATGTTGGCCAGGCTGGTCTCGAACTCCCGACCTCTGCCTCCCAAAGTATTGGGATTACAGGTGTGAACCACTGTGCCCAGCCCTGTTTATCAATTTATCTATCAATGGACATTTGGTCTTCTTTCTGTCTTTTGGCTATTGTGAATAATGCTGCTGTGATTATTGGTATACAAATAGCTGTTTGAATCCCTGCTTTCAATTCATTTGGGTATATGCCCAGAAATGGAATTGCTGGGTCACATGGTAATTCTATTTTAAATTAAATTAAATTAATTTTTTTCTTAGAGATAGGGTATTGCTCTGTTACCCAGGCTGTGCAGTGGTGTAACCATAGCTCACTGCAGCCTCGAACAGCTGGGCTCAAGGGATCCTCCTGCCTCAGCTTCCTAAGTGGCTGGGACTACAGGTGTGCACCATGGTGCCCAGCTATTTTAAAATTACTTAATCCATTGTGAAATCTATTTTATATTTAAGTTAAATTTTATCTTATATTAAATTTGATTTAATTTTTTTGAGGAACCCCCATGCTATTTACCAAAGTGGCAGCACCATTTTACATTCCTACCAGCAGTGTACAAGGGTTCTTCTGTCTACCAGGCTCAAGGTCAATGACACAATCTCGGCTCACTGCAACCTTCACCTCCTGGGTTCAAGTGATTCTCCTGCCTTAGCCTCCTGAGTAGCTGGGATTACAGGCACACGCCACCATGCCTGGCTAATTTTTGTATTTTTAGTAGAGACGGAGTTTCACCATGTTGGTCAGGCTGGTCTCAAACTCCTGACCTCGTGATCTGCCTGCCTTGGCCTCGCAAAGTGCTGGGATTACAGGCATGAGCCACCATGCCCGGCCAATTTTTGTATTTTTTAGTAGAGATGGGATTTCACCATGTTGATCAGGCTGGTCTTGAACTCCTGACGTCAGGTGATCCACCTGCCTTGGCCTCCCAAAGTGCTGGGATTATAGGTGTGAGCCACCGCACCCAGCCTTTTTTTTTTTTGAAACAGGGTCTTGCCCTGTCACCCAGGCTGGAGTGCAGTGGTGTGATCATAGCCCACTGTAGCCTTGAACTCCTGGGCTCAAACAATCCTCCCACCTCAAGTCTCCTGAGTAACTGGGACTACAGACGTGTGTCACTGTGCCTGGCTAATTTTTTTTATTTCTTGTAGAAACAGAGTCTCACTGTGTTGCCCAGGCTTATTTTTTGGATTTTTGATAATAGCCATGCTTATGTTGTGAAGTAGCATTTCATAATAGTTTTGATTTGCATTTTCCCAGTGTTTAGTGATGTGGGACATCTTTTCATGTGCTTATGGGTCATTTGCATATCTTCTATCACTGTCCTTTTTTACCCCGATATTTTTTTATTTCTGCTCATTTTCTCATTTATCTATTTTTCATTTTCTCTTTTGTTTGAATTGAGATTCAGCTTGTCAGATTTCATAAGGAGCTTGATTGAAATTGTATTGGATTTATATATTAATTTTGGGATTATTGGCATCTTTACAGACTTGAGTCTTTCTATTCTGGAATACTGAATGCCTCTCCAGTGGGTTTTTTTCTTTTTCTTTTTTTTTCTGACTTTTCAGTAAAACTCTATAAAGATTTTGCACATTTTAGGTTTATGTGTGAATATAAAATATTTTGCATTACTCTTTTCCTGTTAGCTGTCCTAATAGATTGTTGTTAATGGTGGATGAGATGAGTGGTTTATTTTGGACTTGTCCATGTTGAAAAACAGATTCTTGAAATATACCTCCTGCATTATTTTCTTCTACCATCATCCACACTAGCTTGGATTATTACTTCTTTTTTTTGTTTGTTTTTTTGAGATGGAGTTTCGCTCTTATTGCCCAGGCTGGAGTGCAATGGCACAATCTTGGCTCACTGCAACCTCCGACTCCCAGGTTCAAGCGATTCTCCTGCCTCAGCCTCCTGAGTAGCTGGGATTACAGGCATGCACCACCACCCCGGCTAATTTTGTATTTTTAGTAGAGACAGGGTTTCTCCATGTTGGTCAGGCTGGCCTTGAACTCCCGACCTCGGCCTCCCAAAGTGCTGGGATTACAGGTGTGAGCCACTGCTCCCGGCAGGATTATTACTTCTTATGAGTTTAGAGTCTTCTGTAAAACCAGAGCTCTCACAATGCATTATTCTTCCTTAGACTGTTTATTAAAATATTAAGATTTATCCTAGCACTTACGTTCAACATACCATAGTTTTTATACTTCTCCATCTAAATAAAACCAAGTTTGTTCCTACACTAGTCCAGCCTGCATTCTCAAGAACTCCAGTGATTATACATCAACATCTAGAGATTAGGTATCCCAATCCTTTCTTCCTATATCTAAGCTAACTCCTTCTTAGCCAAATGGTACCCTTTGATTTTGTGTTAATCCTTTCCTTCCCTCCACTCTTAACCCCTCTCATTCCATCTTCTCCCTCCCTTTTCCACCCCACTCTCTTCCTCCTCTTTCACCTCCTCTCCCTTTTTCTTTTTTTCCCCTCTTTTTTTTTTCTTCTTTTGTATCTGAGCAGGGACTAACTTCTGAACTCTGCCCATCCCCAGCCAGGACATCACAGGTGACATTTACTATTTCAACTTCGCCAACGGGCAGTCTATGTGGGACCATCCATGTGACGAACACTATCGGAGCTTGGTGATCCAAGAGCGGGCAAAGCTGTCAACTTCTGGGGCCATTAAGAAGAAGAAAAAAAAAAAGGAAAAGAAAGACAAGAAGGACAGAGACCCCCCCAAAAGTTCGCTGGTGAGTCAGTGGATGCCTCCTCCCAGAGAGGCCAGGGCTGAAATCTGGAGGGATGTTGGGAACCTCTAGGTGTCTGCAGCTGGGAGGTTGAAGACAACAGTCAGAATATGGTAAATTCTTGATAGTATATCATCTAAACTTTGCCTGTCTTCTGGTTGATTTTTCTTTCAGCTTCTGGTATTCTGGAAGTTGTTGCCATGTCTACACATTTCCTTTCTCCCCACTTGGGAAGTGCATGTTACCTAATAGGATTGATGAGAGAGAGTGCTCTTCTGAGAATGGTTTTTTGCAGTAGTAGTAGCAGTAATGGCATCTGCTGCTCTGGAGAGTGGGGACTGAAAGCAGTTGGCAGAGGCCAGTGAGCTGAGTGAAGTGTCCTTTCTCTTTATTCAGAGTCAGGCCTCCCTAGTGTGGGTTCCTTTTTTGTCTTAAAGTGGTGTGAATTCCTAGATGTCAGATGTAGCCATAATTTAGTTGTCAAAACACCAGTGCGTTCAAGATTTGAAAGAAAAGCCTTGGGCTTTATCTACTCATCTAGATTGTTGCCAGTGTCTTCAGTGAGTGGTGGGTAACTGAAGTTTAACTGCAATGTGATTTCCTTGTTGTTGTTTTTTTTGAGACAGAGTCTCACTCTGTCACCCAGGCTGGAGTACAGTGGCGTGATCTCAGCTCACTGCAACCACTGCCTTTCAGGCTCAAGCAATTCTCCTGCCTCAGCCTCCTGAGTAGTTGGGATTACAGGCATCCGCCACCACGCCTGGCTAATTTTTGTATTTTTAGTAGAGTTGGGGTTTCACCATGTTGGCCAGGCTGGTCTCAAACTCCTGACCTCAAGTGATCCACCCGCCTCAGCCTCCCAAAGTGCTGGGATTACTGGTATGAGCTACCACGCCCAGCCTGATTTCCTTGGTTATAAGTAGCTTTTGTATTTCAGTTCAAAGTGTTCATATTAATTATTGTTTTATTTGTCCCTTTAGTACAACTGAGTCTAGGAGGTGGAGTTATTGCCCACATGATTTAGGTGGAGCAACTAAGACCTGGAGCCATACCAAAGTGAGGCCCAGGCTCTCCCAGAACGCTGTGGTGGTCCCTTTCCCCAGGCCTGGGGCAGGTGGGGCATGCTGAAGAGAGGGAGGGACATAGGAACTCAGCTCAGCCAGTGGGGAGCACTGGGAACATCGTTTCAACCCTCTTCAGTTGTCCAGTTGTTTTGCTCTTTTGTTTATAGTTTTTGTTTCCCTCCAGAGCCTTGTGCTTCCTCTTGTCCAAGCTCCACAGACACTTCTTTTTTCCCTCCCCTCCCTGACATGTTACTCACGGTTCTGAGAAACATGGTAACAAGCCCATTCCTCCAGATGGAGAAAAGAGGGCAGATAATTTCCAGCTAGGCTGGATTTTCCAATGTCATGTGTTTGAATGGCAAAAGGTGGCCACAGGGCTTTTCATGGACCCAGGATTATTTGAAGTGGTAGTCAGGCATCTGGGCAGGCTGTGGCTTGACGAAAGGCAGGAGACGGAATGAAGTGAGGGTTCTGGGGTGGAGAGCTGGGTAAAGGACCGAGATGTAGATGTGTGATTGGATTCTTAGAGCCCTCTGTTAAAAAGAGTTCCCTCCGTGGTTTCAGGAAATGAAGAAAATGGGACAGCCCTGGGCTGTCAGTCTGGTTCTTAGGGCTCAGGACAGGTGCCTCAAATGTGAGTTTGTCCAGGGGACAGCTCTGAGCCAGGCAGGCAGCCTGGATGCAAGTGGTTTGGACTGTCTGGAGGTGTGCACTCACAGTCAGGTGGGGTTCAGTGTGAATGTTTGTAGAGGAGTGGTTGATTTTTTAGAAGTTTTTCTAGCTCAGAGGGTCTGTGACCATGTGGCGGTCTCTCAAGCAATACCAACTGGTTCCTTTGGTAGACAATGCTAGACTGAGTTTTCAAGTCTCGGGTCATTTGTTATGCTTCTCTTCGCGCCCTGTTAAAAAATTTCCGGGTGTCCTTGGTAAGGTTGGTGGACTTTTCTTCTTCTCCTTCTTCTTCTTCTTCTTCTTTTTTTTTTTTGAGACAGCATCTTGCTTTGTTGCCCAGGCTGGAGTGCAGTGGCACGATCTTGGATCACTGCAACCTCCGCCCCCTGGGTTCAAGCAATTCTCGTCCCTCAGCCTTCCGAGGAGCAGGGACTACAGGCGCCCACCACCGTGCCCGGCTAATTTTTTGTATTTTTAGTAGACATGGGGTTTCACCATGATGGCCAGGCTGGTCTCGAACTCCTGACCTCAAGTGATCCGCCCGCCGCAGCCTCCTAAAGTGCTGGGATTACAGGTGTGAGCCACCACACACGGCTCAAGGTTGGTGCATTTTATAAAACTAATCAATCACAGAATCTGAGAGCTGGATAGTATCTTAGGGATAATCTGGTTGGCGAGTTTCAGACTGTAGTTTGTGGTAGAGCCCTGTTTTCAAGTCAGTTCCTCTATAGAGGTCCAGCTTATAAAAAAAGAAATGGAGCTTCTTTGGTTGAACTTGGCAGTGTGGGTCTTTGTGACGCCTCTTCTCTGTCACATGCACAATATAGTACCCCGAGGTACTGAACTTCCCAGGTTCCATGGAGCAAGGTTTGCAAACCATTGATCTAGTCGAACCTCCTCTTTGTAGATAAGGAAACTGGAGCCTAGAAAACAACATATTTTCAGCCCAAGGGAGTTTTTATCTTTTCTTCCCTCTTCAGTTTGTGTTTTACTTCATTTTTTAGTTTTTTAATTTTTTAAATTATTATTTTTTTTTGCTATTGATTTTATTTATTTATTTATTTATTTATTTATTATTTATTATACTTTAAGTTTTAGGGTTTAAATAGAGGGTGGGTTTTTGCTGAGGGCTTGCCCAGGGCTGAGGTAGCAAGTGTAAATCAGAAGTGCTTTGTCTTCGTTTTCTCTGCATGTTTATATACCCATCTAGGAAACGCAGCCTGAGGAGGGACTTCTGCCTCCTTCATCCTTTCTCTGCAGCTTGTCTCCTCCGTCAGCACCTGGGCTTGCTGATCTGGACCTAGATCAAGAGATGCAGGCTATAAGTGAGGGATCCTATAACAAAGGAAAGAGCCCAGGCATGCTGGGTGACACTCCCTGGCGTTTCATGGGTGCCCTTCCCAGAAAGCTGCAGCCACTCTCCAAAGGCCAACCTTCCCAAATCCACCAGGTCTTTGCTGACATGGAGAAAATCTTAGGCAGGGCCCCAGCCCAATGCAGGAGAGAATTAGGTGATCAGCAGGGTCTGGAGAAACTCCAGAAGGCGACAGAGAAAATCTACCTGGGGTTTTCAGATCCTGAAACAGAAGAGCTGGAAATGAGAAGCAGGCAGCAGAAACTGGGCACTCCAGCCCCTCAGAACACTGGGCTTCTCCAAAATATGCAGGATGTGGTAGAAAGCAGGAACCAGGCCTCTGTCCACTCAAAGCTTTCTGAAGCCATCAAAGGCCTGCCACTGAAAGGGGAGCAGCACAGCCACAGCTTAGCCAAACTGAGCCCCACTGGCCCTGGAGGGGACAAGGGCCAAAGCCCCATTCCCATGTCATCCCCTGAGGAGGAGCCCTCCCTGTCCTCTTGTTCTTCCGGCCACATGTTGCCTGCCAGGAAGAGCAAGTTGTTGTTAGATAGCAGCCCTACTGAAGACCTGAGCTGGCAGGGAGTTCCTGGGGAAGGTGGGAGCATAGGCAGCGGGAGGAGGAGGAGAGAACCTCCTGGACTGTGGATGGAACAGGTCTCCAAGCTTGTCAATAAGGATATCCCAGGAAGCTGCAAGGAAACAGAGCCCAGTGACCCTGAGGCTCTAGGGGCCTCAGCTGAAGATCTACCTCAGGGTCTCTTGCTAATACCACCTGAAACCCTGGCATCAGAACCAGCTCAGAATCCCCTTTTAGGGAGGGCTCCCGAGGAGCCTCCTGCCAGTGAGAAGAGACAGGCCCTAGGGTCTGCAGAGCTCCCTTATAAAGATCAGAAGCCTAGCTTGTCTGGGCCTGACTTGGAGAGCAGCAGCAGCAGCAGCAGCAACAGCAACCTGGCCTCACACCTGGGCTCTCCTGTCCTGGATGAGGTGAACAACTTCCCTTGGAACCTGCAGAGCTCACGGGGATCTGAGGAGGGTATGGCTCAGTCAGACTCGGGTCTCAGAGATCAACACTTCAGCCCCTTCTTAGATCCTCACATGTCCCACATGCAGAGCCCTGACGAGGAGCAGTCAGAAAGTGAAGACTACTCTGAGGACCAGAGGTTCTACCAGCACATCCTGCAGATGGTCAAGATCTCCAGGTGGCCGGAGGGCCTGGGGCTGCCTGAGAGCATGCAGGACATGCCGTGCAGACACAGCGCCAGCACAGTCTGTTGCATGGCAGCTGAGTCTTCTAGGATGTCTAGTGAGGGTGAGCACGAGGCCATCAGAGTCATGGAGAGGGACTCGAGGTTTCTGTCATGGGAGCCAGAGCTGCTGGAACATCCTCAGGAGGTGGCCCTCGCCCCTGCTTGGCAAGAGGCCTCTCAGCAAGCCCATTTCCAGCCAAGCAGCAGCACCCTCAGGCAGGGGCTAGTCCAGCAGAGCTCCAGCAGAGGGCTTACTACAGAGCCAGGCAAGATGCAGCATCTCAACCAGGTAGGCTTCTTAGTGAGCATGGCCTAAAGGCCTAAACTTGGCAGGGAGGGAGCAGGTGGAGTTGATGTCTTACCACAGCCATCAGGCCTGCATTCCTGTTACCCACCCTACCGTGGTAACTATTGGCCCTTTAACTACCCAAATGGCCATTTTATGGAATGACACATACTTGAAGTTTCTTCTACTCCATCACCTGCAAGATAGGGCTGAGGGTATCTCTGATTTCCCTTCCCTGGCTGTAATTGTAATTCATGGGTGGTTCATGTGCTTTGAACATGATCAGTTTTGCGGGTGAGCAGAACGTCGCTAATCCTGGCATTCGTGCAGGATATAAACACCTTCCTGGGATTTGGGAAGTTTTTCCTATCAGCTGATTCTAGAGAGAGGTCCTTCCTATTTGGAAATAGGCAGCCTACCCCAAAGCTCTGAACTTTATTTCTTCTCGAAATCAGACAGAACTAGAAAGTTAATATTATTTTTTATTTTTATTTTATTTTTTAGACAGGGTTTTGTTCTGTTGCCCAGGCTGGAGTGCAGTGGATCTTGGCTCACTGCAATCTGCACCTCCATCGCTTGAATCCCAGGTTCAAGTGATTTTCGTGCCTCAGCCCCTCAAATAGCTGGGATTACAGGTGCTCACCACCACTCCCAGCCAATTTTTTTGTGTTTTTAGTAGAAATGGAGTTTTGCCATGTTGGCCAGGCTGGTCTCGAACTCCTGGTCTCAAGTGATCCACCTGCCTTGGCCTCCCCAAGTGCTGGGATTATAGACATGAGCCACTGCACCTGATTAGAGAGTTAATATTCTTTTTTTTTTTTTTTTTTTTGACAGTCTTGCTCTGTTGCCCAGGCTGGAGTGCAATGGTGCCATCTCAGGTCATTGCAACCTCCACCTCCTGGGTTCAAGCTATTCTTGTGCCTCAGCCTCCTGAGTAGCTGGGACTACAGGCGTGTGCTAACACACCTGGCTAATTTTTGTATTTTTAGCAGAGACGGAGTTTTGTCATGTTGGCCAGGCTGGTATCAAACTCCTGACCTCAAGTGATCTGCCTGCTTCAGTCTCCCAAAGTCCTGGGATTACAGGTGTGAACTGCCGTGCCTGGGCTGAGAGCTAATATTCTTATGAGAGACGGAGGCCAGAACCTTTCTCTGCCATCCAGTGAGCTGCTTCTGCTCTTTGCCTCCTAGGGTCCCCAGAAAACCACATGGATAACCTGTGTCAGGCTTGTGTAGACCATATTTGTGACGTCACTCTTGAGTTCACTTCCTCCTCTACTGGGATTTATCAAATGGCTGACCTTGCCCTATCATTCTACCTTTGTCCCTTTAAAGAGTCACTATATTCTTCATTCAGAAGTCAAGTTGGATCAGAGACCATGGGGATCAATCTGAATTTCTCCAGCTATTCTTTTGTTGTTGCCCAGCTGTGGCTTTATCCAGTTGTTCCCTCTGCTTCCTAATTGCTGGCTTGCACTGGTTCTCTGTTAGCTTTAATAACTACTGTAGCACTATAAATATCGGATAAGCTGCAGATTATCCTGAAAGTTTTAATTAGCCCAGTGGCAGTAAGTCTATCTGCTCTGAAGGACAACTCCACGCATAGCCCCATACTCAGAGTTAATGGCCATCTATAGAAGATGATCAGCTAGGAGCCAGGAATGTATAATTTCTCCACTAATCGCTGATTTGGTCAAGGCCTGGGAGAACAAAGCCCTCAGCATGCTTGTCTCCCTCCCTCAAGCCCCCAGCATGTTAGCAAATTAGCCAGCCATGTTAGGAGTCTGTATTTCCATAAATACAGTGTGGGGATAATTTTGCTTGCTGATACATAGGCTGGTTTGAAGGGCTGAAACCAGGAGGGGCATGCCTGGTTTGCCTAGTTAACCTTGAAGAAGCTTTCTTGGGCTCTTCCCCTCCCCCGGCCTTTTTTTTTTTTTTTTTTAAGAGACCAGAGTTTTGCTCTGTTGTCCATGCTGGAGTTCAATGGTGTGATCGTAGCTCATTGCAGCCTTGAGCTCCTGGGCTTAAGCAATCCTCCCGAGTAGCTGGGACTACAGATGTGTACCACTATACCCAGCTAATTAAAAATTATTTTTTTGTAGACATGGGGTCTTACTGTGTTGCCCAGACTGGTCTTGTACCCCTGGCCTAAAAGTGATCCTCCTGCCTTGGCTTCCGAAAGTACTGGGGTTATAGGTGTCAGGGACCATGTATGTCCTAGGCTCTTCTTTCTGCCACAGCCAGAGCTGGTATAAAGTACTGTCTTAGAGATAGCCTTGGGTTCCAATCCCATCTCTGCCCCTCACTGGCTCTGTGACTTTGGGCAGGGTTCTTTTTTTTTTTTTTGAGACAGGGTCTCACTCTGTAACCCAGGCTGGAGTGAAATGGCATGATGTCACCTCACTGCAACCTCTATCTCCCAGGTTCAAGTGATTCTCCTGCCTTAGCCTCCTCAGTAGCTGGGATTACAGGCACCTGCCACCATGCCCGGCTAATTTTTGTATTTTAGTAGAGACAGGGTTTTACCATATTGGTCAGGCTGGTCTTGAATTCCTGACCTTAGGTAATCCGCCTGCCTCAGCCTCTCAAAGTGCTGGGATTACAGGCGTGAGCCACCACGCCCAGCCTGGGCAGGGTTCTTGACCTCACCAACCTCCGTTTGCTCGTATGGGGACTGTGGATAATGGCAGAGCCAGTCTCAGGTGGTTGTGAGAGTAAAATAAGACATTGTACGGAAGGTGTTTAGCCAGTGCACTGCTGGCTGGTGTTACGATTATCAGCTCGTTTTCTCCTTCACAAACATGTTCTACAACAGGCCAGATGATTGTGGACCTGCAGAAGCTCAGGAGTGTCTCTCACCTTACTTTCCTGATGAGCATCTGATGCAGAAATGGGCCCTGCTGGGAACCCACCCACCGGTCTGGCCCCTAGGCTGAGGCTACAGGTGAGAAGATGGATCTTCTGAACCTCAGCCTGACCGCCTCTGGGTTTCCTTTTCTCTCTTCAGTCTTTGTGGGATTAGGGAGGATTGGAATTTTTGTGTCATCTTAGACATTTTAAGTTTGAGAAATGAATTTTGAAGGGGTCTTTGTAAATTGTCACCAGATTGCCATCCTTGCTTCTGATAAGCCTAAATTATTGTAATGTGAATCCCTGTGATGGTGGCAATTTTATAATGCTGGTGTAGCCCTGGGCCACTCACAAAGGCCCCTAGCACTCATCTCCTTGAGCTTCTCTGCACACCTAGTCAGGTGGCAAGGCACACATCATCTCCATCTTGCGGATGAGTAAACTGAGAATTGGAGAGTCTGTGAGTAGCGGGAGGTCTCACGAATTCTGACTCGTAGCCTGATTTCTTTCCCCAGCCCTTGCTTGCAGGAAGGAGAACAGGGAAAAGAAGGGACCTGGTCAGCCCCACTACTGCCCTTCGGCAAGGCTCCTTTCAGCCACCTTCCTCATCAGTGGAGAGGGGAGAGAGTCCTTCTTTTGTTGCTCATGTGTATTTTTTTTGTAGTTAGTGTTGATTTTTTTTCCAGACAGGGTCATTTTTATTTTTTAGAGGCAGGGTCTTGCTCTGTCTCCCAGCCTGGAGTGCAGTGGTTATATCTCACAGTGGTTCTATCTCACTATAACCTTGAACTCCTGGGCTTAATTGATCTTGCCGCCTCAGCCTCCCAGGTAGCTAGGACCACAGGCGTGTGTCACCATGTCCAGCAAATTTTTTTAATTTTTTTGTAGAGACAGTGTCTCACTGTGTTGCCTAGGCTGGTCTGAGATAGGGTCTTGTTCTGTTGTCCAGACTGGAGTACAGTGGTGCCATCATAGCTCACTGTAGCCTCCAGCTCCTGGGCTCAAGCAGTCCATCCTCCTCAGCCTCCTGAGTAGGTGCGACTACAGGTGCATGCTACCCCATCTGGCTAATCTTTAAAATATTTCTGTAGAAATGGGGTCTTGCTATGTTGCCCAGGCTGGTCTTGAACTCCTGGCCTTAAGTGATCTTCCTACCTTGGGCTCCCAAAGTGCTGGGATTACAGATGTGAGCCACTATGCCTTGGCCTTAGATTTTAATCAGAGTAGTGCATGTCCGTAGTTAAAAAAGTCAAATAGTACTAAAAGGCATATAAGAAAGTATAGCACTTCACTGTACAGAGCTCTCCTCAAAGGCAACCATTCTGTTGTGGTGTTTACATCCATCTTTGTAAATAATACACTTAGACTGCTTTTTCTTGACTCATCAGTTTTAAACTTTATCAACTGAGAATTCTTCTGGTAGATGAGGATTTGTCTCTGCTTTCCCCTCCCGCATCCTTCTTATATGGCTTTTTTTTTTTTTTTTGAGACAGAGTCTCGCTCTGTCGCTCAGGCTGGAGTGCAGTGGTGTGATCTCGGGTCACTGCAACCTCCGCCTCCCGGGTTCAAGTGATTCTCCTGCCTCAGCCTCCTGAGTATCTGGGATTACAGGCATGTACCACCACGCCCAGCTAATTTTTGTATTTTTAGTAGAGACAGGGTTTCACCATGTTGGCCAGGCTGGTCTTGAACTCCTGATCTCAGGTGATCCACTCACCTCAGCCTCCCAAAGTGCTGGAATTACAGGCGTGAGCCACTGCGCCTGGCTTTTTTTTTTTTTTTTTTTTTTTTTTGAGACAGAGTCTTGCTCTGTCACCTGGCTGAAGGGCGGTGGCGTGATCTCGGCTGACTGCAACCTCTGCCTCCCGGTTTCAAGTGATTCTCCTGCTTCAGCCTCCCGAGTAGCTGGGACTATAGGCACCCGCCACCACGCCCGGCTAATTTTTGTATTTTTTAGTAGAGACAGGGTTTCACCATATTGGCCAGGCTGGTCTCAGACTCCTGACCTCGTGATTCACCCGGCTCTGCCTCCCAAAGTGGTAGGATTACAGGACTGAGCCACCGAGCCCGGCCTCCTATATGGCTTCTGAAAGGAGAGCAGAACCCCACGCAGCATCTGCCAGATGTAAAAGAACTGTTTACTGTGAGACAGCATGAGACTTATGAGAATCAGGAAACCAGCCTGTGATTTCTCACACAGTTGGCACAATGGTAATTTCTGGATGTTGTGTTTCATTAGCAGCCTCTGAGCGGAGGTGGTTTAAATTTGAGCGTGCAGGATTTAGATGTTTTATTTTTATATCTGTCTCCGACACTCCCAGAGCCACCTGGTTTCTTGAGTTGTAACAAGATGTTTTCTGTTGCACAGGCCTTGGGTTCCTCATTAGCCCCAGTTCATGTTCCTCTTGGGGGCCTGGCTCCTTTACGAGGTCTTGTGGATACCCCACCCTCTGCTCTTCGTGGATCTCAAAGCGTGAGCCTGGGGAGCTCAGTGGAGTCTGGACGTCAGCTTGGAGAACTCATGCTGGTAAGTACGTTCTCTTGCGTTCAGTGTCTGTAGTTCCTGTGGGGCCTCCCGTGTGCCATACCAGGAACTATGGCCTAGGGGTGAGAAATAGACAGAATCGGTGGAGTCCTCAGAGTTCGTAATCCAGTTGGGAAAATGTAATTCGCACCTGTATGAATGTGGACTCTGGGCTGTGGAGGATAGACCCATGCTGTAGGGACATCAGTGCTGATTTCCAAGTCTCTGCAGCCAAGGCAGTAGGAGTAGGCAAAGGGAGTCATTGATGTGAGCTGCAGTCGCCAGGTCAGCTTCATGGACATGGTGGCACTTGATCTGGGAGACATTGACATAGAGAGTGGGGAGGAGCATTCTAAAGGTCATTCCAAAGGTCTTCCAAGTGAGTCCTTTGACTGTCCTTCTCTATT
This sequence comes from Homo sapiens, assembly GCF_000001405.40. Lineage (NCBI taxonomy): Eukaryota > Metazoa > Chordata > Mammalia > Primates > Hominidae > Homo > Homo sapiens. The sequence goes on from NC_000011.10 coordinate 117,362,398, forward strand.
TTGAAGCCTTCACAGGGTCTCAAGACCTCTGCTTATACAAAGGGTCTCTTGGGCTCCATATATGAGGACAAGACTGCTCTCAGCCTCTTGGGTTTAGGAGAAGAAACCAATGAGGAGGATGAGGAGGAAAGTGACAACCAGGTAATGATGAAGTCCTCTCCCTGGCCTGGAAACCCTCTGTGCCATATTTTTTCCTTTTGAAAATGTTTTTGCTGTGATAGAAAAAATATGTAACATAAAATTTGCCCTTTTAACCATTTTAAAGTTAAAATTCAGTGGTATTAATTACCTTCACAATGTGTGCACCCAACACCACTATCCATTTCTTTTTTTTTCTGCACTCCCCCGCCGCCACTATTCATTTCTAGAACTTGTTCATCATCCCAAATAGAAACTGTGTACCTATTGAATGATAACTTCCTATTCCCTCTCCCTCCATCCCTGGAAACCTAATCTGCTTACTGTGTCTATGAATTTACCTATTCTAGGTACTTCATATAAGTGGAATTATACAATGTTTGTCCTTTTGTGTCTGGCTTATTTCACTTAGCATAATGTTTCAAGCTTCATCTATGTTGTAGCATGTATTAGAACTTTGGTCCTTTTTAAGGCTGAATAATATTCCATGGTATGGATATGCCACATTTTGTTTATCTACTCATCTGTCGATGAATATATATGGGTTGTTTCCACCTTTGGCTGATCTCTGTGCTACTTTTTAAAAAAGCAAGAAGTTTTTTTGGCCTACAGCTTCATTTCTTGAGCAGTCTATTATGTCTTCTAGATCTGATCCAGAAAGTACAGCCAGCAGAAAGCACCTTGGCCACTTGCTTGTTGCACAGCATAGTTTGCGCTGGATGGAGAGCCGTTTAGTGAGGCTGCCTCAGTGGTGGTCCTGCTCTGAGTCCTCTGAAGCCCTGCCTGGGCCCGCCTGTCAGCTCAGCAGTGCCCCACTTTTCCCTCTGCACACCCCTCACCCTGGGTTGACCAGTTTCTTCAGAGTTACCACTTGTCATCATTTTTGTTTCTAGAGTGTCCACAGCTCAAGTGAGCCTCTTAGGAACCTACACCTGGACATTGGGGCACTGGGGGGTGACTTTGAGTATGAGGTAAGAGCCCTAATCCCTACAGGCACATGTGTCAGCCTGGCATATCCCTCCTGTTTTTATTAAGCCCTGCTACTTTGTTGTAATGCATATTTGGAAAAAGAACCATTTTGTCCCAGTCCTTCCAGATGAGATTTCTGGGGTTTGGGGAAGGACAAGAATAAATGAATGGATTCCTGTCCCTTCCAGACCCTGCCTCTAAACAAACAAACATCAACACTCATTATGTTATTGTAATACCTAAAACCTCCAATGCTTTTTTTTTTTTTTTTTTTTTTTTTTTTAAGAGACAGAGCCTCACTCTTTTGCCCAGCTTGGAGTACAGTGGTGTGAACAGAGCTCACTGCTTTGAATTCCTGGGTTCAAGTGATCCTCTGCCTCAGCCTCCTGAGTAGTTAGGACTACAGGCATACGCACCCATGCCTGTCTACTTTTTACATTTTTTGCAGAGATGAGGTCTCTCTGTTGACCAGACTGGTTTCAAACTCCCGGTCTCAAGCAGTCCTTCCATCTTGGTCTCCCAAAGTGCTGGAATTACAGGTGTGAGCCATTGTGCCCAGCTATGTGTTTTTGTACTTAGAAAGGAGCTTTCCCTACCATGTATCCTTTGTTTAGTGTCCAGTGTATTCATTTAAATATAACATTTCTCTAAATATTCCCTAAGTATTTATACAACCAATGAATCATGAACTCAACAATTAGATTTCCCCAAATATTTAAATATTTGTTGCAGGCTCAATCAGTTAAACTTTTCACAAGTCTAATATATCAAGTTCTTTTAAATACTTTCAATACCTTAACATCAAACAAGTCACTCACACTTTATTAGAAAGATCACAAAACTGGCCTGTAAAACTTTAGAAGTGCTTATATCCTGAATTTAAATTTGTTTTCTCATTATCCCTTATTATTTCTGACTTGTTTCTTGGAAATCACTTTACCTTAAGAGCCAGGATTGGTGTCTCAGGCCACTTGAAGTTTCAGATGTGCTGGCTGATAGCCCCTGATTTGGTACTTGAGACCTGAGTTGTGGGTGACCCAAGTCTAGCCATTGGACAGGGCTTTTTTTTTTTTTTTTGAGACTGGGTGTCACTCTGTTGCCCAGGCTGGAGTACACGTCAGCCTCCCAAGTAGCTGGGACCACAGGCGCCCGCCACCACACCCGGCTATTTTTTGTAGAGATGGGGTTTTGCTATGTTTCCCAGGCTGGTCTTGAACTCCTGGGCTTAAGTGATCCACCTACCTTGGGCTCCCGAAGTGCTGGGATTACAGGCGTGAGCCACTGTGCCCAGCCTAGGACTCTTTTTGTAGTTAGACTTTGCCTGTAACCTCAGAAACTGTTCAGCATTTTGGCTCTGCACAGTCAGATACCTTTTGATTATGACTTTACAATTTCTTGCCAAATGTGACACTTTTTTCTAAGTGTCCCGTTTTTATTATCAAGCTGATATAGGTCTGCTTTGAAACTGTTCCTTCTGAGTGGGGCCTAGTCTGGAAGGATTAAATCTAAAGCCTTCAATCTGTTTAGTTCCCTGAAATGACAACTTTATTTTCTTCTCCACCACCAGTAAGACCTATATTGATCAAAGGAGATGCTCAGGCTTTGTGCCTAGAAGGTTGACCATGTATAGGACTAGGGGTGTCAGAGGACTTATTTGCTTGTGGAGGAAGAAGACAATCTCTATGAGAATGAGCAAGTTGAGGCTGGAGATTCTGCCCTATTCATTTCTGTATGGCCAGGAAGCAACTAGCCTGCTGCCTCTGAAACATAGGAAGTGCTTGGGTATGTTTTGTTCAACAATCGAGAGAGTGAACTTGTGAATGAGTGAATGAGCCACCTCGGGACAGAGAGAGTGTCCAGGCAGGTTGTGTCATATTTTTTTCTTCACTTGGCTTTTCCAGTTTCTGGATAGAGTGGGTACTTGGTCCCTGCTGTCAGCTGGTGGATGGAAGATCCTGATGTGGATTGATCATGATTTACTTTGACCTTGGGCTTGTTAACATTTACTTCATAATGGATTGTAAATGTCAACAAAAAAGGCTTTTTCTTCTTTGAAAGGTGGATTTCTTTCTTTCTTTCTTTCTTTTTTTTAGATGAAGTCTCTCACTCTTGTCCCCCAGGCTGTAGTGCAATGGCATGATCTTGGCTCACTGCAGCCTCCACCTCCTGGGCTCAAGGGATTCTCCTGCCTTAGCCTCCTGAGTAGCTGGGATTACAGGCGCCCGCCACCATGCCTGGCTAATTTTTGTATTTTTAGTAGATACGGGGTTTCACCATGTTGGCCAGGCTGGTCTCGAACTCCTGACCTCAGGTGATCTGCACGCCACGGCTTCCCAAGGTGCTGGGATTACAGGTGTGAGCCATCGTGCCCAGCCTGAAGGGTGGATTTCTAAAAGCTTTCCTTCTGATGACTATGTGCTTCTTTGGGGGGAGTGGGGACTTTTAAACATTTTTATAACCTCTTTAATATAAATAGGCACCCCAGTGTGATGAGGGGAAATGTCTGGAGTGGGTGGTGTTAAATACACCTCCTACCCCTGTCTCTAGCATCCCCGCAGATTTAGTTCTTTTTGTCACATGGAGTGTTGGATTCCTATGTTCTAACTTAAGGCAGGAATCAGGGCTTTTCCTGTTGGGAGTGTTAGTGGTGGGGGTAAATGGGGGGTTTCAGGATAGCCAGTGCTGCCTCTGCTTGGTCCCTGCTCTTTGAAAATGGCTTTTGTCTCAGTTTACAGTCTTTGGATTCTCTGAACTGCCCACCTTTCCCCACTCCTGAGTGTCCCAGACAGCTTACGATGGAGATGGACTTCTGAGGTTAGTTCTAGCCTGTCTCACTGAGCAGTCACTTTGCTCATGATTCCATGAGAGGGCAGTAGGATGGCAAGAATGCATCTCTTCTCGTCTCCTCCCTCCTCTCCTGCTTTCCAACTTAAACCCACTTCAAGTCTATTACAGACTGAAGAGAGAGAGGTTCATGGAACCGACACTGAACAGGGCGAGCAAATCCAGGAGGCTGAAGGGTAGGCGAGCAGACTTTATGTGGCCATGTGGTGCTGGTGAAAAGCCCATCAGTGGATCAAAGGAGCAGGAGGGAGCCTGGGCTTAGAAATAACAGGATGATGTCAGTGCGATTGGAAAGTGCTAACAACACTGGGGAGCTGTGCAAAGAATTGAGACCAACTGGGCAGGAATAAATCTGAAAAATAAATTGGACTGATGATCAGCTTGATGGGGGTCTCTGCAGAACACGGTCAGTGCACAGACATAGGTTCAGCTCCTTATCCTTCATGCCCTGTCCCCTGTGCTGTGTGGATTACAGGGGTCCTTGTCTTTGTGCTCTGGGCAGAAGAACCTCATGGCTTTTGGGGGGCATGTTAAATATTCATGAAATGATTCTTATAAGCTCTCTCCTGCTCTCTCCTCCTGCAGATGGTAAAGTCTTTTTTGAAAAAGCAGCAGAAATGTGCCTTGAGATGCTCAAGGACCTGGGGCTGTGAAAGGAGGAGACAGAAGGAATGTGAGCAGGGATGAGCTGAGGGCAACGCTGTGTTGAGACTGAGGCCCCGCCTTTGCCTGCATTTCCCACAGAGCCCAGGGCAGGAGACTGGACTTGGGTGCCCAGAGTGTATACCTGGTTGGAGCTTCAGGCCTTGGGCCAGGAGACAAGGGGGCAGGGGCCAGGTGAAGGGAGATGCTCATGGAGTTGGATGGCTTCTCCAGACACTCAGCTCATGTACATCCATTTGTGGATAATCTACAACAAATGCTTCACCTCCTTCTGCTTTCCCCACCCTTGAGGTGCTGTCCTGTGGTTGCAGTTAGTCAACATGGTGCAGAGAATGCAAGGTCATTCATTTTAATACTACCCACGTTTTACTGTTTTAGGTAAGGCAGACTAGCATGAGCCCATCATGTGAAAATTTTCTTTTGAAGAATTTAAGCATAAGAATTGAGCTGGGCCTAAGATTATTGCAATTTGGCTATATTCTCTCACGTGTAAGAATGGGAATCTCTCTCTTTTTAATTTTTTTTTATTATACTTTAAGTTTTAGGGTACATGTGCACAACGTGCAGGTTTGTTACATATGTATACATGTGCCATGTTGGTGTGCTGCACCCATTAACTCATCATTTAGCATTAGGTATCCTCTCCTTTTAATTTTTATTTTAAGTTCAGGGGTACCTGTGCAGGTTTGTTACATAGGTAAACTTGTGTCATAGGGGTTTGTTGTACAGATTATTTCATCACCCAGGCATGAAGCCTAGTACCCGTTAGTTATTTTTCCTGATCCTCTCAAAGATGGGAATCTCTACCTGTGTCCTGTATTCTCTGATTTTTGATAGGTTACTTGTTTTTCCATCATCTTGAATAGTTAATTAATAGCTAACATTTGCTTAGCTATTTTTCATTTAATAAGCACTGTAATAAATATAGTCTAATCCCTATATAACCGTGTAAAGTAAATATTACATCTCCTTTTTGCAGGCTAGGAAGGGAAGCCTCAGCTCCGATCTTTTTATGACACACTTATTCATATTTAACAGTTTGGTCAACAAACCTTTACTAAGCACTTGTTATGTGCTAGAAACTAAGTACTGAGGACAATAGGGAGCTAATTTGGTGACAGAAACAGATAAGGAAATTAGCAAATACAATAGCTATTAAAGTATATGATGGGGAAGGCTCATTTCAGGTCAGCTGACCCAGGGATCAAGAAAGGCATCCTGGAAGAGGTGATGTGGTGAGGACCAGGGGGAGTGTGTCGGGGTAGTATGTGTGTATGTGTATTTTAGGAATTGCATGGCAAAGTACTGAGTTAGTGTGATGTTTATCCACAGGTGGGAGGAGAGGGTGTCTGAGGGTTTGCCTGGAGGTGAGCCATGAGAGGCAGGCAGGAGCTGGGCCTTAAGGGCTGTGGGCCAAGTAGGAGTTTAAATTTTATCCTGAAGGCAGTAGGGACTATTTATGGTCTGATACCTCCTTTGCCCTCGCATCTAAGGTGTATTGGTAGGCAGCCCTCTTAGGACCAGGTTTCACTCCCAACTTCAAGCCGGGGGGAGCCTTTCTTTAATCTTGGGATGAGCCTGGCCAGGGTGGGTTGGCCCTGCTTGCCGAGTGAGGGGGTGTGGTTGGCCCGGCACCCTTTGCCCACCCCAGGCAACTCCCACCTCCTTCTTGGAGTCCTTAGAACCCCACAGACTGGATATGAGCTTCTGCTGAGAATTGGCCTTTGGTTGTATAGAGATGAGAAGGCCATTAGGCTCAGCCTGAAGCTGCTTCACTTGAAGAGGAGAAGTTTGTCTCCCTTCTCTTAGCCCAGTGGTCCTGGCAGATTTATTCCATGCTGGAGGTTAGGGATGCTGGGAGGGGTAGCACTGGCGGGTACCTGCATGCATGCTGCCAAGGCGTGAGCTTCCTTCGTGCCTTCTCTACTTTCCCTTCTGCACTTCTTTCTGGGACAGGGTTGGGCCTGATGACAGTATCACCACTGTGTCTAGTGGCCTCTTTGCTTTGGGCAGTCAAGGCTCATAACCAAAGCCATTGGGAACATTTCACTTTTCTCAATATTAGCTCAATTCCTTGAGGGCAGGATCTATGGTTTGGCCATATTTGGATTCCCAAGGCAGTGTTTGGCACATAGAATGTGCTCAGTGAATGAATGTGTAAGTCTCATTACATAACGTAAGTTAACATTCGTGGGACACTGACAGTGTGCCAGTCACAACTCTGAGTTCCTTAACTCACTTGATGAGTGCTAATTCGTTTATTCTTCCCAACAACGCTCCTTATGGGGTAAGCACTACTACATCCCAGTATTTTAGTGAAAGAAACTGAGGCACATAGAAGTAAATAATTTGCCTAAGGTCACACATCTGTAAGTGTGGAGCCAAAATTTGAGCCTGGGCAGCCTCTGTCTCCAAAGCTGAGCTCTGAATGACTCTGCTTTACTGACCTGTGTAATCATCCCTAGGAAGCCTGGGTTAGCTTGTCAGTGGGCTCTCAGGCTTGCAGGGAGAGGGTCATTTCTTTGGGCACAGCAGACACTTTAACAGAGCATCAATAAATGCCATGCTTAGGGCTTCTTCTTGGACCTCTCCACTCTCTAGTCATCATGGTCCTTGAGTCTTCAGAACAGGGAATCAGGAAGTCTTAAAAATCCCTCATTGGAAGTTATTCAGTCTGGCAGCCCAAGTGTTAGCACAGATGTTTTCTAGGAGGAAGGCTTCTCAGCCCAAGCCCAGCAGAGATTATTGGCTGTATTTCCAAGGGAGGGTTTTATTTTTCTCTTTTGACTGACTCTAAGGAATTTAGTGGAAGCAGCCTTGGGTTTTTACTAGTCTTTAAAGTGAGGTTTGTATGTGAGGAGCAGGGCTTGGCCACTGTAGAGACGCACTGCTCAGACCCTGCCAAGGGGAGCTTAGCAGATTGACAGCCTCCAGCACTGACCTTTCTATCCACCCTGCTTCATGGAAGTGTTTCCTACTGGTGATGGGCACAACAGGGGTCTGAAAGCAGAGCCATTTCTGCAGATATGGGACTCCTCTAATGGCAGCCTACTAGGCGACTCTGCTGGGCTGACCAAGACTTTCCCAGAACTAGAGAAAGTCTGGAGGCTCTGCTCACTTCCTTTATCCTTTATAGACATCTCCCTTAAATCTCTTGTACATCTAACCCTAACTTGGCATCTGCTTCTCAGAGGGACCCAAGTCGGCAGTGCTCGGTGAGGATGCTGTCTCCGAGGCTGCTGCTGATCAGCATGTACCCAGGAGGCTTTAGGGGCGAAGAGGACTCTCCTGATAGTTTTTCCCCTGTTGCCTATTAAACATGAAAAATAGAAAATTGAGACTTTGCTGCCTTTCTGTCACATGATGTTCCATCATCATCTTGAATAAACACTGGCTTTGGAGTCTGCAGTCTTCTGATGTGGCCAATGGGGCTGGAGCAAGACAGATTTATTACTTGAGGACATGACAGGTGGTGACAGAGTTGTATCGTCCAGTGTAGTGACTTCCAGGCCCACCAGTGGATGGGGATCAGCTTGGGTATATCCAAATCACTATAGAAATTCTGATTCTGTAGATCTGGGGTGGAGTCAGGAATCTGTGTTTTAAAAAGCTGGGTGGGCTGGGTGTGGTGGCTCACGCCTGTAATCCCAGCACTTTGGGAGGCTGAGGCGGGTGGATTGCTTGAGGCCAGGAGTTTGAGACCAGCCTGGCCAACATGGCAAAACCCCATCTCTACTAAAAATACAAAAAATAGTCAGCTGTGGTGGCACACACCTGTAGTCCCAGCTACTGGGGAGGCTGAGGGACGAGAATCGCTTGAACCCAGGAGGCAGAGGTTGCAGTGAGCTGAGATCACACCACTGCACCCCAGCCTGGGCGACAGAGTAAGACTCTGTCTCAAAAAAATAAAAAAAAAAATTAACAACTGGGTGATTGATAACCATTGGGGCAGAACTCAGGCACTGGCCTGTGGGAGTCAGGGAATAGCATTTCCATCTTGTAGCATGTCTCAACTCCTTTTGCACATTCCTTTTGTCTTCCTTTCTAACATGGTCTGTTGCTCCCTAGGAGTCTCTGAGAACAAGCCAGCCAGAGGAGAAGAAGGATGTTTCTCTGGATTCAGATGCTGCCGGTCCCCCTACTCCCTGCAAGCCCTCCAGCCCAGGTGCAGACAGCAGTCTGAGCAGTGCTGTTGGCAAAGGGCGACAGGGAAGTGGAGCAAGACCTGGTCTTCCAGAAAAAGAGGAAAATGAGAAGAGTGAACCTAAGATTTGCAGGAATCTGGTGACCCCCAAGGCAGACCCTACAGGCAGTGAGCCTGCCAAAGCCTCTGAAAAGGAAGCACCAGAGGACACAGTAGATGCAGGAGAGGAGGGTTCCAGGAGGGAAGAGGCAGCCAAGGAGCCAAAGAAGAAGGCTTCTGCTCTGGAAGAGGGCAGTTCAGACGCCAGCCAAGTAAGTCACTGTATCCCATAGGCAGGGGTTGGCTGTAGCCCTCTGCTGCTCTGTTCAGCCCTGGGCAGGGTCCTATCCCCACATCTTTATTACTGAGTCAGGAGCTTCATTTGCGTGTCCCTGCACTGGGCTGTCAGCATCAGCCAGAGCCCTTAATTGTGACAAATATGCCCAGACCCAGCAGGCAGTAAAATCCGGAATGAAGCTGCAGACCTGCTGGCACTCGAAATTGAGAGAAGAAATTTGCTTTTCCATTGGCACCCTCCTGGAATGTTCATTTTCTTTTCTCCTGCTTACATCCTCTCCTGCTTCCTACCTCCCTCTTGTACTTTTTTTTTTTTTTTCTGTTGTTTTGAGACAGGGTCTTGCTCTGTAGCCCAGGTTGGAGTGCAGTGGCGTGACCTTGGCTCACTGCAGCCTTGACCTCCAGGGCTCAAGCAGTCCTCCTACCTCATCATAGTTCAGGGTGCTTTTTGGCAGAGCATTACCTCAGCCTCTTGAGTAGTTGAGACCACAGGCATATGTCACCATGCCCAACTAATTTTGGTATTTTTTGTAGAGATAGGGTTTCACCGTGTTGCCCAGGCTGGTCTCTAACTCCTGAGCTCAAGTGATCTGCCCACCTCATCATAGTTCAGGGTATTTTTTTTTTTTTTTTTAAGACAGAGTCTCACTCCTTCACCCCAGCTAGAGTGCAGTGGTGCAATCTTGGCTCACTGCAACCTGTGCCTCCCAGGTTCAAGCGATTCTCGTGCCTCAGCCTCCTGAGTAGCTGAGACCACAAGCATGCACCACCATTCCTGGCTAATTTTTGCATTTTTTAGTAGAGATGCGGTTTCGCCATGTTGCCCAGGCTGATCTTGAACTCCTGAGCTCAACCTCGATCTGCCCGCCTCGGCCTCCCCAAGTGCTGGGATTATCGGCGTGAACCACTGCATCTGGCTCCCCTTGTACTTCTTTTTTTTTTTGAGATGGATTTTCACTCTTGTTGCCCAGGCTGGAGTGCAGTGGTGCGATCAGCTCACCACAACCTCCGCCTCCCGGGTTCAAGTGATTCTCCTGCCTCAGCCTCCTGAGTAGCTGGGATTACAGGCATGCGCCACCACACCCAGCTAATTTTTTGTATTTTTAGTAGAGACGGGGTTTCTCCATGTTGGTCAGGCTGGTCTTGAACTCCCGACCTCAGGTGATCTGCCCGCCTTGGCCTCCTAAAGTGCTGGGATTACAGGCGTGAGCCACTGTGCCCAGCCTTCCCTTGTACTTCTTGACATCAGTTTGGGGGCAGTCGTGGTTGCAGCAGTCTGAGTTTCTATAGAGAGAGAACATTGTGTGTCGTGACGAGATGGGGGTGGTCGGGGCAGTAGGTACCACATTTGGCTGTGTTCTGCCCCAGCGTAGGTAGATTAGGTGACAAGAAGACCCTTCTCGTCCATTTTTGTGGCTTTTTCTGAATGATCCCAAGACATGGGAGTGGTTGCTTTGGCAAGATCAGGTCAGTGACCAAAATGGACAGAAGTAAGCCTGAATGGGGAGATCCTTTGGCCTTTTAGATTTTTCAACCCTTAGTCCTATTCCTCCTCCAGGTAGATGATGAGGGAATTCATTTAAAGAGCTTTTATCGGCCGGGCACGGTGGCTCATGCCTGTAATCCCAGCACTTTGGGAGGCCAAGGCGGGTGGATCACTTGAGGTCAGGAGTTCGAGATCACTGGCCAACATGGTGAAACCTCATCTTTACTAAAAATACAAAAATTAGCTGGACATGGTGATGCGCACCTGTAATCCCAGCTACTCGGGAGGCTGAGGCAGGAGAATTGCTGGGACCCGGGAGGTGGAGGCTGCAGTGAGTGGAGATGGCGCCACTCCAGCCTGGGGGACAGAGCGAGACTCCATCTCGGAAAAAAAAAAAAAGAGCTTTTATCTATTTCCTGGGAAAGATGTTCTCCTTCTGTTTTTTAGGATAGCATCAGACTTCGGTACTGCCACCTTTCTAACCGTCTCTGCTACTCTTGGCTCCCCTTACTCATGCAAGTCCTTGCTGATCTGATTCAGAGTGTGGTTGTCTCTACTCAGCGGGCTGCCCAGCCCCAGTGGGGCGGAGGCTGTGCACATGTCCAGAGAGAATGGCGGGGTCCACAGGCCTCGTTTAGGTTTTCAAGAAGAGTGGATTTCAGTTTGACCTGAGCCCTATATTGGCCCCATGGCCTGAACAGAATTCCCTGGGTAGGGACCATGACTCTTTGTGCTCTGCTCTGAGGGATTTCTCTGTGGGTCTGTCTCTCCAGGAACTGGAAATTAGTGAACACATGAAGGAACCACAGCTCTCAGACTCCATAGCTTCTGACCCCAAGTCCTTCCATGGCCTGGTGAGTTTGAGATGAGGGCAGTAGAGTGGTGGTGAAGAGCATAGATTTGTGAGCCTCCAGGGTTAAGTAATTTGCCTAGCATCACGCAGCTTATAAGTGGGAGAATTTCGAACTCATGCTTGAGTCTTGTCTAGCTCCAGTTTCTCAACCCATTAACTAAGGGTAATACTTCCTATTTTATAGGTTTGTTGTGAGAAGAAAGTGAGGCAGAGAATGTAAAATGTTAGCATATAAACATTAATAATATAATTATATATATAATAACATTAAAATGTTAGCTATTATTACTCTCACTATTGTGTGAGTTGCCTGTGTGATCATGTGAGTTACCATGAGCCTAGGAGGTTAGAGACTGGTGTGTTTGTGTTTATGGGATCACTGAGCTGTGGCGAGGACAGTCCCCAGGCTCAGGCCAGGAGGGATGCCATGGCTTCATTTCTAAAGTTAAGGCTTTGTCTTGGAATGCCGGCATCCATGGTTTCTTTGTCCCAGACCTTCTACCCAGCCTGCTGTATCCTGGTTTCATTTGCCAGGTCTGTACCTAAGGGGAATAGTTCAGGGTGCTTTTTGGCAGAGCATTACCTCCAGAAGCCATCCTCCATCTGTTTGGAGGAGGCAGATCAAAGGGAAGGGATTAGTGGGAGAGGGTCAGGGATGAACAGTAATGATATGAGGGGGTGCAGAAGAATTAGGAAGCTGTGTGTGCTCGCCTCTCACTGAGCCATGGGCTTAGAAGGCAGATGGCAGCTGCATTAAGTGAAGTAGAACTCAAACTGAAAGGAAAATGTCACCAAAAAAGAAGAAAAACCCACAAGCTAGAAAGGGAAGGCAAAAAGTCGTTGTTGGCAAAAACTGTCCATGAAGAATCGCCATGTCACAGCTCTCTCGGAAGCAAGGGGGCTGGCTCTTCTAAAGCAGTCACCCATGTGGAGAAACGTGCCCATCAGCGTTTTTCTTCTCTATGGAAGTAGATGGAGGAGGCTGTGGACAGCAGGACCAGACTTTGTCTGGGCGTCCCACCATTAATCAGGGCTGATGTGACAGAACTCTCCCCATTAACATGCTGTTGGGTAGCAGTCCTTCACTTAGCCCAGCAGGGATCTTAGGCTCAGAGAGGGTGGGATCGTGGGCCTGTGGCAGCCAAAGGACAGCAACAAACTGGCACCAGTGTGGGCACTTGCTGCCTGTCCCAAAGAGAAGCCAGTGCAGGAATCATCACTAATTAACTCTCATTGTCCAGAGGGGAACCTGTATGGAAAGGGGATGGAACGAGCTGGAAAGAGCCCACCAAGGCTCATTTCCAAACTGCCCACAGGTTTTCTGGGGATGTTGGCATCTCTTCTCATGCCTGGTTGGGCACCACGGAGAGGGAGAGACAGCTGGAAAGTGACATCCTTCGCAGCATGTGTCATGGAAAGAGCTTGGGCTTTGGAGTCAGTGCGGGGCCCCATCTGACCCCCAGGCCCCTTGCTTATCAGCTGTGTGACCCTGGGCGAGTTATATGTGCTCTCCAACCTGCTTCCTTATCTGTGGGATGAGGGAAAGAGTTTTAGTCTCACAGGGTTATTTTTTCCCCATAATTTTCTTATGAAAAGTTTCAAATATATGGAACAATTAAAAAAATTGTACAGTGAATACCCACATACTCACCATCTATAGGCCACAATTAACATTTTACCATACTTGCTTGACATATCTTTCCATTGAGTCACAGTGTCATTTTGAAGATGAAATTAGTAGATGTTGAAATGTTTGGCACAGAGCTGGGCACATAATAGACATCTTTCTGGAAAGTGGAGTTGGGGTAGTGAAGAGGCCTGGTGGGTGTTGACTGTGACAGAGGCAGAGTTGACCTTTGCATCTCCACTGTCTCCAGGACTTCGGTTTTCGCAGCCGGATCTCGGAGCACCTGCTGGATGTTGATGTGCTTTCCCCAGTCCTGGGTGGAGCTTGTCGGCAGGTGAGTTTCTGTGGGTGGTGGGCTGAGCTGGGGCCTCATTTTCCCTCACAACTTTTTCGGATGACCCAGAACTGAGCCCTGCCCATCACAGGGTGCATTTCTGTAAGTCCTCTCCCTTCTAATTCATTAAGGCATGGTCCTGACTGCCTTTCACGGGGCTTCTGACCATTCCTGCATTGTTGCTATAAATTAAAGCCCTCTTCCACCATGTATTTATCCATTTATCCACTCATTCAGCAGCTGAAGAGTGGACTGTCTGCTCATGTGCAAAGCGCTGTGTAGATTGTAGATTTCAAGGCACTTCCCATCCTGGCCCATTCATCCTCTTTACATGCCCAGCCCACCTGCTGCTCACCAGCTGGATCTGCTGCTCGCTATTGCTGGGGCACACTCCACCTCCGCCACGCCTCTGCCTGCCACTCTGCTTTCCCATTTTTCCCAGCAAGCTCTTTTTTGGTCCTGGAGGTTCACCTCTGACACCTCCTCCTCAAATGGGATGAATTGTTCCCTTTCTTTGCTCCGTTTAGTCACTCTTGTTTTGTTTGATGGTTGTTTGTCTGTCTCCCCTGCCAGATGTTAGCTCTGTGTGGGCATGGATGATGATTGACCCATGTGTGGTACAAAGATGGCTCAAACAGAGATCCTGTCCTTAAGGAGCTTCAAGCCAAGAAGACTTTTCTTTTTCTTTGTGGATTGGTTAGAAGAGCAGTTCTGGCACATGATCTCTGCAAGTGTAAGGGAACATTTGGTTTGGGCAAAATGGAAATTTGTTGGGTGAAACAAACAAGATGTTTAATACGAACCCAGCCTTGGAGCCTTTAGTGAAATGTGTGCTAGAGGCAGCCTTGGAGCCTTTAGTGAAATGTGTGCTAGAGGCAGGCCAGTTGCATTTGAGCCCAACATGTTCCTCTCAGCTCTGGCTGATAAAACCTTTCTGGGCCACTGTCCAGCTACCAGGTCCTTGTTGGATCTTGGTCATCCTGTTTGCAGTGCTAAAGAGATGTGAAGGCACAGTCAAAGGAAGGTGGGATTAGTCAGGAAAGGTTTGGAGCAGGCGAATTGTGAGGCTCCTTTGGCAGTAGGTGAGTGGGAAAGTTACTGAGTCAGTGCAGTGGAGGTGGATTCCATTGTTTGGGGTCCAACACCTGGCCAGTATCAGAATTACTTGGGAGCTTGAAAAAAAGACAGATTTCTGGGTCTACCTAAGACCTGATGTGGCCAGCAGCCTCTTTTTGGGCTATGCCACTTGCTGTAACGCAGTAGCAGGACCTGACTTGGTTTTGGTTCTCACGAAGTGCAGCCTCCTGAGGTGGCCATCCCTGGCAGAGGAAGCCCTAAGCCAGCGGTCCCCAACCTTTTTGGCATCAGGGACCAGTTTCTTGGAAGACAGTTTTTCCAGATGGGGCCAGGGGTGGGGGCATTAGATTCTCATGAGGAGTGCGCAACCTAGATCCCTTGCATGCACAGATCACGATAGGGTTCATGCTCCTGTCAGAACCCAGTGCCACTGCTGATCTGACAGGAGGTGGAGCTCAGGTGATAATGTTTGCTTGCCTGCCCACTGTTCACCCCCTGCTCTGTGGCCTGGGGGTTGGGGACCCCTCCCCTAAGCTATACCTTGTGACCTGCCTGTTGTGATGTGGGTAACAGTGCTCAGTGTGGCTGACCAAGTAGCCAAGCCTTTGCAGGCTCAGCTTCCAGCTGTCTGCCATCTCTGGGGGTGGAGGGGTCGAGATGGGGAGGTGGAGCTGGAGGAGAGAGCAGCAGCCCCTTCATGGGACAGAACTGTAGATGCCATCTTCTGTTCTTCCTGTGCGCTCTTGCCCATTTTGCCGTATTTTCCATGTCTCTCTCAAGGGCAGGACCAGGGCAGAAGGCTTATAACTGAGCTATACTAGTTTTTGTTCATTTAAAATATTTGCAATGCAGCTTTATTGAGATAAAATTGACATACAATAAACTGCACATTTATTTGATAAGTTTTACCGTATTATATACCTTCACAACCATCACCACAAAAAACGATTATAATGAATTAGACATAATACATTTCTTTCTTTCTTTCTTTTCTTTTCTTTCTTTTTTTGAGATGGAGTTTCCCTCTGTTACCTAGGCTGGAGTGCAGTGTCATGATCTTGGCTCACTGCAACCTCCATCTCCTGGGTTCAAGCGATTCTCCTGTCTCAGCCTCCCCAAGTAGCTGGGACTACAGGCATCCACCACCATGCCCGGCTAATTTTTTTTTTTTTGTATTTTTAGTAGAGATGAGGTTTCCCCATGTTGGCCAGGCTGGTCTCGAACTCTTGACCTCAGGTGATCTGCCCGCCTTGGCCCCCCAAAGTGCTGGGATTACAGGCATGAGCCACCGTGCTCGGCAAACATAATACATTTCATAATGAATTAGAAAAGTGATTATAAAATTGTTTCAAGTAATACAGAAGATCCAAGTTCTCAGCTTCCTGTAGCCTTACACAGGCAGGGACTATGGATAGTTCCCATTCACATTTTTCATGTACCTTTCCAGAAAATTTTCTGTGTACATATAAGCATATATCTATTTTCTCTTATCTTTTTTCTTCCCATAAAAATTGGGATTGTGCTACCTAAACTGCATGGTGATGTGCTCTTTAAATTTGAGAATAGGCACTTGACTTATTTCTGAGTTATTTCATTTAGATCTACCATATTCTTTTTGTTGGCTGCACAGTCTTCTGCTGTATGAATACACCATGGTTTATTTAACTGAGGACTGCATCTTAAATGAAAACAAGACCCTAGAGCCAAGTTAAGGAGAGGGAAATGGTATTTTAGGCCAGAGGCTTAGGATGTGCGATTGTCTCCCCTTTCTGAAGAATGCTGACCTTGGCTGCTTTCCTCATCTGGATCCTTTGCTTCCTTTTCTGGAGCAAAAAAGTTAAGGAAGAGGACCCTCTCTATCAAGAGGACCGTCCATCTGGGTATTTCCCCGAGGATCCCCTTTTCTCTGTCAGTGGGGGATAGTTCAGTTTCTCACAGAAATATAGGTGAAACAAGAAGGCAGAGGCCAGAAAGCCATGGTCTGCAGCCAGCCCTCCTGTCTGCTGCCTTTTTTCTTATGGTGTATGGCTGATAGCCCCGGAGTCCTTTCTGACTCAGGGCTCAGTCCCCCTATTTTTATTACTATCACCCCCACTTCATTACTCATCTTATATTTTAGTTTGTTAAATGGAGTGGGCCTGTCACCTCGACAGGTGAGAGAGGGAGATATTTGATGAGCATGGTGTGGTCTGTGGGGGAAGACAAGTTGTGAGTTGCACCCTCGAAGGGGAAAGAGGTGGGGCAGGAAAGGCTGCGTGCCCTGCCATTGTCTGCAGGCTCTGCCCGTGCTGATGTGATGAGGAGTGGCAGCCCTGGCAGGGAGCCCTTCTGCTACAGGCACCGGGAGGTACTCACAGGCAGCATTTCTATTTTTAATGTAATTTGGGGGAGCTGGGTTTTAGTTCAAGCCCTGCCCTTCCTCACCCATCCAGATGGCAGGGTTAGCCACAGCTGCTGGGGCTTAGGCTGCCAGTGGAGAGGTATGGGGGCTGTGGGCACAGGGCTGGGGACCCTACTGGGAAAGATGGAGTGAGCTGTCTCCCGCCCCACCTCTCCTGTTGACCCTGTGTCCCAGAACAGACGGGGCTCCTGTCGGTGTGACAGAAGGAGTGCAGGTCCTAGGATGGGGACTGGCACTGGCAGAGTCTTTTCTTTTTGTTTTTTACCTTAGGCTGGGGGAGAGGGAGAGGAATGTGGGAAGAGGAGCTAACATTGATGGCGTGCCTTCTTTGGGTCACGAGCTGGGCCTTACGTATATGAGCTGATTTAATCCTCACCAGAAGCCCTGTGAGTTGCAGTTTGCTATCCCATTTTATACAGTGGAGGAGACAGACTTCCTAGGCAGGAAGAGCTAGAACAAAGGGTTGACCCCAGGCCGACTACACTACTGTACCTCTGTGGAAAATATTTGAAATGATCATGAATATTTCTCCCCTCCAGGCTGGGTGACAAAGTGAGACCTTGCCTCAAAGAATAGTTCTTCCTTTTTTTTTTTTTTTTTTTTTTTAAACCAACTTGCTAAATGTCACTAGTCACCCAAGCTTTAAAATGAGATTTTTGTTCTGTTTTGTTTTGTTTTTGATGGATGATGTAATTGCTGACTGGGAAGGGGGCATCATTGTCTGCTGATGGGGCCAGGGTGCTTGCGGGGACCCTGAATGTAGCGAAGGAGCACTTTGTCTTCCTTCCTCCAGGTGCCAGGTGGTGCCCTTTTTGTCTCTGGCACAGCTGTCTCTCTCATTCTACCAGGACTCCATCTCTCCAGGACTTATCCTTTCTCATGTGCTTGCCTGTGGCCCCCGATTCTGCCCTCGTAATTTCAGCACGCTTGTCATTCACTGGCACTGCTAATCTGGGCCTCTGTGGATTTGGGGTACTCATGGATTTCTCTGCTTTCTCTGCACAGCTCACAGTGCAGGCTTCCAGCAGCAGGAGGCAGGATTTTCTTTTTCTTGTGTGTTCTCCTTCAGCCTCTGGCTCCTGACTCTCTGTGTAGTGGCTGTGGTCTTCTGCCACATCTTCCCCAGGCCTCAAGGCTGACCCAGGGAGCAGCTGTGAACCTAGCCAAAGCTTGGGGAAGCTTCACTGTGCAGTAGATCAACCTTCTGTTCTACGTCCCGTATGGTCCCATCTTCTGGAGAGCAACTTCTCAGTGCTTTCGTCTAAGCTTGAGAGCCAGCAGGAGGATGGAGGGACCCAAATGCAGTCCCTCCAACACAAACTTTTTATTGCTTCTCTCCTACAGGCCCAGCAACCACTGGGAATAGAAGACAAGGATGACAGCCAGTCCAGCCAAGATGAGCTGCAGAGCAAGCAGTCCAAAGGCCTGGAGGAGAGGTACCATAGGTGGGAGGCTATCCCCAGCGCTGTGCCTTCAGGGTGGTGTGGACTTGGGCAGAATTCTTGGCTTTGGTGGCCGGCCTGGCTCAGTGTACAGTTGCTTGGCAGCAGGTGATGAACTGGCTGGATGGCCTTGCAGGGTCTGTGTGTGCACATGCGTGTGTATATGTGTGTGCACGTGTGTGTACTGGCAATGTGTGTATATGTTTGCATGCATGAGCAGACCCTTTGTTTCTTCACCAAGATGGGAATGTGAAGTGCCACTGGGTACAATTGGCAGGACTCTGGGCACCATTGTGGGGCCAGGGCTGATGAAGCTGTGTGTGTGCCTGGTTATGGGCCAGGGCTGAAGAAACCTTGTGGAGGTCTGGAGGAGTCGCATTGGAGGGTTGGTACTGCAGCTCAAGAGTTCTGAGCCAGGGCCCTGCCACATCAGAAATGGCTGTAGCTATCTGTGAGAGTGCAACTGTGTGTGATGTGACAGGGGCTCTCAGCTTCTCCGGCCTGAGCCCCATGACAAGGGCTGCCACCCTAGAAGGGGAAGGAGAATGGTCATTTCACTTTTGGACCTGCAAAAACTATCCATGACAGCTTCATGCATTTTTCTAGTTTGACCTCTTGAGTCTGGCTTCTCTTTTTCTCCCCACTTAGTTCTTCCACCCCTCCCTGGCCCCAGTGCTGGTGAGCTCTGGGGATGGGTATACTTGTGAGTGTGTCCTGCTCTTACTCCTGAACCAAGCAGAGGCAGTATAGGGACCCCTGTGGAGCCTGACTCCAGTCTAGGTAAAAGGAGGGCTCAGGAGGGAGTCTATCCTTCCCACATGTGTGGCTGCCTTGCCCTGCTATGGCTCTCCATGGATGGATGTGGGGGTGGGGCTGGAGCATAACCCAGGAGGAGGCAATGACCTAGGTCCACACACTGTACTCCCCAGTTCTCTTCCCGCTCTCCAAATGGAGGGGCCTGACTCTGCTGCTCTGCCCGGCCTGACCAGGTTATCTCCTCCACTTCCACACGAGGAGCGGGCCCAGAGTCCCCCTCGCAGCCTGGCCACTGAAGAAGAGCCTCCCCAGGGCCCCGAGGGGCAGCCCGAGTGGAAGGAGGCAGAGGAGCTTGGGGAGGACTCTGCAGCCAGCCTCAGCCTGCAGCTGTCCCTCCAGAGGTAAGGATGAGGGGAAGCATCCTCATGAGGATGAGGGCTGGTGGCTGCTCTGTGTGTAGTGGGTATGTGTGCTAGTGCTGAGAGAGATGGGGGTGGGGTTGGCTTGGGGAGGGAGTGGGGAGCTGGGGCGGGTTTGTAGCCTCAGCAGCAGCAGCAGCAGAGGCTCTGCTTAGTGTCCCATGGGATCTGGATATGAGGAAATGTGCCTCTTCCTAGTCCTCAGTCTACAGCTGAAATCAGGGTATGTGGTCTGATTAGAGGAACTTAGAAACTCTTGAATAAGGAGGTGTCTCTTTTGTCACAGCTGCCTCCCTGCAAGGGGCTGGAGCAGAGACTGGTATCACCCTGGCTGCTCCATTCCTGTCAGGGAAGCCCTTTCTCTAGTCCCCTCCCTACCAGCACCCCTGTTTCCAATAGTCATCCTACTTCTTGTCATTCAGCAACCCCAGCTGGAGCCCTGTTATGTGCTCGGCCCAGGGAGAGGGAAGCCCAGATAACTCTGGGTCCAGCTGAGAGGACCTTTTTTCTTAGCCTAGTCAAGAGCGTGGTGGACATTTGCTAGTTGTCTGTCCCCCTAGCAAGAGAAACATGCTGGTCTTAGAATTCATTGGGTTGGAATGAGTCACTAGGGAACCTGAGCAGCATCGATGTGCAATCAACAGCATCCACTGAACACCTGCTGTGTACGGAGCTCCTGGGGTACCATAACCATCTTGCTTCCATTGTGAGGCAGGAGTCTCTAGTCTTTGATGCAAATAATTCAGGGAGAGGAAGGGCGGGGAGAGGGAGGTCTAAGACCCGAGGTAGGGAAATTGTTGGGCTGTCTCTCTTGTCTCTGTCATAGCTCTTTGACCCCAAATGGCGTACATCTTAAGCCTCTTGCTTTCTTACTGGCTTTAACACAGTTGTTTCCTTACTGCTATCAAGGGAGCAGGCCCCAAGCCCACCTGCTGCCTGTGAGAAGGGCAAGGAGCAGCATTCCCAGGCCGAGGAGCTGGGCCCTGGGCAGGAAGAGGCAGAGGATCCTGAGGAGAAGGTGGCGGTCAGCCCCACCCCGCCAGTCTCTCCAGAGGTGTAAGGGCCAGTTTTGTGTGTCTGTCCCTGACCTCCACTGCGTGTGGGCTGCTTCAGTGCCTATTCACTCTTGGGTGGTGGGAGGTGGGGCTCAGGCTCTGGCCAAGGGTTAGAGTGTAGGGAGATTAAGCATATCCTTGGTGCTCTGTGTGCAGCCTTGAGAGCCCCACACAGGCATGACTGATCCTTACCTGGGGTTAGCTTTGGTCTCTGGGGCTCCTGGTCAGGACTTGAGGTACAAGGGCAGATGAGGGGGTACCTCCTGGCTCATTTGCTAAACTTGCTAAATCATGTTTCCTGTCTACCAAGCACTGTTTTTCTCTTCAAAAATGTTGTTGAGGTATGTATGTACACTGCAGTACATAGGCCTAAAGTGTACAGTTCAGTGAAAGTTTGCATCTGTGCACACTGTATAATGGCCACTCAAACAGGGAATGTCTCCATCCCTCGAGGAAGTTTCCTCGTGCCCCTCTCAAACCACTCACCCCAGATCTTCACTGTTCTGGCCTGTGAGCTCCAAGTTCTGGCCAAAGGGTCATTTTTCCAGTTCTCTACTTCACATACATGGAATTATACAGTATACAGGATTGATCTTTTGTGCTTGTGTTCAAAGCTCAGTGTGTTTTTCTGATTCACCTATGTTGTTGAACCAAGTACTTCTAAAATTTAGAAATCATTTAGCTTTTCTCCTTCCATTCTTACCCTTCCCCTTCCTACTCAGTTTTCAGACGAGGAAACTGAGGCTCAGAGAAGTGAAGGGATTCATCTAAGGTAACATCGCTAGTCAGTGGCAGAATTAGAACTAGATTATAGGCCGGGCGCGGTGGCTCACACCTGTAATCCCAGCACTCTGGGAGGCCGAGGCAGGTGGATCACCTGAGGTCAGGAGTTTGAGACCAGCTGGCCAACATGGCGAAACCCCGTCTCTACTAAAAATACAAAAATTAGCTGGGCGTGGTGGCAGGTGCCTATAATCCCAGCTACTTGGAAGACAGAGGCAGGAGAATTGCTTGAACCTGGGAGGTGGAGGTTGCAGTGAGCCGAGATCGTGCCACTGTATTCCAGCCTGGGCAACAAGAGCGAAACTCTGTCTCAAATAAAAACACTAGTTTATAGTCACTAGAGCCCTAGACTTCTGACTTTAGTCTGCAGCCACTGTTCCTTTTCTCTGCATAGAGAAAGAGAAGGATCAGGACTTAACATTTTCCCTTCTGTGAACTGAGCAGGTCTAAAGGATTTGGGACTGACTCATGAGCAGAGACAGGTTTATGCACACATTACTCACAGCAAGTTCATGCACACATTACTCACTGAGAGCTGGCAGGGCACGTGAGCTCAGGATCTCATGTTGTCACCATAACATTGCAGGAGTGGTGTATGGAAGGGGTGGTCATGTCTTTCAGATGGTGATACATCCTACAGTGAAAACTGTGACCTGGAGGAATTATATGGCTTTCCTGTCACCTTGGTGGCTGTGGTTAGCCAGTTCAGGATGCTTTCTGTGAGGACAGGAGGTGGATGTAGTTCAGAGAGAGGAAGATTGGGCAGAGGTCAGAGGGATGTCTTCCCAGGACCTCTAGAGGGAAGCCTGGGCAGCCGGGCTCAGTTGGGGCCTTGGCTTCCCCAGCTCCTCCCCAGTTGCCTTGGCCGATTCATTCCTTTGTCTTGTGTTTCTCCCGCCATCCCAGCGAGGCTGCCCCTGCTAGGGTCTGAGAAATACCTGACCACGCAGTTTCAGTTTATACCATCCCCTTAGGAAATGCCTTCTCTTCCTTTCCTGAGTCTCTTCAGGCCCCATCGCTTCCGTGTTATTAATCTTTACAGCGGCATCAGGAATGGATGGGTTGTCTAGGTTTTGTGGGAGTAGCTCTGTGTCTGTCAGCTTCCAAAGGTGTAGTCAAGCTGGATCTGAAGGGTTAGGAGCAGAGGGCAAGCTAGAGGGAGCAGGTAGGTCCAGGAGGCAACATGTGCCACTCACCGAATGCTTTCTGGCCAAGGCCAGGGCTAGGAAACAGGAAGGTCCTCCCCGTGTCATGCCAGCATCTTTCGTGAGGATTTCCAGAGAAGAGGGTAAAAGAATCCAAACCACCAAGTTGAGTATGAGAGGAGACATAACTTTTGTGGTAGTACCATGAAAACCATTTCACAGTGTTTCTAGGTGCCATTTCCCCGCCCTCCGCTCTCTTTCTTCCCTGTCTCTCCCTGCTTTCCCTTCTTGCTTTCTCTCCCGTATCTTTGAGCTACTTGGTGGCCAGCCTGAAATGATTATGCTCCTGCAGAGCCTCCCCTTTGTCACTCACTGTAGGAAACTGGGTCCCACTGATTCTGATACCTGAGGAGTTGGCCTAGAAATCAGAGCTGTTTCTTCCCCTGGAGTCCTCAACTTCCCAATCATGTCATGGACCTTTCAGGCATTGTTTACTGCCTTGGAACTGAGCTAGCAGTTTGGGCTACTAGACCTTTAAAACAGTGCGAGGGAGAAGAGGTCCACTGACAGACAGCCCAGGTTGCCTCTGTGCAAGTTCACTGGTGCTCATAGCCTGGGCACATGCCCCACATGGTCTGATGCCCCATCTTTCCACAGCATTATCCCTAGGGCTCCACATAGCTTGCAGCCTGCAGGAGAGAGAGACATTAAAAGGTACCATCTCAGGGAAAAAAGATGTTTTCAGCCAAGGTTGGAAATGAGTTGGAGGGTTGATGAGGCGGAGAGCTGTGGGGGAAGCCTCTTTCTGAGGGCAGGATTCTCAGAGGAGGTGGCAGCCACATGTCTTATATATGCATTAATTGGGCTGTGTCAGGGGACTGAGAGGAAGCCAGGCTTTGGAAGGAAGGAGAAGATGGAGTTGGGAGCAGAAGAGAATTGAAGGCATAGGCTGAAGATCATTTCTGGTCCGAGTTATGATTTTAGGAAAGGGGAAACGAAAGGTCTTTATGGTAATTCAGAGATGACAGTAGCCTGTCCTGTCTTCCTCTCTCTATAGTCTCAAGGTGCTGCAATGGGATTCGTAAGCCCTTGTTTTCCTCTACTGTTCTAATCCGGTCCTGCCCGCTGCTTTCCATCTGCAGCGGGGCTCGAGCTGGAGGGAGAAGGGATTCTGAGTCCACAGCAGGGAGGACCAGCTCCCCTGTTTGACTCTTGCCCAGCCCTCTTTGTTTTGGATCATGCCCACACTTTCCGCTTAGGTTGACTGAGCCACCATGCCAGGCCTGCAACAGCCTGAGTGCTGTGCGAGGAGGGTGTGTGGTGAGGCCACTTTCCACCGTAAGATTGAGGGACCTGGACGTGGAGACACATTCTGGCCTTTAGGAAAGTCACTCTGGGAGACAAAATGCTTTATCCTGCTCATGGTTTCCTCATGCTTTATCCTGCTCATGCTTTATCCTGCTCAGAATGTTCTCAGGATTCCTCTTTGGGCATTTCGTTGAAGAACCAGAAAACAAGCAAAATAACAGTCCTTATTACTTTATACACATCTTTTTAATGGATACCATTATTCCTGATCTCACCACCCTCCTATGTATCCAGGTCAGCTCTGAATTCCTTTTATTCATTTCTAAACATTTAATTAACTCTAAGCAGACGAAAACGTGCCCCCATGGGTAGACGGGGAACATGGCACTCATGTGCATGCTTGCTACATTTTTTGGCTTAGGGGAGCATCTCCTCCTGGCCCCCTTGGTGGTGTGATAGGGGAGCTTCCTATTCCTGGGCCTTCCTGGACTGTTGTAGTTCTCAGAGCTGGGATACCTGCTGCTGCTTCTTTCATGGGCCCATATACATTGGCCACTACTCAGTTTGGGAGGCAGAAAGCAATCTCTGGGGACTGTTCACAAATTGCTGGCATGAGCCTTAAGTAGCAGGCAGAGCTCTAGCGGGGAGGTGGTAACGGGGCTGTGAGCCATTCTAGGAAGGAATCCATTAGGGACAGAGCTTCACTCTCTCCCTGCTGCTGCCAGCTCTTGAGCCGCAGCTTCAGATTTTGATCTTGGGCCATAACCTCGTAAGTCTGCTGAGAGCCTGCTATGGGCTACCCTTCTCCCTAGGCTCTTGGGGCCTTAAACAGCCACAATGGGGCTTGTCCTATGGAACAAGCATTGACTGTATCTCTTGGCCTGCCCTTGGGTGACCTCTTTGACTCCTGATTGTGGGCCCTCCATTAGGATTCCATCTGTGATGTTCCGTATCCATTCTAACCTGGATGCAGAGGTGGGTGGACATTAACCCTGTGATGATATGCCATTCCCCACCCATGGTAGGCGATCCACAGAGCCTGTGGCTCCCCCAGAGCAGCTCTCAGAGGCTGCACTAAAGGCCATGGAAGAGGCAGTGGCCCAAGTACTCGAGCAAGACCAGAGGCACCTGCTGGAATCCAAGCAAGAGAAGATGCAGCAACTGCGGGAGAAGCTGTGCCAAGAGGAGGAAGAGGAGATCCTCCGGCTTCACCAGCAGAAAGAGCAATCTCTCAGGTCCTGCCCTTCCCCTTAGGCATGCTTCCTGGGGCCTTTCAGGGATGTGAGGAGCCAGGGACACCCTCTTAGCCTGGGGACCACTGGGATGCCCATGGTTCTACTAAGACCAACTAAAGTTGGGAAACTTGACCCAACAATTTCTGCTTATATCTCATTGGTTACACCTAGTTGCAGAGAACACTCGGAAATGTAGTCCTTTAGCTGACCTCTTTACCCCGTAGAATAAAAGCAGGGTTCTGTTGGTAAGGAAGAAAGGGAGAATGGATATTGAGCTGTTAATGAGCCATCTGTCACAGTCCCAGGTTGGGAAAGGTACTACAAAAAGGTGTTAACATATTTCATTTACTTGGCAATTTAACTAAAGGCTAAGTCTTGTCCTCTTGTACAGAACATCCAAGAGTGGTAGAAAATTATTATTTTTAGATGATACCTAGCAAAGTATATATAAAACATTTATGCTTAATTTAGAGAATATAAAACAGAAAACCAACATACAAGTACTGGGAAGGTTGGAGCAATCTCTCATGAGTCCAGCGCAGGAAGCACTGACATAGGGTCTGTCCTTATATCACATCCTTGTGGGTCCTCCACCAGGGAGCATCCCAAAGAACAGACACCTCCAACCCCCTAGCATCCTCCAACCCCCTAGCATCCTCCTCTTCCAGCCAACTGAGAATTGGGGCAGGGGCCCACCCAAGCAGGATGTGACTCACCTTAAGGTGCAGCACCTTGGAGGAAATCCTGGCGCTGTGTCCCTGCCAGCCCACCAGTCTCCTCCCCTCTTGCTGGCCACCCTGAGCTTGGCTGACTGTGCTTTCCATCTCTCTCCCGAGGCCCCTGACTCCAGAGGCCCTCTTAGGTTGTGGGGAAGACTGGCATGCTAGAAGTGTCTTGATTCATGGCCTGGAACATAGCAGTTGCTGAACAAATGGTAGCAATTACTTTTCAATGGAAATCAATGCATATTCAGGCATTCTTGACTAAGTGATTTCTCTGTGGACACTGCCTTCAAGGCCTGGCTTTCTTCAAACTAGTTCATCACCAGAACCTGTTTCTGTTTATGCCCAAGCCTTTCTGAGGAATGGGCTCTCCTTCCGTCTGCTGGGAACTTCCATGTGGTAGAAATTTCTGGAAGCCACAGCTGATCTTGTAACAAATATTTCTGGAATGAGAAGGCAGGCAGGCTGGCCCTTAGCTTCTTTCACTGTAAAATGAAGGGATTGGACTTAAAACTTCTAAAGTCCCTGCCAGCTCTAACACTGTGTTGCTGTGTGTAAAATTTAGCCATAGGACAAAGAGAAAAGGTTTCTGGGGAATCTAGAAGGAAGGATTTTTACTTAATTCAAATTTTCTCTCTTTTTTTTTTTTTTGAGACAGAGTCTTGCTCTGTCGCCCAGGCTGGAGTACAGTGGCTTACTCGGCTCACTGCAAGCTCCGCCTCCCAGGTTCACGCCATTCTCCTGCCTCAGCCTCCCAAGTAGCTGGGACTACAGGCGCCTGCCACCATGCCTGGCTAATTTTTTTTTTTTTATTTTTAGTAGAGACGGGGTTTCACTGGGTTAGCCAGGATGGTCTCGATCTCCTGACCTGATGATCCGCCTGCCTCGGCCTCCCAAAGTGCTGGGATTACAGGCGTGAGCCACTGTGCCCGGCCAAATTTTCTCTCTTAATGGAAAAAAGTAATGATGTTAGTATCTTGAAATAGGAAAGAATCCTAAGTCTTTTTTTGGCTTTAGGATTTGCTACAGAAGCTTTTCAAAGGAATTGTCTTCCGAATCACGTTTTTCCTAGGTTTGAATTCCCTGAGCGCACAGCACACATCCCCTGGTCGTGTGGGGCTGTGTGAGGAGTTACCCAAAAAGGATGTGGTTTGTGTAAGCAGGGGGATGTCTGCTTAGGATGAAATGGCCACTGTTGTTGGTGTGTAAATAAGATAACCTTTCATAGATATCACGGCTTGCTTATAGTTTGGGGCTGGATGATGCTGTTCAAATTCAATTAATTTATTAAGCACCTACTTTATGTCAGCTACTATGTGTGGTACCTGGGATATAACAGATTTTAAGACAAGATTCTTTCTCTTGAGAAGCTCCCAGACTTGCAAGGAAAACAGAGATACAGAAGATGAATTATGATGCCATGTGACGCATGGTGCAGAGTAGCATGGGATAAGAAAGGTCCACATGTAAAGTGATGGGAACAGAAAGATGAATTGATGAGCTTGTAGGGAGTTGGAAAGACTTCCCAGAGAGGGAGCTGAGTGTTGAGGAATGAATATGGGTTTGCCAGATAGAAAAGGGAATTCTTGGCAGAGAACCTAGGAAGGAAGAGTGTGGTAGAATGGAGGGATGGTGACTCAGCTGATGTGGCTAGAACAGAGTCTGTCGGAGTGAAAGAATGTGGAATCTGGTTGGGTGGCTATAGCTATCCTTGAGTGAGTGCCATGCTGAGGTGAAGCTGTTGACAGAGGGGAGCCTTTGGAAGAAGTGCTGTACTACCAAAACCCAGAAGCCAGTAGTTTGCTTTTTTTTTTTTTTTTTTTTTGGAGATAGAGTCTTGCTCTGTTGCCCAGGTTGGAGTGCTGTGGTGTGATCTCAGCTCACTGCAACCTCTGCCTCCCAGGTTCCAGCAATTCTCCTGTCTCAGCCTCCCAAGTAGCTGGGATTACAGGTGTGCGCCACCATGCCCGGCTAATTTTTGTATTTTTAGTAGAGACGGGGTTTCGCCATTATGGCCAGGCTGGTCTCGAACTCCTGACCTCAAGTGATCCACCTACCTCGGCCTCCCAAAGTGCTGGGATTACGGGTGTGAGCCACCACGCCCGGCCATTAGTTTGCTTCTTGAAGCAAAGGGGAGTTCATGGTCCCTTCGTAATCCTGGGAGGTATTAGGGAGGCAGCAGTGGACCTAGAGGCTAAGGTTAGACTCATCTTTAAGATTTAGGAAGCTTTGACTGGGCGCAGTGGCTCACACCTGTAATCTCAGTGCTTTGGGAGGCTGAGGCTGAAGGATCACTTGAGCCTAGGAGTTCAAGACCAGCCTGGGCAACATAGCGAGACTCCATCTCAACAATTAGCTGGGTTTGATGGTGCATGCCTGTGGTCCCAACTACATGGGATGCTGAGGCGAGAGGATTGCTTAAGCCCAGGAGTTTAAGGCTGCAGTAAGCCATGATCACACCACTGCATTCCAGCCTGGACAACAGAGCAAGAACCTGTCTCCAAAAAGAAAAAAAAAAAAAAAGATTTAGGAAGTTTCTTAGGCAGGCAACAGGGCTATTGGAGGCTGAGAGCCATAGCTTATGAATAGAAGAAAGACCTTTGTGGTTTCTCTGACAACCTAGCCTTTCCTTTCCATCTCAGTTCCTTGAGGGAGCGGCTGCAGAAAGCCATTGAGGAGGAGGAGGCCCGGATGAGAGAGGAGGAAAGCCAGAGGCTATCCTGGCTCCGAGCTCAGGTCCAGTCCAGCACACAAGCAGATGAGGACCAAATCAGGTAAGTGTGTGCTTACCTGTGAGCTGCCCAGCCCTGCGGAGGCGACCCCAGGGTGCACAGGCCCGTTACCATTCCACTGTGTCCACCCAGGGCTGAGCAAGAGGCTTCCCTGCAGAAACTGAGAGAAGAGTTGGAGTCTCAACAGAAGGCTGAGAGGGCCAGCTTGGAACAGAAAAATAGGCAAATGCTGGAGCAGCTCAAGGAAGAGATAGAGGCTTCGGAGAAGAGCGAGCAGGCTGCCCTGAATGCTGCAAAGGAGAAGGCTCTGCAGCAGCTGAGGGAGCAGCTGGAAGGGGAGAGGAAAGAAGTGAGCTAGTCAAGTGGGGACCTCACCCTCTGACCTGTGTCTGGGCTGCCTGGGGAGGGACTGAGTGCACAAGGAGAAGAAGGGCAAGTCTCGGGTGGGCGTGCAGGCTGGGGAGCCAGGTGGAGAGTAGGTCTCACACACACAGGCATGGGAGACAGCGAGATGACCACCTGGGCCCATTACTCCATATGGACCGAATCGGCTCATGACAGGGCAGAGGATGCAGCAGGCATCACAAGGCTCCTCCAGGGTCAGGCTGGATGGCAGTGGCGGCTGGAGGTTGTCAAGCAGAGAACCCTCAGAGGCTTGAGGGAGAGCGTCCTGTGGATTTGAGAAAGTTCGTGACTGAAAGAGATTTAGCCAGACCAGAGGTTTTGAGACAAAGGCGCTCTGTCCCTCACTGTCTCTGAGGGACAGCTGCAAGGGCCTCACTCCCCACTTTTCTCTCCTTTCTTAGGATGAGAGGCTAGCAATATAGCAAGGATTTTCTCTTTGTCCATACTCCCTCTTCTACTCCAGTCAGATGGTGGGCTTCTGAAGGTTTTAGCACAGTCTCTCTGAGCACTTGTAGTACAGTGCACTTCCCTACTCCTGCTGTAGTGTTTTCCTTGTCTAATAGCTGCAGCTTTGCACCTCACCAAAATAAAAAGAAAATTCTACATGGCCCGACTTAATGACAGCATCCAACCTGGCCCCCCTGGCTTGGATCTTATTTACCAGCATGAGCACCATCTGTGGATCTGTGGCCTAGTCTAAAGGCAGGGGGTGGGAGCAGAGAGCCGAAACTTACTGAAATGCCCCTCTCCTCTGACCTTCATGTTCCTGTTCATTTGCCAGTTGTAGACTTCAGGGGCTGAGTTATTTCAGAGGAACAAAGATGTGCTGTGCTTCCCCATGCTTCCCTTGACCCTGATCTCGAGGGCTTGGGGGTCGGTAGTCTTCCTGGCTCCGCCTCCCACCATGATCAGTACCTGGCCAGCTTCACTCACAGTCCCTTTGCTCCTCCCCAGGCTGTGGCAACGCTGGAGAAGGAGCACAGTGCTGAGCTGGAGCGGCTCTGCTCCTCATTGGAGGCCAAGCACCGGGAGGTAAGATGCAGCATCCTGGGCCCCCTTCATGGCTGATTAGCAGAATTCAGCCCCATCCCTGGCTACTAGGCAGCGAGCCTCTCTCTCCAGCCCTGGGGGATGGATGCCAGGTCCTCAGAACACATCCCCACACAGCAGCTGTACAGTCTGTCTGAGGGTCACACTCCCCTGTGTGTGCGGGGGCCTCCTCAGGTGGTCTCCAGCCTCCAGAAGAAGATACAGGAAGCTCAACAGAAAGAGGAGGCCCAGCTGCAGAAGTGCCTTGGGCAAGTGGAGCACAGAGTTCACCAGAAGTCTTATCACGTGGCTGGGTATGAGCACGAGGTGAGTGCTGCTCTGTCTTCCACAGTCGTGTGCGCCTGTTGTGGACTCTCTTACAGTCAGCTGAGCCGGCCTAGCCTCAGCGGCCTCCAGTTTGCTTTGGATGGCTCAGCTGGGGTTAGCATTTCTAGTTCCCTTTTTATGCCTTAGTTCCCTTGAAGCCAGGTACTCCTCCAATCTGATGCCCCTGTATGCATGTGGGGAGGGGGTGTTGGGGTATGGCTGTGTGCTGACCATGGTGTCATGGCTGTGTGATGTGCATGTGTTGTGTGTGTTGGGGGAGATTGGGGAAATGTGTGTAAGACCTTCAGGTGCAGCAGGCCCTGAGTGCTGGTCCGCCTCGGTTCTTCATGCCACATCCCTGCCATCTCCCCTGCAGCTCAGCAGTCTCCTGCGAGAGAAGCGCCAGGAAGTGGAAGGGGAGCATGAGAGGAGGTTGGACAAGATGAAGGAGGAGCACCAGCAAGTGATGGCTAAGGCCAGAGAGCAGTATGAAGCTGAGGTAGCTCAGCCACATCCCCTGCGCGCATGCACACACATGCACACACACATGCACGCACATGCACACACACATGCACACACACATGCACGCACATGCACACACACCCCGGGGTCCTTCCCACCTGGCTGTGGGGCAGAGGAAGGGGATAAACTGTGGTCAGGGATTGTGGGAGGTTTTCCTTCCTGGTACCCTGCCACGATGATGTTTTTTGCCTTTTTTATTAAAACATGAGAAAAACCTCCACCTAATGGGGGGCAATTCCTCTTTTATCAGGCAGGCTGTACTTTCTTCTGATAGTAAAAAGAACCCCCATACATTGAGCTTGTACTGTGTGCCAAGAACTGTTCTGAGCTCTTTATCTATTTTAACTCATTTAGTCCTCACACCAGCCTTAGGAAGGATCTACTATCATTGTCTCCATTTTAAAGATGAGGGCACTGAGACTTGGAGAGTTTAAGTAGCTTCCCAAGATCACACCCAGCCAATAAGTAGAAGAGCTAGGATTCAAGCCCAGGCCATCTGACTCCAAAGCCTTCAGTTTCCTCACTGCAATGCTGTGTCACCAGGGTTCCTCAACATCTTGGGACACCAAGAAATAGACTGGCAAGAGCCAAGTAATACTGATATTCTCCCCATTTTAAGCCTTTGGTCTTAAGGTAGGAAAGTTCAGCGACTTGAGTTTACCCAAGCTGGCCTGCCTTGCTCACATTGAGGGTGAACAATGGGTGGGTAGAGGGTGGCTGACTATAGCCCACAGCTGGGACCCTGCAGGGTGTTAAGACTACTGCTCCAGTAACTGGAACCAGTATCCCAGACTCTTTCTAGGATCTTTCCCAGGGCAGAAATAGCAGTCCCATGATGAAATTTGCCATATCCCTTCCCCCAACCAATTATGACCTTGCTGAAGAATAGTGATAATTTATCAGTGACCTCTCATTCCTTACAGAGGAAAAGTTGTATATGGTGGAGCCATAGGGAGAGCCAGAAAGGGAATCTGTCGTGGTGTCTGACCAGCCTCTGCTTCAGCTCTAGAGGGCTGCAGGCTTGCTGGGGCCAGGGCCGGTGCTGTGCTTGTAACCCTCCTCTTCTCCAAGAGCTGGCTTTAGGGAGCCGATGGTGTCCCTGATCTTACTGATGCAAGGCTGCAGGGCTAGGGGAGCTGTGATTTTTGTGGTAGAAGGGGCTGCCGCAGCTTCCCACCGGTGGGCCCACCCTCCTTGCAGGAGAGGAAGCAGCGGGCTGAGCTTCTGGGGCACCTGACCGGAGAGCTGGAGCGCCTGCAGAGGGCCCATGAACGAGAACTGGAGACTGTGAGGCAGGAGCAACACAAGCGTCTTGAGGACTTGCGGCGCCGGCACAGGGAGCAGGTGAGGGGCCTGGGGCAGGGTGAGCCCACTGTGACCCCTCCATGCACAGTAGGAAGGTGCTGGGAGCAGACGCATGGCCCCAGCAGGATGCAGCCTGACAGCTTCTGGAGTGAGAGTCTCTCACTGGCCATCTCCAAGCTGGGGCATCCTTGTTACTTTGTTTTCTGGGCCAGGGAACACACTCAGGATTAGAACTAGAGGTCAGCCCCTGTAAGGCATTGGGGTTGGCACCTTTGCGTCTCCTTGCCCCAGCAGGAAGTAAACAAGGTGTGGAGCCTTCCTGGGAGGCTGCAGGGGCACACAGCGAGGAAGCCTGAGCCCAGAGTGGAGGTTGTGGTGTGGCATGGTGGGTTCTGGAACCCCCTCCTGCCCCTCAGCTAATGCCTTACACTCTTTCTATGCTTATGTGTTTCCCTTTCTGGGCAGGAAAGGAAGCTCCAGGATTTAGAGTTGGACCTTGAAACCAGAGCTAAAGATGTCAAGGCCAGATTGGCTCTGCTGGAGGTCCAGGTGAGGGATCTGCAGGAGTCCTTGACCTCAGAGTCATAGCTTCTCTAGCAGAGGGCAGGCTCTGCCCCTCAGACCTGGGGTCTGCAGTCAGCCAGAAAATCCTGTCTCTTCCCTGCAAGGAGGAGACCGCCCGGAGGGAGAAGCAGCAGCTGCTTGATGTGCAGAGGCAGGTTGCTCTGAAGAGTGAGGTTTGTCTCCCTGTTTTGTCCTCCCTCCTGTTCTTCCTCCATTTCCTGTCTTTCTTCTCCCTGTTCCCCACATTTTGTTCATCTGATCTGTCCAGGGCACTGGGGTTCCAAACTCTGTTGGCCAGTATTCCACAAATAGTGCCACTCTGTGGACCCCACTTGGGAACCTCAAGGGAGTGGGACTGTGGTAGGACAGGAGCCTGCAGACCTCTTGACCTCAGAGGTGGTGACTTCAGTGGCTCTGAATTCATTCCCAGCCTGTCCTCCTTTGGCTTCCCTACCCTCTCGTGCTGTCTGCTCCCTGGCTTCTCTCTGTGCTGTCTCTGGGTGCTTCTATCTTTCCTTTTGCCCCTAGGAAGCCACAGCCACCCATCAGCAGCTGGAGGAGGCACAGAAGGAGCACACCCACCTGTTGCAGTCAAACCAGCAGCTCCGAGAAATTCTTGATGAGCTGCAGGCCCGCAAGCTGAAGCTGGAGTCCCAAGTGGATCTGCTGCAGGCTCAGAGCCAGCAACTGCAGAAACACTTCAGGTGGCGTGGGCACCCTGCACTTAGCCCTGCTGGCTGCCTCCTGCCTGCCCTCTGACCTCTGCTGCTTGTGTCATGGCCCAGTTAATAGGGAGAGGTGGAGTCCCAGCTTGGGAGCTAGGCAGAAGAGCCTGTGGCTACATTTTGTAGGGAGTTGGGGTTGTTAAGATTCTGTGAAAAGCAGGGGATCTCTGGTGCTATTGTTCGTGCCTGAGCCCTTCCTCAGGGACTTTGACGGATGGGAGTGAGGGGGTGGAGATGGTTCTGACCCACTTCACCCCTCCCCCCCATCGCCAGCCGCTGCCCTGCCTCTCACTCATCTTTCCTTCCACAGCAGCCTGGAGGCTGAAGCTCAAAAGAAGCAGCACCTGTTGAGAGAAGTGACAGTTGAGGAAAATAATGCTTCCCCACATTTTGAGCCAGATCTCCATATTGAGGACCTGAGGAAATCCCTTGGAACAGTGAGCTGGGGGCTGGGGCCTGGGGGCTGGGGCACCAGGATGGTGTGGGGCATTGGGAGGGGCTGGGCATCAGGGGAGTACTTCCAGAGGGGACAGCTCATCAGGAGGGGTGGAGCCTCAGGAGGGGAGGAGTATAAGGTGGGCCAAGGCATCAGGAAGGGCTGGCTCTGTTCTCTATGGGACCTGGTCTGTTCTTATTCCCAGCTACCAGTCGTCTCCACCAGTCAGATGATATCTATAAGTAAACAGTGCCTGGCAGCTAGAGAGCCATTTCCTTGTCTAGACCACTGGGAGGGGCTTTGGGGTCTTGAACCTGCAGGGTGTCTGCTTTTGCTACACTCAGTGGACTTTTCTACCATGTGTCCCTAGAACCAGACCAAAGAGGTGTCTTCTTCTCTCTCCCAGAGCAAGGAGGACTTATACTTGGACAGGTGAGTTCCCATAGCCTGTCTTATTTGAGGTTAGGGTACCATGAAGGGGTAAGTGAGTACCTGCATCATAGAGCTGGGGTGAGCTGAAGTGAGGAGACGGTGATCACCAGTGGGGCTTAGTTCATGGGGAAGGCTCCGGAGGATTAAGGAATCTTCTCTGGCAAGCCAAGAAACTGCCCACTGTGACCTTTGACATGGCATTCTCCTCTAGTGGAGAAGCAGATTGCTGGAAGTGTTTGGTCATCTATCTGGAGG
Organism: Homo sapiens; assembly: GCF_000001405.40. Lineage (NCBI taxonomy): Eukaryota > Metazoa > Chordata > Mammalia > Primates > Hominidae > Homo > Homo sapiens. Next base: position 117,396,867 of record NC_000011.10, read on the forward strand.
CCCCAGGCCTGATCCCTCTCAGAGTCAGGGTGGGGGCACTGTCAGTCCCAGGCACTGCGCACTGTGGGTATTGAACAGTGGCATCCCTGCACTCACAGTGCCCAGCCCTAGCCCAGCAGCTCTGGTCTGTGCTCAGGGTTGGCATCTGCTGGGGAAGGGGCTGTGTGACCCAGAGCAGAGTTCTTAGAGGCTTCTGTTTTCCTTCTTCAACTCTCCTGCTCCAGCCTGTCCTCCCACAATGTCTGGCACCTCCTCTCTGCTGAGGGGGTAGCCCTCCGTAGTGCCAAGGAGTTCCTTGTGCAGCAGACACGCTCCATGCGGAGGCGGCAGACAGCTCTGAAAGCTGCCCAGCAGCATTGGCGCCATGAGCTGGCCAGTGCGCAGGAGGTGGCCAAAGACCCACCAGGCATCAAGGCCCTGGAAGATATGCGCAAGAACCTGGAGAAGGTCAGGAGCTTTGGGAAGGGCCTGCCAGCCCTGTGTGGGGGAGGCGGGGGGAGTCAGCAAAACAGTCCTTTGGGCTCCCCCTCAGTTGGTCATTCTCGGGACTCCATGAGAGTGGCCACCTTGGCCCTGGGTCACTTATATTTACTTGGCAATGCATAGTATGCAAACACCTTTTCTAGTAGTAAATAATTTAAACCTCATGATAACACTATTAGTCCATTTTCATGCTGCTGATAAAGACATACCTGAAACTGGGAAGAAAAAGAAAATTGAACTTACAGTTCCACATGGCTGGGGAGGCCTCAGAATCATGGCAGGAGGCGAAAGGCACTTCTTACATGGTGGCAGCAAGAGAAAATGAGGAACAAGCAAAAGCAGAAACCCATCATAAACCCATCAGGATCTCGGGAGACTTATTCACTATCACGAGAACAGTATGGGGGAAATGGCCCCTGTGATTCAAATTATCTCCCACCAGGTCCCTCCCACAACACGTGGAAATTATGGGAGTACAATTCAAGATGAGATTTTGGTGGGGACACAGAGCCAAACCATATCATTCCACCCCTTGCCCCTCCATATCTCATGTCCTCACATTTCAAAACCAATCATGCCTTCCCAACAGTCCTCAAAGTCTTAACTCATTTCAGCATTAACCCAAAAGTCCACAGTCCAGAGTCTCATCTGAGACAAGGCAAGTCCCTTCTGCCTATGAGCCTGTAAAATAAAAAACAAGCTACTGACTTTCTAGATACAGTGGGGATACAGGCATTGGGTAAATACAGCCATTCCAAATGGGAGAAATTGGCCAAAACAAAGGGGTTACAGGGCCCATGCAAGTCTGAAATCCAGTGGGGCAGTCAAATTTTAAAGCTCCAAAATGATCTCCTTTGACTCCATGTCTCACATCCAGGTTACGCTGATGCAAGAGGTAGGTTCTCATTGTCTTGGGCAGCTCCGCCCCTGTGGCTTTGCAGGGTACAGCAATGCAGCCAGAAGGCAAACCCTTCCCAGCTGCCTTCCGAGGCTGGCATTGAGTATCTGCGGCTTTTTGAGGTGCATAGTGCAAGCTATTGACGGATCTACCATTCTGGGGGTCTGGAGGACGGTGGCCCTCTTCTCACAGCTCTATTAGGCAGTGCCCCAGTAGGGACTTTGTGTGGGGGCTCTGACCCCACATGTCCCTTCTGAACTGCCCTAGCAGAAGTTCTCCATGAGGGCCCCACCCCTGTAGCAGACTTTTTTCTGGGCATCTAGGTGTTTCCATACATCTTCTGAAATCTAGGCGGAGGTTCCCAGACCTTAGTTCTTGACTTCTGTGCAGCCGCAGGCTCAACACCACATGGAAGTTGCCAAGGTATGGGGCTTGCATCCTCTGAAACCATGGGCCAAGCTGTACCTTGCCCCCTTTTAGCAATGGCTGGAGTGGCTGGGATGCAGGGCACCAAGTCCCTAGGCTGCACACAGCATGGGGACCCTGGGCCTGGCCCACGAAACCATTTTTTCCTCCTAGGCCTCTGGGTCTGTGATGGGAGGGGCTGCCCATGAAGACCTATGACATGTCCTGGAGATATTTTCCCCATTGTCTTGGAGATTCTGCTCCTTGTTACATATGAAAATTTTTGCAGCTAGCTTGAATTTCTCCTCAAAAAATGGGTTTTTCTTTTCTTTCTTTTTATTTTTTAATTATACTTTAAGTTCTGGGATACATGTGCAGACCATGCAGGTTTGTTACATAGGTATATACGTGTCATGGTGGTTTGCTGCACCCAACAACCGGTCATCTGCATTAGGTATTTCTCCTAATGCTATCCCTCCCCTAGCCCCCAACCCTGACAGGCCCCGGTGTGTGATGTTTCCTTCCCTGTTTCCATGTGTTCTCATTGTTCAACTCCCACTTATGAGTGAGAACATGCAGTGTTTGATTTTCTGTTCCTGTGTTAGTTTGCTGAGAATGATAGTTTCCAGCTTCATCCATGTCCCTACAAAGGACATGAACTCATCCTTTTTTATGGCTGCATAGTATTCCATGGTGTATATGTGCCACATTTTCTTTATCCAGTCTATCATTGATGGGCATTTGGGTTGGTTCCAAGTCTTTGCTATTGTGAACAGTGCTGCAATAAACATATGTGTGCATGTGTCTTTATAATAGAATGGTTTATAATCCTTTGGGTATATACCCAGTAATGGAATTGCTGGGTCAAATGGTATTTCTGGTTCTAGATCCTTGAGGCATCACCACACTGTCTTCCACAGTGGTTGAACTAATTTATGCTTACACCAACAGTGCAAAAGCATTCCTATTTCTCCACATCCTCTCCCAGCACCTGTTGTTTCCTGACTATTTAATGATTGCCATTCTAACCAATGTGAGATGGTATCTCATTGTGGTTTTGATTTGCAGTTCTCTAATGACCAGTGATGATGAGCTTTTTTTTTATGTGTTTGTTGGCTGCGTAAATGTCTTCTTTTGAGAAGTGTCTGTTCATATCCTTTGCCCACTTTTTGATGAGGTTGTTTGTTTTTTTCTTGTAAATTTGTTTAAGTTCTTTGTAGATTCTGGATATTAGCCCTTTGTCAGATGGGTAGATTGCAAAAATTTTCTCCCATTCTGTAGGTTGCCTGTTCACTCTGATGGTAGTTTCTTTTGCTGTGCAGAAGCTCTTTAGTTTAATTAGATCTCATTTGTCAATTTTGGCTTTTGTTGCCATTGCTTTTGGTGTGTAGTCATGAAGTCTTTGTCCATGCCTATATCCTGAATGGTATTGCCTAGGTTTCCTTCTAGAGTTTTTATGGTTTTAGGTCTTACATTTAAGTCTTTAATCCATCTCGAATTAATTTTTGTATAAGGTGTAAGGAAGGGGTCCAGTTTCAGTTTTCTGCATATGGCTAGTCAGTTTTCACAACATCATTTATTAAATAGGGAATCCTTTCCCCATTTCTTGTTTTTGTCAGGTTTGTCAAAGATCAAATGGTTGTAGATGTGTGGCGCTATTTCTGAGGCCTCTGTTCTGTTCTATTGGCTTATATATCTGTTTTGGTACCAGTACCATGCTGTTTTGGTTACTGTAGCCTTGTAGTATCATTTGAAGTCAGGTAGTATGATGCCTCCAGCTTTGTTCTTTTTGCTTAGGATTGTCTTGGCTATACAGGCTCTTTTTTGGTTCCATATGAAAGTTGAAGTAGTTTTTTCTAATTCTGTGAAGAAAGTCAATGGTAGCTTGATGGGGATAGCATTGAATCTGTAAATTACTTTGGGCAGTATGGTCATTTTCACAATATTGATTCTTCGTATCCATGAGCATGGAATGTTTTTCCATTTGTTTTTGTCCTCTCTTACTTCCTTGAGCAGTGGTTTGTAGTTCCCCTTGAAGAGGTCCTTCACATCCCTTGTAAGTTGGATTCCTAGGTATTTTATTCTCTTTGTAGCAACTGTGAATGGGAGTTCACTCATGCTTTGGCTCTCCGTTTGCCTATTATTGGTGTATAGGAATGCTTATAATTTTTGCACATTGATTTTGTATCCTGAGACTTTGCTGAAGTTGCTGATCAGCTTAAGGAGATTTGGGGTTGAGATGATGGGGTTTTCTAAATATATAGTCATGTCATCTGCAAACAGAAACCATTTGACTTCCTCTCTTCCTATTTGAATACCCTTTGTTTCTTTCTCTTGCCTGATTGCCCTGGCCAGAACTTCCAATACTGTGTTGAATAGGAGTGGTGAGAGAGGATATCCTTGTCTTGTGCCGGTTTTCAAAGGGAATGCTTCCAGTTTTTGTCCATTCAGTATGATATTGGCTGTGGGTTTGTCATAAATAGCTCTTATTATTTTGAGATACGTTCCCTCAATACCTAGTTTATTCAAAGTTTTTAGCATGAAGGGGTGTCAAATTTTATCGAAGGCCTTTTCTGCATCTGTTGAGATAATCATGTGATTTTTGTCATTAGTTCTGTTTATGTGATGGATTGTGTTTATTGATTTACGTATGTTGAACCAGCCTTGCATCCCAGGGATGAAGCCGACTTGATTGTGGTGGATAAGCTTTTTGATGTGCTGCTAGATTCAGTATTTTATTGAGAATTTTCACATTGATGTTCATCAGGGATATTGGCCTGAAATTTTCTTTTTTTGTTGTGTCTCTGCCAGGTTTTGGTATCAGGATGATGCTGGCTTCATAAAATGAGTTAGGGAGGAGTCCTTTTTCTATTGTTTGGAGTAGTTTCAGAAGGAATGGTACCAACTCCTCTTTGTACCTCTGGTAGAATTCGGCTTTAAATCTGTCTGGTCCTGGGCTTTTTTTGATTTGTAGGCTTTTAATTACTGCCTCAATTTCAGAACTTGTTATTGGTCAATTCAGGGATTCAACTTCTTTCTGGTTTAGTCTTGGGAGGGTATATGTGTCCAGGAATTTATCCATTTCTTCTAGATTTTCTAGTTTATTTGCATACAAGTGTGTATAGTATTCTCTGATGGTAGTTTGTATTTCTGTGGGATCAGTGGTAATATTCCATTTATTATTTTTTATTGTGTCTATTTGATTATTTTTTCTTCTTTATTAGTCTGGATAGCAGTCTATCTATTTTGCTAATCTTTTCAAAGAACCAGCTCCTGGATTGATTGATTTTTTTAAAGGGTTTTTTGTGTCTCTATCTCCTTTAATTCTGCTCTGATCTTAGTTATTTCTTGTCTTCTGCTAACTTTTGAATTTGTTTCTTCTTGCTTCTCTACTTCTTTTAATTGTGGTGTTAGGGTGTCGATTTTAGATCTTTCCTGCTTTCTCCTGTGGGCATTTAGTGCTGTAAGTTTCCCTCTAAACCCTGCTTTAGCTGTGTCCCAGAGATTCTGGTACATTGTGTCTTTGTTCTCATTGGTTTCAAAGAACTTACTTGTTTCTTTTCTTTTCTTGTCTTTTTTTTTTTTTTGAGACAGAGTCTTGCTCTGTCACCCAGGCTGGAGTGCAGTGGCATGATCTTGGCTCACGCAAACTCTGCCTCCCAGATTCAAGCGATTCTCCTGCTTCAGCCTCCTGAGTAGCTGGGATTACAGGTGTGTGCCACCATGCCTGGTTAATTTTTGTATTTTTAGTAGAGGCGGGGTTTCACCATGTTTTTCAGGCTGGTCTCGAGCTCCTGACCTCATGATCCTCCTGGCTCGGCCTCCCAAAGTGTTGGGATTACAGCCCTGAGCCACCACACCCAGCCTTGAGTGAGTTTCTTAATCTTGAGTTCCAATTTGATTGCACTGTGGTCTGAGAGACTGTTTGTTATGATTTCCGTTCTTTTGCATTTACTGAAGAGTGTTTTACTTCCAATTATGTGGTCAGTTTTAGAATAAGCACTATGTGGTGCTAAGAAGAATGTATATTCCATTGATTTGGAGTGGAGAGTTCTGTGGACATCTGTTAGGTCCACTTGGTCCAGAGCTGAGTTCAAGTCCTGAATATCCTTGTCAATTTTCTGTCTCGTTGATCTGTCTAATATTGGCAGTGGGGTGTGGGAGTCTAAGTCTCTTTGTAGGTCTCTAACAACTTGCTTTATGCATCTGGGTGCTCCTGGGTGCATATATATTTTGGATAGTTAGCTCTTCTCCCTTTACCGTTATGTAATGCCCTTCTTTGTCTTTTTTAATCTTTGTTGGTTTAAAGTCTGTTTTATCAGAGACTAGGATTGCAACCCCTGCCTCTTTTTGCTTTCCATTTACTTGGTAGCTATTCCTCCATCCCTTTATTTTGAGCCTATGTGTGTCTTTGCACACGAGGTGGGTCTCCTGAATACAGCACACTGGTGGGTCTTGACTGTTTATGCAGTTTGCCAGTCTGTGTCTTTTAATTGGGGCGTTTAGCCTGTTTACATTCAAGGCTAATATTGTTATGTGTGAATTTGATCCTGTCATTATGATGCTAGCTGGTTATTTTGCCCATTAGTTGATGCAGTTTCTTCATAGCATCGATGGTCTTTACAATTTGGCATGTTTTTGCAGTGGCTGGTAGCGGTTGTTCCTTTCCACATTTAGTGCTTCCTTCAGGAGCTCTTGTAAGGCAGGCCTGGTGGTGACAAAATCTCTCAGCATTTGCTTGTCTGTATGGATTTTATTTCTGCTTCACTTATGAAGCTTAGTTTGGCTGGATATGAAATTCTTTTCTTTAAGAATGTTGAATATTGGCCCCCACTCTCTTCTAGCTTGTAGGGTTTCTGCAGAGAGATCTGCTGTTAGTCTGATGGGCTTCCCTTTGTGGGTAACCCGACCTTTCTCTCTGGCTGCCCTTAACATTTTTTCCTTCATTTCTACCTTGGTGAATCTGATGATAATGTGTCTTGGGGTTGCTCTTCTCGAGGAGTATCTTTGTGGTGTTCTCTGTATTTCCTGAATTTGAATGTTGGCCTGTCCTGCTAGGTTGGGGAAGTTCTCCCAGATAATATCCTGAAGAGCGTTTTCCAACTTGATTCCATTCTCCCCATCACTTTTAGGTACACCAATCAAACGTAGATTTGGTCTTTTCACATAGTCCCATATTTCTTGGAGGCTTTGCTTGTTCCTTTTCATTCTTTTTTCTCTAATCTTGTCTTCACGCTTTATTTCATTGTTAATCTTCAATCTCTGATATCCTTTCTTCTGCTTGATTGATGCAGCTATTTATACTTGTATATGCTTCACAAAGTTCTCGTGCTTGTTTTTCAGCTCCATCAGGTCATTTATGTTCTTCTCTAAACTGGTTATTCTAGTTAGCAATTCCTCTAACCTTTTTACAAGATTCTTAGCTTCCTTGCATTGGGTTAGAACATGCACCTTTAGTTCAGAGGAGTTTGTTATTACCCACCCTCTGAAGCCTATTTCTGTCAGTTCGTCAAACTCATTCTCCATCCAGTTTTGTTCCCTTGCTGGCGAGGAGTTGTGATCCTTTGGAGGAGAACAGACATTCTTGTTTTTGGAATTTTCAGCATTTTTGTGCTGGTTTTTCCTCATCTTCATGGATTTATCTACCTTTGGTCTTTGATGTTGGTGACCTTCAGATGGGGTTTTTGTGTGGATGTTCTTTTTGTTGACGTTGATGCTATTCCTTTCTGTTTGTTAGTTTTCCTTCTAACAGGCCACTTTGCTGCAGGTCTGCTGGAGTTTGCTGGAGGTCCACTCTAGACCCTATTTGCTTGGATATCACCAGCGGAGGCTGCAGAACAGCAAAGATTGCTGCCTTTTCCTTCCTCTGGAAGCTTTGTCCCAGAGGGGCACCCACCAGATGCCAGCTGGAGCTCTCCTGTATGAGGTGTCTGTCGACCCCTGCTAGGCGGTGTCTCCCAGTCAGGAGGCATGGGGGTCAAGGACCCACTTGAGGAGGCAGTCTGTCTCTTAGCAGAGCCCAAGTGCTGTGCTGGGAGATCTGCTGCTCTCTTCAGAGCCAGCAGGCAGGAATATTTAAATCTGCTGAAGGTGCGCCCACAGCTGCCCCTTCCCCCAGGTGCTCTGTCCCAGGGAGATGTGAGTTTTATCTATAAACCCCTGACTGGGGCTGCTGCCTTTCTTTCAGAGATGGCCTGACCACTGAGGAGGAATCTAGAGAGGCAGTCTGGCTACAGTGGCTTTGTGGAGCTGTGGTGGGCTCCGTCCAGTTTGAACTTCCTGGTGACTTTGTTTACACTGTGAGGGGAAAACCTCAGTAATGGCAAGCCTTAGTAATGGCAGATGCCCCGCCCCCACCAAGCTCGGGCATCCCAGGTCTACTTCAGACTGCTGTGCTAGCAGCATGAATTTCAAGCCAGTGGATCTTAGCTTGCTGGGCTCTGTTGGGGTGGGATCTGGAACTAGACCACTTAGCTCCCTGGCTTCAGCCCCGTTTCCAGAGGAGTGAATGGTTCTGTGTCACTGGTGCTCCAGGTGCCACTGGGGTATGAAAAAAACTCCTGCAGCTAGCTCAGTGTCTGCCCAAATGACTGCCCAGTTTTGTGCTTGAAACCCAGGGCCCTGGTGGTGTAGGCACCCGAGGGAATCTCCTGGTCTGCGGGTTGCAAAGATTGTGGGAAAAGCGTAGTATCTGGGCCGGAATGCACTGTCCCCCAAGTCACAGTCCCTCGTGTCTTCCCTTGGCTAGGGGAGGGAGTTCCCTGACCCCTTGTGCTTCGTGGGTGAGGCGACACCCACCTTGTTTTGGCTCGCCCTCCATCGGCTGCACCCACTGTCTAACCAGCCCCAATGAGATGAGCTGGGTACCTCAGTTAGAAATGCAGAAATCACCTGCCTTCTGCGTTAATCTTGCTGGGAGCTGCAGACTGGAGCTGTTCCTATTCAGCCATCTTGCCAGCCACTCCAGGGTTTTTCTTTTCTACTGCATCATCAGGCTGCAAATTTTCTGAACTTTTATATTCTGTTTCTCTTTTAAAATGAAATGCTTTTAACAGCACCCAAGTCACCTTTTGAATGCTTTGCTGCTTAGAAATTTCTTCTGCCAGAGACACTAAATCATCTCTCTCAAGTTCAAAGTTCCACAAATCTCTAGGGCTGGAGCAAAATGCTTCCAGTCCCTTTGCTAAAACATAACAAGAGTCACCTTTGCTCCAGTTCCCAACAAGTTCCTCATCTCCATCTGAGACCACCTCAGCCTGGACCTTATTGTTCATATCACTATCAGCATTTTTGTCAAAGCCATTCAACAAGTCTCTAGGAGGTTCCAAACTTTCCCACATTTTCCTGTCTTCTTCTGAGCCCTCCAAACTGTTCCAGCCTCTGCCTGTTACCCATTTCCAAAGTTGCTTCCACATTTTTGGGTATCTTTTCAGCAACACCCCACTCCTGGTACCAACTTACTGTATTAGTCTGTTTTCATGCTGTGGATAAAGACGTACCTAAAACTGGGAAGAAAAAGAGGTTTAATTGAACTTACAGTTCCACTGGGGAAATGATTCTGGGGAAGCCTCAGAATCATGGCGGGAGGCAAAAGGCACTTCTCACATGGTGGTGGCAAGTAAAAATGAGGAAGAAGCAAAAGCAGAAACCCCTGATAAGCCCATCAGATCTCGTGAGACTTATTCACTATCACAAGAACAGTATGGGGGAAATGGCCCTCATGATTCAGATTATTTCCCTTCAGGTCCCTCCCACAACACATGGGAATTGTGGGAGTACAGTTCAAGATGAGATTTGTGTGGAGACACAGAGCCAAACTATATCAATAACCATTTATAATGTGCAAGGCAGTAGTAATAGTCCCATTTTCCTGGTGAAGAGTACGACTAATGTTTAGTACTTTCAAACCTTTCAAACCCAGTGCTTTGCCTTTCCATTCTGTCACACTAAAGACTTTGTTCGTACATGAAAGTCTTTTGAACACACTTAGCAAAAGGCTTTGAGTTACTTACCCACCCTGCTTCTCTGATAGCCTAATTTGCAATGAAAAGGCAGATACTTCATTATTATTAGTTGGGATCACAGATCTTTGACCAGTTGAGGGTCCTGGCAGGGTGAGCTCTCTTGGATCACCTGGGCCCTTAGAAATCTGATGGTGCTCAGCCAGGCGCAGTGGTTCATGCCTGTAATGCCAGCACTTTGGGAGGCCGGGGCGGGTGGATCACGAGGTCAGGAGTTCAAGACCAGACTGACCAACATGGTGAAACCCCGTCTCTACTAAAAATTAAAAAATTAGCTGGGTGTGGTGGTGCACGCCTGTAATCCCAGCTACCCAGGAGGCTGAGGCAGGAGAATTGCTTGAACCCAGGAGGAGGTGGAGGTTGCAGTGAGCCGAGATCGCACCACTGGACTCCAGCATGGGTGACAGAGCGAGACTCTATTTCAAAAAAAGAGAAAAGAAATGGTGTTTCTGATGGTGTTCAGAACTGGTAAGGGGCTCAGGCCCCGATGGCCCCTAGGACTGGCTTGGGGTCAGCAGAGAGCAAGGGGCTGGAACAGACAGAGGGGCAGCTTCCCAGGGTTATATACATGCTGCCCACGACCCTGTCATTGCTCTGCTTAACCCCTCTCAACCATGGTGGTGGTGGTGATGAGAGTAATCATAATTGGAGCAGTGATAATAATAACCATTTGCGGCTGATGTGGTGGCTCATGCCTGTAATCCCAGTGCTTTGGGAGGCTGAGGCTGGAGGATCACTTGATTTTGAGACCAGCCTGGCCAACATTGCAAAACTCTGTCTCTACAAAAAAAAAAAAAAAAAAAAAAAGAGAAAAAGAAAAAAGAAAAAAAAAAGCCAGGTGTGGTGGCACACATCTGTAGTACCAGCTACTTGGGAGGCTGAGGTGGGAGGATTGCCTGAGCCCAGGAAGTTGAGGCTACAATGAGTTGTAATCAGGCCACTGCACTCCAGCCTGGGTGATGGTGAGACCTCATCTCTAAAAACAATAATCATAATAAATAATAACCATTTGGTTAACAGTAACCATCTGAGAGTTTTTAAGGTGTAGGCATGGTGTTAAGCATGTAACATAGTAACATACTCTTTCTCTTGTAATTCTTACGACCCTGTGAAAAGTCATAGTTCTCTGTTCCAGATGAGAAAGCAGACTATAGTAATTTGTTCAAGATCACCCAGTCAGCAAATGGCAGGGTTGGGACTCCAGCGTCTGTGTGGGTAGTCATTTCTCCTCTGTTTTCTCCTTGGCTGCAGGAGACCAGGCACCTGGATGAGATGAAGTCGGCCATGCGGAAAGGCCACAACCTGCTGAAGAAGAAAGAGGAGAAGCTGAATCAGTTGGAGTCCTCTCTTTGGGAAGAGGTGCAGCCCCATGTCCACATAGTCCAGTGGGCCCTGGCCTTCCTCTTCTGTTCTTGGGATTGGGTTGAGTTCTTTGGTCCTGCATCCGGGGGAGTTGGGCCTCTAGGGCCCAGGATTGGGCAGTAGGCTTGTCTACTGGCTGATGAAGGTGGCAGTGGCTTCAATTCTGAGTTTGTTGAAGACACCTGTGGGTTTGGATACCTGTGCTGAATGGTCCGGAATATACCTGGAACCTCTTGCTAAAGGTGCCTGAGAAGAGGGCCAAGCCTTTACCCTGCCCTGGTCCCTAAGGACAGGTGTGACCAGGGTGTCAGGAATGGACACACATGATAGATTTTCCTACCTGCCTTGGGACCTTGTGGACTTTCTCCTAGATGTCTGAGGCTTAGGTGTAGCGGGGGAGGCTTAGGTGGAGTAACACTGCAGGGAGAGCTTACTGGGAAGGGTGGTGGGGGTCTGTGTGGACCTGATGGCACTGTTGTCTCTGTCTCAGGCATTTGGGACATATGCTGAGCCTTGCCTCCCTCCCACCCTGCTGTGAGGCAGCCTGTGTGATTTGCTTCGCCCAGGGTACCTGGTGGAACTCTGGGCCCCAGAGGAGTCTACTCACCAAGTCCTCAGTTCCCACACATCACAAGGGCGACAGCCTACATACCACCTTGAATTTGTAGCAACAAAATTGCTAGGAGAACAAATGGAGATGGCCATATTTCATGGATTTGCGTAAGAAAACCAGCTTAAAGACAAAACATAAAGAAGAACCTAGCTCAGTGTCCCAGCCACTTCCTAGGAAGGAAAAAGGAAGGGTAGAAAGCACGTGGGAGAGGTGGGTCATAACTGCTGACTTTACCCCACAGGCCTCAGATGAGGGCACTCTGGGAGGATCCCCCACCAAGAAGGCAGTAACCTTCGACCTCAGTGACATGGACAGCCTGAGCAGTGAAAGTTCTGAATCTTTTTCCCCGCCTCACCGTGAGTGGTGGCGGCAGCAGAGGAGTGAGTGGGGGAGATGCGGGGTGAGGACCATGGTATCCATGGAATGGGAGGAACTTGGGGAATAGAAGAAGAGCTCTCTTCCCTCAGCCCTGCAGAGGGAGGCCTCTGTGAGCCGGTGTCTGGACTAGGTGCTCGGTCAGTGCTGGGAAGGAATCACACCATCTAGGTTTGCCAGCACGTGGGGCTGAAAGGTCAGGGAAGCCCTCTGAATGCTGCAGAGCACTCTACGGTGTGACCACTGGCCTTGCTGGCCTCTTCTCTTCCAGGGCCTCCTTGAGGAGGCTTTTCTCTCTCAGCTGCCCTGGCCTGTATGTGACAGAAGGGCCCTCTCCCCTTCCTTCTCTCTGGGGTCCTGGGCCCTTCACCCAGCACCTTGCCCTGGAAACCTGTTTCTCATGGCCAGCTTCTCACTTGCACTGTCTGGAACACAGAAGCCCTGCCATCCCTGACCCCCTCATAAGGTTGAGGGGCTGTTGTCTGGAGAAGCAGGGAGGGGTGGCCAGTAGGGTCCTCCATGACAGCTGTGTCTGGGAATGGTCCAGGGTCCTGAGCTTGAGTCCCTTCCCACCATCCACCTCTTTTCTTTCAGTCGACTCAACCCCGAGTCTCACCTCCCGCAAGATCCACGGGCTTAGCCACTCCCTCCGGCAGATCAGCAGCCAGCTGAGCAGTGTCCTCAGCATCCTGGACAGCCTCAACCCTCAGTCGCCGCCGCCGCTCCTCGCCTCCATGCCAGCCCAGCTCCCTCCCCGGGACCCTAAGAGCACCCCCACCCCCACCTACTATGGCTCCCTGGCCAGGTTCTCAGCCTTATCATCTGCTACACCCACGTCCACCCAATGGGCCTGGGATTCAGGGCAGGGGCCCAGGCTCCCCTCCTCTGTGGCTCAAACGGTGGACGACTTCCTGTTGGAGAAGTGGCGCAAGTATTTTCCATGTAAGCCCCACTCTGGGCGGAGCCTTCCCACCTGCCTCCTCCTCCTCCTCTTCCTTCCTTTTCTTCTACCCTCTTTCTCCTGCTCCTTTTCTCCTCTTCCTCTTTTGCATCCCTTTGCCACACCTCTCCTCCCCCAACGTTACCATAGTCCATTGGTCCATTGACTCTACCTGTGGGTCCCTGGGGAAGGAGACATTGCAGGTGGCCCTGCAGCCAGGAGTTCTATGGGTTGGGACGGTTTAGATGGAGCCTGGCTGACTGGGGCCTTTATTGTGGATTCTGGAGCTCAGTAGAACCTAAAAGGTCATTGTCGTCATTATCTTAATAGCTACCATCTTGTGCAATACATGATGGGCCAAGCAGTTTATATATATTTTTTCATTTAGTTCTTAATTCTCTGAGGTAGTAATTATTTATCCCCATTTTACAGATGAGGAAACTGAGTTTCAGAGAGTTTAAGTAGTATGCTCCAGGGTACCCAGTGAGTGAGTAACAAACTCAGTTGTGACCCCATGTCTCTGTGACTCCAGGATTCTGCTTGGAACCTCTTGGCTGTGTGGCTAATTCTTGCTTCTGAGCCAGGTGGCCTCCCCAGGTCTCAGCCCTGCTGAGGATTATGAAAAGCCATAAAACAAGGCATTTGAGGGGAAACAAAATATCTTCTTTTTGCCCTAACCCAAATTGAAAAGTAGATTAAGTTTTAAAAATAAAATAAATAGGACCATTCCTGTCTCTCACCTGTCTCTGGCCTCCAGCCACTGAAGCTTTTCCTTTTATTGTTTATTCTGGGGAGGCAAGAGGTGCTGGTGGGCAGGGTGGTGACCACTGCCCATTTCTGAGTCCTGTCCCCATGCTCTTCCAGCTGGCATCCCGCTGCTCAGCAACAGCCCCACCCCGCTGGAGAGCAGGCTGGGTTACATGTCTGCCAGGTGAGCCTCCCTGGGGGCTGGTTGGGGTGGAACGTCATAGTCGAGCTGCTCACTGTGCCTCCCTGGGCAGGTGGACCTCTGAGGGGAGCAGACCTCCTGGTCTTACCCCAAGAAATCAGGCAGGCCTCTAGTCCACAGAGCTGTCCCCGCTTGCCTGGGTCTGAGGCGCCCCTCCATGACCAGGGGAAAGTCAAGTTCACACCGCCAAGGTCCCAGTGGGGAAGGGCTGGGCTTACCCTGCCAACCCCCTGAGGAAGCTGCCCTCTGGCCCCTGTGGGGAGGAGTCAGCCCCTGGTGGGACCCTGCCCCCGCCCCTCCCTCTAGCCCCTCCAGCCCCGGAGTCTGGCCTTTGTCTTTGCCCTTGAGCTCTTGTTTGCTTCCTGTGGCTCCCTTATTCCCCCAGTCCTGCTGAGCAACATCTGGAGTGAGAGGGACACCCTGTGGAGGAGACAGACGGGCAATTATTTAAACCTGTTATTAATTTTCCATTCATCTCATTCCTTGCCAAATGTTTTCCCCTCTCCCTCCCTTAGGCAGCTAACAGTGAGTACCCCCCACTAACCCTTTGGCCAACTTGAGAGCTGATGCTGGCCAAGGATTGAGTTGACAGAGGGGAGCGCTTTGCTGATGAGATTGGCGGGAGCAGGCGGATGTGGGAGCCCAGAGCCTTGTATCAGTAGCACCCAGCAAGGGGGCAGAGGGCCTCCACCACTTTCCCGTTTGGGAACTGTTCTGGAGGGGCAGATGTTTTGAAGCTTTGAATTGCTAGGGACCTCGGAGAAGCTGCTCTGGTAGCTGAGAGAAAGAGGGAGGAGGTGACAGATGTGATGGCCTCTGTGCATCCTCTGTCACTTCCGCGCCTCCTCTCTCCCCTCGCCATGCTCTCCTCTTCCTTCCCAGTGAGCAGCTCCGGCTCCTACAGCACTCCCATTCGCAAGTCCCTGAGGCGGGCAGCACCACCTTTCAGGGCATAATTGAGGCCAACCGGAGGTGGCTGGAACGTGTCAAGAATGACCCCAGGTTGTATCCTTTTACCTGGTTCCCAAACTGGGCTGGGCTGTGGGGACTGTGCTTGTGCCCTGAGGGGCTGAGGAGGATCCTGTTCAGCCTTTGACCCTTTCATGGCCCCTGCCTGGCTATGCCCAGCGACTGCAGTTTTCCTTCACCTTGTGGCCAGACCTCTCTTCTCGTCAACACCCAAGCCAAAAGCTACTTTGAGCCTCCTGCAGCTGGGCCTTGATGAGCACAACAGAGTGAAGGTGTATCGCTTCTGAGGCCCTGAGCAGGGGCTTGGGGCAGCCCAGCCTCTCCTCCACCCAGACCAAGTGCCTGAGGAGCTGCCTGCCTTCTTCCATCTGAGAAAGCACCCTCCTTCCCCCTTTGACTTGCAGGAGCCACCAGGGACCAGGGGGTTGAGTGGAACAGTAAAGCCACACATTCTGTGACTATATAACCTATCTCAGGCTAAAATGTGTGGACTCGTACGAGCTCTTGTCATTGACATGGCAAGCTGATGGCGTGCGGTGGCTGCGGGGTATCAGGGCCGGGAGCCCTTTGGGAGGAAGGGAGGCGTTAGAGGAGCTGCCTTCGGAGGCTCAGGGAGTCCCTTTGGAGCTGGTTGTTTCCTTGGCCCTGCAGCGCACTGCTCGGGGCTCCCAAGGAGGTTGTGTGTATGGTTCTTAATTCATCAGGACAAAGACCCCCAGCATGTGTGTACCCTGGGACCCGATTTCTCTGGGCCCACATCTATCTCCAATACCTCAGCCTCAGATCAGACCCTTTCTTTTTTGTCTTTCTTCTCTTAATTTTTAAATGCCTCTTTTCTTGAGCATTCCATCTCTCTTTTTGACCCTCTCAGGACTGGGCTTAGCTGTCCAGAGCCCTGCCGGAGGGTGCTGGGGGCTGTCCCTCTGCAGGCACTGTGTTTTCCTCAGGGGCTGTCCTCAGAACACCCCTCCTGCTCCCTGGGGCTCCTCAGGGAGCCATTTCAGCTGGAGTCTCAGGTCTCAAAAACAACTTCTCCAGGAGGCCAAAAAAAGACTGGGTTGGCTTCTGGTCCTCATGATGGCTTTTATCCTCCTGGGACACTTTGGGTATATTCATGGGCATTGTTTCCATCTGTCTTTTCTACCTGTGCCACCCCTGCCCTGATTCCACGGCTGCCTCAGGCAGGCAGGCAAGGAGCTAGGCCGGTGCCCGGCCCTGGCAGCAAGGGGTCTTTGTGCAGTTGGAGATGCTGCCGTTGTGGCAGAGCGTCCTGCAGCCCCGCTTCCATCAGCAGGCTCTGGGGTGGGGGCTTTGCAGGGGATGCTCTCTGATGTTTGTTCCGTTGTTTAAATAAAATGCACTTATTTTTGTTTTTTTTTTTGCAAGCTGTGGGGTTGCCCTTGCTTCTCTGACACACAAATTAACTCCTTCCGTCCTCCAACTCATTTCGTGGTCATGGAATAAGAAACTAAGATCCAACTGGCTGTTGATCTCCTCAGATGCCTTTTAAGCATCAGCCCACTACATAGAAAACTCCGTTTCATCATGTGTGCTTTGGGAATAGCTTATGTGGTGCACCAACTCTAGTGATAATCCTGGGTATTTTCTGCATCATTTAAATCTCTGCAGGTCCATTTTCTACAAGGCAGTCATGTAAATGTGTCTCCTTCTTTTGGGAGGCCTTTGCCTCCTTCCTGAGAAGGGAGGAAGGAAAAATGAATATTCATAGAACACTGCCCTATGTAGTATCTGATTTAATCATCGCAACAATGTAGATATTGATGTAGATATTTTCTCCTCTGTTTTTATGGACGAGGAAACCAAGGCTTAGAGAACCTTTACATGCCTGGGGTCCCCAGTAAAGTAGCTGAGCTCCCTACATGTGCAGTGTCCCCACACTCCATCCCTGCACCCCCAGAGCGCCGTCTTCCCTACTACCAGTCCTTGGGAAGTGCTGAATTCGCCATCTCTCCCTTTGCTCCTTCACAGCTCTCCCTCCTACCAGCCGGAGACCCATGGTGCCATTTCCCAAAGGCTGATTGGTGTTTTCCCCATGCAGACAAATGCAAGATGAGTCCCCCAAAGTCCCTAAGCTGGCAGTTAGCTGGGTTTTTCTGCTCCAGCGGTGTGAACAGCCTAAATACAGTCTTGGATTTGTAGCAACAGAATTTCTAGGAGAGCAAACCAAGATGGCCACATGACATGGATTTGTGTAAGAAAACCAGCCTAAGGACAAAGCATGCAAAATAACCCAGTTCTGTGTCCTAGCCACTTTCTGGGGGGAAGGAAGAAAGGAAAGAAGGGAGGGAAGGAGAAGCAAGCTAACATTTGTTGAGTGCTTTCTTTGTGCCAGGTGCTTTTCATATGTTATTGTTTATAATCTTAATCTTATGATGTTAGTGTTCTTATTTCATCCATGAGGTCACTTAGGCTCAGAGAGGTGAAATCACTATAGCCCAATGTCATACAGCGAATGACCCAGTGTTTGAACCCAGATCTCTGAAAGTCAAGATCTGTGAACCAGGCTCTGCTGTGTTAGCATCTCCTATCCTCCTCCTGGCACACAGAACAGTCCTGTCCAGCTTGGTCTGAAGACCTGGGTTGCAGGAAGGGGATAGCTTCTAGCTGGCGGAAAACCTTCTTGGGTTAGGGTTTACAAAGGGACTTTTTCAGAAGATTCCAAAATTGTCCCATCCCTCCTCTTCATGGGTTTTAGCATCTAGCTGGGGAGACTAGAATCATAGACGTTTGGAGCTGAAAGGAGCCATTGAGTCCGTTTGGACTGCTGTGACAAAATACCATCAACCAGGTAGCTTTTAAACAACAACAATTTATTTCTCACAGTTTTGGAGGCTGAAAATCCAAGATCAAGGTGTTGACAAATTCGGTGTATGGTGAGTGGTTTCTGGTTCCTAGAGGGCACCTTCTGCGTCCTCACCTAGTAGAAGTGTAGGACTCTTGGCTCCTTCAGCCCCTTCTGAGGGCACTAATCCCAGTCATGAGGGCTGCGCCTTCACATCCGAATTGCCTCCCCAAAGGCCCCGCCTCCTCATATCATCACACTGGGGATTGGGTTTCATCATAGGAATTGGGGTCCATAGTGGGGCCTTATGGATTACTTCAGGTTTTGCAGTAGAGGAGACGGCCTAGAGAGGCTACATGAGGTGCCCCAAGTTGCAGCCACAGTGGCAGAGGTGGGAATAGAACCAGTGTCCTAACTTCCTGGCCTGGGGCTTCAGAAAATAGTTTTTTTTTTTAAAGGATATTCTTAGTAGACTATATGTTCACATGACTCGATATTCAAATGGTACAAAAGTCACTCCATGAGTTATCTAGTGCTCCCCATTGAAGGTAAAAAATACTACCAGTTCTTTCTGGAGATTTTATGCAAATAAAAAGAAGGGACACTTATGATTCTCTTCCCTATTACTGGTGGAGTATGGGTCACTCCTAATGTAGGATGGGACGATTGCCCCAAGCTCTGTCGTGAGTGGTTGATTGACGGTTTTCTTAAGGGAACAATGCTGGGAAAGATGATAGGCGCCCGCCACTGACCCCTCCCGCCTCCCTGCCCCTCCAGTAAACTCCCACACAAAATAGCAGTATGAGGTGTAGGGAAATAATCTTGGCCTCCGTCCTGGGTTTACTTTTGACTCTGCCACCTACAAGCTGTCACCTGAACAAGTCCTTTCCGTTCCTGTGTCTTCCCTGGTCACAAGCTCTAAGCCTGAACCCACACTCTGGGAATGAAGCAGGGTAGCGGCCTCTGCTTCAGCAACTCTGAGGGGTCTACCTTGGGTGGGGAGTTGGCCTCATCCAGAGGGCTGCTGGAGGGCCAAGACAAGGCTCTGGTGGGGAGGTGTGCTGAGAGGGGATTGCTTATCCCACCACCAGCTTTTCTGGGGGAGGTGGGGAAGTGATGGTTAAAAAATGGAGTTCCTGCTATCAGCCATGTCCTGATGAATTGGAAAGTCCCCTTCTTTCTCCTTTCCTCTTGCATCTCCTGCCTGCTTCCCCTGCCTGCCCTCCTGTGACATGTGCCCTCTCCAGCAGGTATGTCACACAGCACCCCAAGGGAAGGGCAGTGTAACGCTCTTTTCCATGATGGACTACCACAGCCAGAGGAAGACAGGCCTTCCCTTCTTTTCTAGTTCTTTTTGGTTTGAAAACAAGGCACTCTTATTTTCCCCTTCCAAGAAGCTGGTGGTTCACACGGGCCAGCACACACATTATCAAAGACCTAGTTTGTTTCTAGTAAATGAGTCCATTGAAGTGGGAGCCTTGGCCGGGCAAGGTGGCTCACACCTGTAATCCCAGCACTTTGGGAGGCCGAGATGGGTGGATTGAGATCGAGACCATCCTGGTCAACATGGTGAAACCCTGTCTCTACTAAAAATACAAAAATTAGCTGGGCGTGGTGACACACACCTGTAGTCCCAGCTACTCAGGAGGCTGAGGCAGGAGAATCGCTTGAACCTGGGAGGCGGAGGTAACAGTGAGCCGAGATTGCGCCACTGCACTCCAGCCTGGGCGACAGAGTGAGACTGTCTCTCCAAAAAAGAAAAGAAAAGAAAGAAAATAAATGAAATGGGAGGCTTAATTTATTTGAGACATATCACAGCTACCCTGAAAGAAGGAGAGAGGTGCTGGTGCCCTGCAGTGATAAGCACTCCTCACATCACAGTAGGGTTGAGGAGACGGCAGACGTTTGTAAATATGAGTCTTTGTAATTTAGAATCTGCCAACATTTTTTATCAGGTGGGAGGAGAGGAAATGGCCACAGGCGAACACACACGCACACACCCCATAGCACGCTTAGCTCCATTGTGGGTTAGAAAGTCCATGTCTTACATTGAGTAGAACCCCAGCTCTTGGTTTTGGGGTCATATTACACTGTCCCCATCAAACTTATCACCCTGATTGTTGTCAGTGCTTTTAGAAGATGTAGTAGCATTTCTTCTAGAGAGGGTGTAGGAGTCTCCTTGCCCAGCAGCCCTCAAAGTCCTGATCCCCCTTCCCTATGGGGCCCTATGAAGGCACACTCCCTGGAGAGTTCAATAGTTTCTTCTCTCCCTTTCCAGGGTCTCTGAGGCTAGTGTGACTGTTGAGAGGCTCCCAGCCATGCTCTCTGTGACCCTCAGGCTTGGGTTGGGATCCCAGCGCTCCTTGAAATAGAGCAAAAGGTGATGGGTTGCATAGTGTCTGTGGAGGTGCTGGTGCCTGAGAGCATAACAATAGAACAGGCTCCTGCACATAACCTTTGGGATGGACCCATGACCCCAGTTTGGAGGCGAGGGTTAGGACAAGATGGCCCTGAAGGAAGGATTGCCTCCCATCTTCCTTGGTTGGGTCAAATCAGCTGGTTAATGTCCTCTCCCTTTTGTTTTTTCTTGAAAGACCCATATCACTTTCATCCAAATCCATATGTCAGTTGTTTCCCCCTGGCCCTGACCTCTGATCAGATAGGGGGACTGGATCTGGATCATTGGGATGATTGATCTGGAGGTGAGAGACAGCTGCTGTTTCATTAAGTCAGCTCAGCCATAGCCCCCACCCTGGAAACCTTACTCTCTCTCCAGCAGCCTTCTAACTCTACAGGGAGGGCCCTTTGGTCTGTGATGAAATGGTTTGTGGGTGGGCAGCACGCCTGGGAGGGGCTGCCTCCATCTCCAGGAAGCACAGTTCCTCTCCCGGCTCGGGCAGGATGGGGTGCAGGTAGTGCTCTCCTAGTTTTAAAAATTCTAGGATAGGAGACGTCAGTCTGCCTCATGGCTTTTGCTCTGTGGGGTAGAGCAGAGGGCATTGGAGACATTTCCGATTGCCCCTGCTGAAGAGAAGGATACCCGTTCTTGGGAGGTAAGAAGCAGAGGGACAGTTGGGTGAGTCTCACTCTCAGGGTTAAAAGCAGGGAGGCTATGAATCGAACAAGGATTTCCACATTATCCTTTATAAAGAGGTTGTGAGGATGCAAGAAGTCCTTAGAACAGTGTTCGGCACATAGTAAGGCCTCAATAAATGTGAGCTGTTGGTATTGCCGTTGCCCTGGCCAGGGAAGTCGGGAACCATGACGGAGACTGCAACCTGTGTGACTTCCCATGAGTAACCGCAAAAGTCTTGGACACAGAGGACAAGACAGGTGGCAAAGAAAACGCTTGCTGGGGGATTGTGTTCCTCTTCATGGCCAGTTGTATGTGAGAGGGAGAGAGAGAGGGAAGTGGAAAGTTTAGGACCTGGGGCCAGCAGGCAGGAGGCAGAACAGAGCCTGTCAGGCTTGAGACGGTGCCCTAGGTTGGAGTACAGGACGGTCTCCTGGGGTTCCCCACGAGGAGCCGACGCCTACCCGCTGCATGGACCTTGGAGACTGAGAAAATAGGCTCCACCGCTCTCCTAGTGACCCGTCCCCCTGTAGGGCCACTGCTGGGGCAGCTTAGGCACTAGGCCTGGAAAGGGGCAAAGGTAGGGAATGGAGCTGGGACTCTCTTGGATTACCTATTATGTTAGGCTGGCTTCAAGGCTCTATCTCATGCCTCCAAAAGACCTGGGCTCAAATTCTGACGCCCAGGCACTAGTGGAGTATCTTTGGGAAATGATCCTCTGCCTAAGCCTCAGTTTCCTTATTTGTATAATGGAGCAGAAGATACCACACACACACAGGGTGAATGAAATAACCTAGGACAAGTACTTTGGGTGAAGCACCTTGTAAACTACAGAGTGTTGTGGAAATGCAAGTGTTTGTTGAACCTCTGCTTGAATGCCTCCAAGGACAAGGTGCTCATCACCCCTGAGGTAGCCAGTCCTGCTGTTGAGCAGTTCTGAACTGGCTGAGGGGGAGTCTTCTCTTACAGTTCTGCTGTGGACTCACACAGAAAAAAATGTCCCTTTACTTCTTCCACATGATAGAATGAAATAGGGTCACAGAACCCTCTCCCGTCCGCTGCTTGTCCCCCTTATGAACATACATGAGTGTATGCACATGCAGGGGTTAAAGTGTAGTGCATGCACATTTGGATTCTCACAGGGCCTCTTACTAATAAAGTAGCCTCTGTTTGCTTACTACCAGCCAGTGCAAAGGCCTTTACCTATCTACAGCTCTCAAAGATCCTCATAGCAATCTTATGAGGTAGACAATGATCTCCATTTTACAAGATGAAAAAAGAAAGCGAGAGAGCCTTGGAAGGTTAAGCTATTAGGTTGCAGAATGAGAGTGCAAACCAATGGCCTGTAGTGCAGTTGTTCACGTAGGCACTTGTGTGGACACTGCACACCCTCATGAGTATGCGCCCTCCCTCCCGGCACAGGGATTGGAGGGCGAGGTTGGGGGCTGAGAAGGAGGTCCGGGGCAGCCTCTTTCTTTGTGTGAAGAGGGAAGGTCTCCCCAGGGAAGGCCTTCTGCTCTACCTACCCTTTCTCCTCCTCCTACGTGCTCTCTTCGGCTTCAGAGGCCGGCAGAGTCTGACTAAAGGCAAGACAGCGGTGGTGCCTTCAAATAAATAGCTGTTGTCTCATCCTCAGCCCCATTTCCTCTTGGAGAAAGTTGGCAGGCCCTGGGGCCACAACAGCATCCACTCTGTTGTAGCTACAAAGAGAAGATGGTAAGGGTAGTGCCCGGGTGCTCCCCTCCTCAGAAACCTCCTCCTGGGAGCAGTCAGACAGATCTGTGGCTCTGCCATTGACCACCTCTGTGCTCTGGACAAGTGACTGTCCAGCGACTCAGCGTCGGTGTCTTCATCTGAGAATGAGCTCATTCCATGCACCCTGGAACATCTGCTGGGCTGCCTGTTCTCCTCACCCCATGCCCCCAGCGCCTGGGAAGTGCCAAGCACACAGGAGACCTCCCTAAGCAGTAGGTATTCCTGCACCCAAGGCCCGTGATGAATTCCCTCCCACTCCCTGGCATTGCAGACCCTACCCTTTTCTTAAGCTCTGCCCAGGGACACCCTGAAGCCCTACAACGGCCCTAACTCCTAAAAGGAATCCCTGCTTGGCTCAAGGGCGATCTGACCCAGGCGGTTCCTTGGAGTCTGGGCTGGGCTGCGGTGACACCCCTGGTGCCCCAAAATCCACCGTGCACTCCTCTAGTCTCTGAATCCCCATGGAGGGGTGTCAGAGCCTGGCAGGCGTGGGACCTGTGCCTCCTGGGGAAGGAGGCTGAGGTGGGCAGGACCCAGGGTGTCAGGCAGAGTCAGACACTGTAGAAATGCCTGGGGGAGGGTGGGGATGGGAGACTTGTAGTCTAAGCTTGCAGGACCTGCCAAGTCCCCTCTCCCTTGGTGTTGCCGACAGAGCCCCATGGTGGCTGGAGGCCTGGCTTTCGTGCGGGGCATTGGTCTGAGGCGGCTGGCCGCAGTGGTGGCTGGTGGTGGCTGCCCGGGTGCTGAGCCCGGATGTGTCCAGTCAGCGCGTACTGGAGATGCCACTTGTCACAAAGGCCCTGGCGGGGCTCAGCTGGGGACACGCAGGGCCATGCCTGGAATGGTGCCATCCACCTCCACTGGGCCCAGGAAGGGTGGAGCTCAAGAGAGAAAGAATGGCACCCACAGAGGCAGGACGTCTTAGGGCAGAGCTCACCATCTGGGTGATGCCTCCTGGGGGAGGTGAGGCATTGGCCCAGCATGGATGGGGTGGCATTTTACTGCGCCGTCCACCCTTTCTGGTGACTCCCAGGAGTTGGGGGCCCAGTGCTAGCTCCTGGTTGGGACTGATGACAGTGAATTTGAGGACATCAGAGGCCTTCAGAGCTTCCCTTTCTGCACAGGCTGTGAATCCTCTTGGTGAGCTTCAGTAGGTTCTCTAGGGCAGCAAGGGACCTTCATATCCCACCTGCTTCCCTGGACACAAATCTGGGCAGGAAAACAAACAAACAAACAAAAGCTGGGCATGGTGTTCCTCGCCTGTAGTCCCAGCAACTCGGGAGGCTGAGGTGGGAGGATCGCTTGAGGCCGGGAATTCCAGGTTGAGCGCACCATGATTGCGCCACTGTACTCCAGCCTGGGCAACAGCAAAACCCTGACCAAAAAAAAAAAAAAAAAGAAAGAAAGAAAAGAAGAAACAACAACAGCAACAACAAAACCTGGGCAGATGAGGCAAATCCTGGCTTCTCTGGAATCTGACCCTCTGGTCTGCTGGTTTGTATCTTGTCTAATCCCCATTTCATAGTTAAAAGCTTTTTAACCTCATTATTTCCTTTCAGTCTTATCAACCTGGCAGCATGGGAGTTATTCTCGCATTTCATAGAAGCGGAAATTGAGGCCCATGAGGGCGAAGGTGCTTTCCCGAGGTCACAGAGCTGGCAAGGGAGCAGCAGGATTGACTCCGCAGCCCCTGCGTTTCCATCGCAGTGCCCGCCACATAGTAGGAACTCTACACATGGCGCCTTCTGGGGGCCGCCTGGCTTTCTGGAAAGGATCCGAAGTGGTTTGGTGAGCACCGGCTTTGGAATTCAAACCCTGGCTGATGCCTCTTGCCGGCTGAGTGGCCTTGTACAAGTCACCTGACCTCTTTGACTTCTTTCTTAGCCAATAAAATGGAGATCACACATCTTCAGGGCAGAAATTACAAACACATTAATTTCCCATCCATAGATCCTTCCCACGAATCACCAAAGAGGAGGCCTGCCTTGCCTGCGGTTTCTCCCACCTCCTCTGCCTCCCCTATGCCCAACTGTTGCTGTTTCCTAATGGAAAATGGGGGGAAATGAATGTGAGAGAACATTCCCCAGAGGAGAGGAGGGCGGAGCTGAGCAGGGCTGGAGAAGAGCAGGCAGTGTGTGGGGGGATGTGGGAGGCACAGGCTCCGTAGGGTGTCAGCGGGTGTCACTTACATCTGCTCTTCGGACCCCTTCAGGATCACAAAAACAAAAGCAGATAACTTGAGTTATTTAAAACTTTCGTTTTGGTGGCTGAGTGGATTGAGGTTCTTTGACTGGCACTACGGCCCTGAGACACCACCACTTGGGTTTTGTGCTTATAGGAGTTACTCTTTTTTACAGGGTAGTGGTAAAACTAGGAGAGTATCCGTGCTAAGTGGTTATCAGGGTGCTTGACTCAAGTAGACTCTCAGCAAACGGCAGCAGGCATGATGGTATTCTGTTGTGTTGTTTTCTTGTAACTTGGGGACACTATGCGGAGAGAACCAATGTTTCAGGAGATCTCGGCCTTCACTGGTCTACTCCTTGCCCGTTTCTCCCACTGTTTACCCTTTGTTCATCTATGTCTAACATATGTTGTGCTCCTATTAAGTCAGGCACTGTCCCTTCTCTGGAAGAGACAGTGGAACCCTTCTCTGCCCTTGGGGAGCCTGTCTGCTGAGGACGATGTTCAAATACCATCTGTGGAGGGCTTCTGAGTTGGGAAGGGATGAGACTTGTTTTGTGGTGCCCCCCAGGAGTGGCAGTACCGAGCCTTGTGAGTAGAAGTTGGAGGGGCCACCCAAGCTTAGTGTGAGGGAGGTTTTGCTGTTAGAGCTGTCACAGGTGAGATGTGCTGGCTGGGGAAGTGATGAGTTCTCCATCAGGAGGTGTGCACGGGAAGGCCAGACCACTCTTGCTGATTGCAGATGGAATTCCCAATTTGGGTGGAAGCGTGGACCAGGTGGCGTTGAAGGTCTCTTTGAGTCCTGAGATTGTGCGATTCTTAGAGACACTAAAACCAAGTATGGATCACCTCCAGGGTAATCCAGCTGGCATCTATTCCTCCTTCGGCCTAGAGTATTGTTGTCATTGCCCAGAAGAGGACATGGATTCTGGGAGGAAGGACAGAGCCCTGACTCAGGGTTCATGCTCAGCCTGGTTCTCCCACCCTTCTCCTACAGACACACAGATGCCCTCCTCCTCTCTAAGCTCACCAGCGTCTCCCTTTGCCTTTCCCACCCTTTACCTGTATAGGAATCCAATATGTAGGGTAAGAGGAGGTGACATGGTATGGTGGGTGACATGGTATGGCAGGCGGTGCGGGGGAGGATGCCCTGGGCCTGATCTATCAAGGGAGAATTTCTATGGGGAGCCAAGTTCCCCTTCATCTCCTGCATAAATTAAGATGATGCTAATTGTTGTAAAATAAACTCCAAAGTATCGGTGCTTACTGCAAGTTTATTTCTTGCTCACATAAAGTCCAGCTGGCATTGAAGGGGATAGAGGGGCCTCTGCGCTACATCGATGTATAAGCCAGGGTGATAGAGGATCTGCCATCTTCAATAAGTGGCTTCCAAGTTCACCTTGGGCATTGACTTACAGTTGGAGAGAGCAGAGGGTGGCCAGGGAAGTTTTTATGAGCTGGACCTGAAAGTAGCGTGTATCACTTATGCCACATTCCGCTGGTCAAAGCTCAGTCTCATCGCCTTCTCTGAGAATCGGGGGCCTGGAACTGTAGTCACGGGATGCGTAGCGACTTCCCCGCAACAACTGTGCACTGTGGAGGATCATGAGGCTTTGGCAGACAGCAAACCCTCCCTGCTGTTCCCTGACCCAGGCTTCCCTCCTTCCGCCTCCGCCAGTTTGCGCACACTCCGGGGAGTGAGCCTTTGAGCGCAGGAAGAGACCCACAGGGCCTTTGCATCTCCAGTGCCCAGCTCAGTGCCAGATCATTGGAAGTGCTTCTGGGTATTTGGTGAATGAACAAATACTTGGGTATCATTTCGCTTGTTAAAAATACAGATGCCACAAGGTCAGGAGTTCAAGATCAGCCTGGCCAACATGGTGAAACCCTGTCTCTACCAAAGATACAAAAATTAGCTGGGTGTGGTGGCGCATGCCTGTAATCCCAGCTACTCAGGAGGCTGAGGCAGGATAATTGCTTGAACCCGGGAGGTGGAGGTTGCAGTGAGCCGAGATGGTGCCACTGCACTCCAGCCTGGGCTACAGATTGAGACTCCGTCTCAAAAACAAACAAACAAACAAACAAAAAATACAGATGCCTGGGGGAAAACAGTTTGTTCGTTCCTCAAAAAGTAAGACATAGAATGAGCATGTGATTCAGCAGTTCCAGTCCTGGCTATATTCCCAAAAGAATTGAAAAGAGGGGCTCAAACAGATCCTTGTACACCTGTGTTCATAGCAGCATTATTCACAATAGCTGAGAGGCAGAAGCAACCCACGTGTCCACCAGGAGAGGAAATGAATGGAGAAGCAACATGTCGTAAATAATGGAATATCCTCAAACAGGAGTGGAATTCTGACACATGCTGCAACATGGATGCAGCTTGAAGACATGATGCTAAGTGAAATAAGCCAGAACCAAAAGGACACATATTGTATGATTCCACTTATACAAGGTACCCAGAATAGGCAGGTTCATACAGACAGAAAGTAGAATGGTGGTTGCCAGGTGCTGAGAGAGAGGAAGATGGGGAGTTATTGATTAATGGGTACAAAGTTTCTTTCTGGAATGATGAGAAAGTTCTGGAAATGGATAGTGATTTACAACAAGGTGAATATACTTAATGCTGCTGAATTGTACATTTTAAAATGGTTAAAATGGCGAATTTTATGTATCTTTTACCACCATAAAAATAGAAATGTTGGTCAGGTGCAGTGGCTCATGCCTGTAATCCCAGCACTTTGGGAGGCCGAGGTGGGCGATTGCTTAAGCTCAGGAGTTCAATACCAGCCTAGGCAACATGATGAAACCCCCTCTCTACTAAAAATACAAAAACTAGCCAGGTGTGGTGGCAAGTGCCTATAGTCCCAGTTACTCGAGAGGCTGAGGAAGGAGGATCACCTGAGTCGGGGAGATTGAGGCTGCAGTGAGCCGTGATAGCATCACTGCACTCCAGCCTGGGCTACAGGGCAAGTCCCTGTCTCAAAAAAAAAAAAAAAAAAAAGCCTAGGCCGCATACCAGCAAATTCCTATTCTGTTAGGATTGGTGAGAGCTGGGCTTCTGTATTGTTTAACGAGCTCCTCAGGTGAATCTGATGTGCATCTACGTTTGAGACCCACTAGTCTAGCTCTGGTTGTTGGTAGAATGGGGGAACAAGGGGTAATCTCTCTGAAGGTCTTCTAGAGGAGGGTTTCTCAAACGTTGATGTGCATATGGGTCCCCTGGGGATTTTGCTGAAGTGCAGAGTCTGATTCAGTGGTTCTGGCGTGAGGCCTGGTATTTTTTTTGCATTTGCAACAAGCTCCTAGGTGACGGTGGTGCTGGTGCCACTGGCCTGTGACCCACATGTAGAGTATCAAGGCTCTCAAGGGCAGATGGTCATCTTATCCATGGTAGACAAAGTGGAGTTTTGGAAAGGAGCAAGTGAATGTGTAAGATGACTGTTCCAGATACATAGAGTTCAATGAGGATGAGCTGGGGATGAATGAGGAGCAGGAGTGCCACTGATTTGTGAATTAGCTTCTGGGTGTGGATCAAACAGGCAGGCTTGTGGTTTAGCTAACAAACATATTAAGGGCCTGGCGCAGTGGCTCACACCTGTAATCCCAGCACTTTGGGAGGCTGAGGCGGGAGGATTGCTTGAGTCCAGGAGTTCGAGACCAGCCTGGGCAACATGGTGAAACCCTGTCTCTACGGAAAAAAAAAAGTACAAAAATTAGCCGAGCATGGTGGCATGTGCCTGTAGTCCCAGCTACTCAAGGGGCTGAGGCAGGAAGATCACTTGAGCCAGAAAGGTCGAGGCTGCAGTGAGCCGTGATCACACCATTGCACTCCAGCCTGGGTGACAGAGTGAGATGCTGTCTCAAACAACCCTGCAAAGCGTACTGAAGTTAGAGATTATTAGCAAATAAAATCGTGTGGATTTTGCTCAAGTATGCCTGAATTTCTAGACTTTGTGCTTTATAATAAGGGGCCTAGCCCAGTGGAATACAAGCTAGACTGGCCCACATCTTACTTTTCTGTTGCCTTTCCAAATCCTTCTCATCCTACAGAGTCCACCTCAGGTCCCAGACCTCCAACAGCTCCCCAGAGCTGAATTCCACCTTTTCTACCACCGCCCCTCACCAGGGTAAAGTACTTTGGAGCCCTTGATCCATCCTGTGCTGCATATTGGGTCACCTGCCTCAACTGTTTTTCTGCCCATGCGTCCAGCTTGCTCCCTGGACCTGGCGGACTCTTCCCCTGGCAACATCCTGGGGGAAGAACTGAAACTCTAATCTTTGAACAGTGGAACAGCAGGTAGTATGGCTCAGTAGTTAAGGAATTGGACGCTCATGAGTTTAAATCTCATTCCCATCTCTTCTAGCTCCTCTAACCTTCTCACCTGTCACGTGGTAATCGTGATACCTTTCTCCCAAGTCTGCAATGAGGTTACAAGCAGCACCTGGCACGTAGTATCGGGATCCGTCATGTATTTTCATGACAGCGTTCCCCTTCGGAGCCCTTAGGCTGCTTCTATCTTCTGCGCCTCTAGCCTCTGAGGAGTTTTTCATTCCCTCTTGCTGGTTGGAGGTGGCTCTGATTCGTGTTTGTTTGCCCAATATCTGGTGTGCAGGGGAGGTGGGGTTGGGGGTCTTCTATGCGGACAGCTCAGGTTTGATCGTTGTGCCTGCAGTTCTGGAGGCGACCTGCAGATGGCGTGCGCGTCCTTGGGAGGCGTTCCGTCCTCCCAGAGATGGAACGAAGCTGGGCTGTCACCAGGTGTCTGGAATGCAGAGCTTTGGTTTTCAACTGATGCCGTTAGCTGCTTCTCTTGGCTGGGTCCTGGGTGTGGGGGCTGAGATGAGCATTTCTTCATGAGCCTAGGAATACCGAGGCGTACGGAATCTCTGCCCCTCCCCTCTCACCGTGCCGACCCGGGAATCTAGTTATTCATGCGAGGGACTCCTCTGCATCCCACACACTCTAGGTGCTCAGAGAGAATTTGTGGGATGAGTTGCTATTCGGAAGATGCTTCTATGAAAGGTCATGCATCCCAGGTGCGGCCTCACCGGGGCCCAGGCTGATAGGTATCAGCTGCCTGCATGCACAAACTCCTCCCTCCTTCTCCAGCCCTTCCCAGTTCCTCCTCTCAGCTCCTAGGGAGCGGTGGGTCCCAGACTCACCTTCCTTCCAGGTTCCTGATCCACAGCTCAGCCTCAATTGCAGTGCTCAAGAGCCCCCTGTGCACTTCTTAGGTGCACTTCCTTTTCACCCAGGGGCCAGTCACCTGCTTCTGCCTCTCCAAACCTTCAAGTCCCTGGAGGTCCATCTCACCTGTCACCTCCTGTGATGCCCTCTGGACCCTCTCATCAGAAACCAGGCCTCTGGACACCCACGGCACCTTGCCTGCTCCTCCGTGTGGACGCCTTTTCTTCCACTTGGCTGACTCCTTGGAAGCCAGGTGAGGTACCTGATGTGCTGACCTGGTTCTCTTTGGCTGAGCTCCATTCCCTCTCCTTCATGAGCTTCTCTCACTCCTCTCACCTCCGACGACTTCTCTTCTTCTCCCTCTGGCCTCATCTGGTCCTAAGAGTCAGCCCAGAACTTTAGGCCTTGGCCTGGTGCCCCAGCTATAGATAATCTCTTCTTCCCCGCTCCCGATAGGCACCTCTTTCACAACTGTGGGCTATTGGTCTTGTATAGTCCTGGCCCCCTGGCTACCCTGCACTCTCTTGGAGGAAAGAAGCCAGTAGGCAACCCCTCCCCTATCCCAGGCTCCCCAGCGCTTGGTGAGCCAAGGTTGCCTCATTCCATCTGCTACAAGCTTCCCTCCGTTTACAGGTAAGGACACTGTGGGTCAGAGGGGTTTAGGAGTTTGCACGAAGCCACCGACCTAGTTCCCCTTGCGGGCCCAGCACAGCTCTGAGAACAGAAGAGGAGGCACCTTGGCTAATTGCAAGCCTTTAAAAGTCTTAGAGCACTGAGCCAAAGCCCAGGCTTCTCACAAAGTCTCTTTATGAGAGACAGACGGCCTGGGGTCGGGCTCTCTCCTCCCTCCCCGCTGGCCTTCGCCAGATGGGAAAAAAGCCACCACATAGAAACATAACCTTTATTGCACACGGCGCTGGGTCTTTTTTCATAGAAAAAGGTATTAACACATAAGCATCTGCAAATTGAAGCAACTCCTGGTTTTCTTGGAACAGTAAAATCGCATGCAGTGTCTCTGAGTTGGGATTTTGGTCTTTGTCAAAACCACCTAGACTGGGGGGAAGGTGAGGAGGAGGGAAAAAAATTGCTGAGTCTTTGTGCCTCTGTCTCAAAATAGGGTGAGAGAAATATATAGATATATAGCTCGTGGACGCGTTCCTGTCTGTCTATATATGTATATATATCTCCACACATATTTTGTGGGGTGGGGGATTTGACTTGTACTGTCAAATTCTTTGTGCCCTGGCTTCATGGAGAAGAAGAAAATAGTTTCATTTGTACAAAAGAGTTCTATGTACAGGCGTTCATGATTGGGGGTTTTTGTTTTGTCGTTGGTTGGTTTTTGTCTGTCAGTTGAATATAAATAATGCAGAAAAACAGCCGAGCTGGCGTGTGGGGCTGCGGCGCGGCGCGGTCCAGGCGTGGCTGCTCTTCCTGCGGGCCCTACACCAGGGTGTAGGATTTGGAGTAGGCCCCGGCCCCCTGCTTCTGAGACCTCCCTACCCCCGATGTGCTCATCTCGAGAAGCGAGTCCCTGGAGCCCCCCATTTTGGTGTGTGGGCCCCCGGCTCGTGGAGGCTCGGTGCTGGGGGCCGGAGGGGCAGCGCTGGGGGCGGTGGGTGGCTCAGCAGGGGTGGGGCCGGGGGCTGGGGGGGCTGTGCCGGCTGGGGGGGCTGGCATGGCCAGAGTCCTCTGAGGTAAGGTGGCTGTGGAGGCGGCAGCGGGGGCCCCTGGGTGGGGAAGGCCCAAGGACTTGCTGGCAGGGTCCAGGGTCAGGTGGCGAGCCTGGGTGTGGTAGGTTCGAGCCAGGTTCCGGATGGAGGCCTCACGGGGTGGGACCACGGGGCAGGGCTCACGTCCATCTGCCTTTCGAAAGAAGGCCTCTGACTTGGCATACAGGGGCAGGTTGCAGTAGTCACCTGGAATCACAGAGGCAGAGGATGTTACAGAGAGTCATAGCCCTCTGGAAGCAGCTCGTTCAGCCCCCACCCCATCCCCTGCCCCCAGTCTTCTCTCTGATTTGGCATAGGGGCCCCTCCACTGGGGGGCAATAAAGAGTAGCGGAAAGGTCGGGTACTTGGCCCTTCTGAGCCTTCGTTTCCTTATCTGTGAAGTGGGGATGATCTTACTTCCCCACAGGATTATTGTGAGGAGCGAATGAGGTGAGGGAGGTAAAGTGCTTTGCTACAGTGGCTGGTGCAGATAACAGCTGCCCAGTACATGGATGCTTGTTGTTCAATGGTCACTAGAGGCTGGTCAGCTTCCGGTAGTGGAGAGCTCACTACTGCTAAGGACGAGGATGTCCTAATGGCTCTGGCTGGTGGAAAGCTTTTCTTTACCCTGAGGAGGAAAGGAATATCATTCCCTGTCGCCTCCCCACCATGGAGCCTGGTTCTGTTCTCTGAGGTCTCACAGAGTAAGGCGTTCCCCTCTTTCCCATGGCAGCCTTCCAGATGTTTGAAGTCAGCTACATGTCCCCTCTCCTCCCCCTCGGTCCCCTCTTCTCCAGGTGGAAAGTTCCTAATTTCTTTTTTTTTGAGACGGAGTCTCGCTCTGTCATCCAGGCTGGAGTGCAGTGGCATGATCTCGGCTCACTGCAACCTCCGCTTCCCGAGTAGCTGGGATTACAGGCACGTGCCACCATGCCCAGCTAATTTCTGTATTTTTTTAGTA
This sequence comes from Homo sapiens, assembly GCF_000001405.40. Classification (NCBI taxonomy): domain Eukaryota; kingdom Metazoa; phylum Chordata; class Mammalia; order Primates; family Hominidae; genus Homo; species Homo sapiens. The sequence goes on from NC_000011.10 coordinate 117,429,558, forward strand.
GAGATGGGGTTTTGCCATGTTGGCCAGGCTGCTCTGGAACTCCTGATCTCAGGTGATCCGCCTGCCTTGGCCTCCCAAAGTGCTGGGATTACAGGCATGAGCCGCCGCACCCAACCTAGTTCCTTATTTCTTAAACTGCCTCCATGTGACTTGCTTCTAAGACCTCCACCGCCTGACCCCCCGTGCTCCATGGGCACCCTGCCTGCAAATGGGCCTCTTCCCCCGGGGAGCTGGGCCAGGCATTTTCCTTAGATTTTCTTATTGAATCCTCACGACAGCCCCTAGGATTGGTTAATACCTGTCTGCACTTTACAAGTGAGGAAACTGAGGTTCAGAGAGATTAAATCATTTGCCTAAATTTGCACAGCTAAAAGGGGTGGGGGTGTCATTCAGGGTCACAGTCTCCACAGTCTTTCCATTGTTCCAGGCTCTTCTTTCCATGACCCAGAAAGCCCCGCCCCCTGCCTCAATTAGCATGGCCAGTGCTAAGCAGACCAGACTGCATTGTTTGATAGTCTGGGCTTTGCACGCTGTGACCCCAGCATCTGCTGATAGACTCCCCCTGCTGATCCTAGCCCTGCCCTGCCAGCCTCTAAGGGCATATGCTCCGGCCAGGCCCGTGGGGTCAGATGGTTCCCAGCCAGGCCAGGTCACTGCCTACTGAGAGGTATGACCATGGTGGGTGGAGCTGCCAGGATTGTTTGTTTGGGTCTGGATTAAATTCAAACAGCATTGAGACCAGAGGCCCTTGGGCAGCTGACCCTGAAGGGATCTGTTTCCATCCTGGCACAGCTTCAGATTAAGGGGATGCTCACTACCGAATGAATGAGGCCTTACAACACGCTGGGGATGTATATCATTTCTAATGCCCATTATGACAATGCAAAGTAGATACTATCGTTGGCATTTTACAAATGAGAAACTTAAGGCCACAGAGGTTAAATGACTTGCCCAAGGCCACAGACATAGGAAGAGGTTAAGCCAGGATGTGGGCCCTGATCTGCCTGCTCCTAAGTCCTTGCTGTTGGTACCACCCTGCACTGCCAAGGAGCCAAGCTGGGCTGGCATGATCCTGGTGCTGGCAGAACTAGATCTAGCCAGGGCTCATGGGGCTGGGGCCAGGGGGCGGGGGGGCACTGCCTGGGAGGTGGTCTGAGCACTCACTCTTGTTGGCCCGGTGAGGGATGGGCACAGCCACGTTTTTGCCCCGGTCCGCATCCTGGGGCTTGGGTGGTGAGGCGGTAAAGCGGCAGATGCCAGGCTCTGAGGGTGTGCTCATGGATGTCATGCTGTCGGCGTTCTCGTTGGTGCCTGTGGTCATCTGGTCAGAGGAACTGTCAGAGATGAAGCACTCGGTGATCTCAAACTTGGCGTGCTGCAGCTGCTCCTCCAGCTTGGCATGCTCATAGGCCCGGGCCAGCTCCTCGTAGGTGGAAGAGGCACTCTCAGTGGACACCATGCTGTTCCTTCCTTTGTCTGGGGAGTTAAGAGGAAAGGGGTGGGTTACGGGGAGGAGGGTATAAGTGAGACTGACTGAGCACTTCCCCTGCCCGTAACCCCAGCAGCCATCTGTAAGTCTGGCCATGGAGGGCACCAGGCTGAGAAGATCCCGTGAAGGTGGCAGTGGTGGCAGAAGTAGGATCTTTGGCTCATGAAGGGCAGAACACCTTTCATTCTTGAAAATAAGCAACCATCCCCTGGAACATTCAGCCCTTTCTCCAATGAACATCATGTGTACCATTTTCTCTGACAGTTTTTGGGAAAGCAAAATTAACTCCCTGACTAAGTAGAGCTCAGTGAGGTCAAGTGTTTTTGTCCCAGCTGCACAGTGGGTCAGTGACCAGCTAGACATGAAACTGACTTGTGCCTTGGGCCCCATGAGCTGGTGGGTAGAAGCTGGGAAGAATAGAAGGTGAAGGTGAATGATGGGGAACTGGGGGGAGGTGTTCAGGATGCCAGCAGGGCCTTAGGCACACCTGTGTCCTGGGACAGGCTGGCACTGTAGCTGTCACTCTCAGTGACCGTGACACCATGCTGGGAGCCCACGGTGCGCCAGTCGGAGGTGAGGGTGCGGGCAGGTGTGGAGGCCTGGCACTTGGTCAGGGTCCACTGGCTTGAGTACCGGTTCCGGGTGCTGTGGGCTGACTTCACATTCTTCCTGGACACTGGATCTGCACAGACAGAAGCAAGAAATTGCATCCTCCAACCAAAGGCACCCAGGCTTGGGCAGCTGGCACTTACCAGAAAGGGCAGGGGGGAGCAAGGGAAGAGGCAGATGCAGCCACAGAAGCGCCCTTGGGAATGCTGCCTTTCCTAACCACATCGCTGTCCCCAGAGGAGAAGAGCAATCGAGTCAAGGTTGGGGAGGGGGCAGTGGAGGGCATTCTCCCCGCCCACCCCATCTTTTCCTTCCACCTGGGGGAGAATGTGATGTCCTTTCCTGCTGCCTCCTGACTGTCCATTCATTCCCTACAGTCCTTGATGTGTTCTATCCTATGTCCAGATACACGGTGCTAGAGATAGAAAGACCCTTGGAGAACACGAATACCCAATACTCTCAAAATTTCTAGGTAAGGAAACAGGCCCAGAGAGATAAAGTTAGTGATACGCCCAAGGTCACAGTTAGTAAATCTGCAGTTGAGGTCTCCAGACGCTCATTCCAGTGCTTTCCATTTTTGCATTCTATTCCATTAAGCTCCCTCCTCCCTTTAAAAAAAAACACCACCTCTGTGTCATGCTATGCCCAAGCCACCCCGGTTGGGAAAAGGGCTGTCTCCCTGGGGATAATGCGTACTGGTTCCTGGCCGGATGTCAGACATGTCGATGAGGGGTCCTGTGCTCTGGATGAGGGTTGGGTGGTGCAAGGAGACGCCAGTACAGAAGCTCTGTGGGTTGACAGCTTGGCTGAACTCAGCATCTGTCACAGGGATGGTGGCCTTGTCATCTCCTGGGGAAAGAAGGACAATTACTGGGAGTCCTTTACAATTGTTTTTTAAAGCTCTTTTGGATGTGACTGAATTTCTCTTTGTCTTTATCCAATGTGTTTTTTGTTTGTGGATTTGTTTGTTTGTTTTTTTGAGACAGGGTCTCACTCTGTTGCCCAGGCTTAATTGTGATCACTGCTCACTGCAGCCGCCTCAATCTCCTGGGCTCAAGCTATCCTCCTACCTCAACCTTCTGAGTAGTTGAGACTACAGGATGTGTCATGCCTGGCTATTTTTTTTTTTTTTTGTGGTAGAAATGGGATCTCACTATGTTGCCCAGGCTTGTCTCGAACTTCTGGCCTCAAGTGATCCTCCCTCCTTGGCCTCCCGAAGTGCTGGGATAACAGGCATGACCCACCAACCCAGACTTTATCCAATGTTGAGTCACAGAAAGGCCAGCAATTCCCTCCGTTGGACAGAGGAGGAAAATTAGCCCTTGAGAGAAGCCACAGTGAGTTCTAAGGTTGTTGAGTGGTTGATGGGGCTACTGCCAGAACCCTGGGCACTGCCATGAGGGTTGGTGTTTGACTTCCATGGGTTGTAGCCTGGGGAAGCACACCCAGCAGGACAGGGAACTTGTGGCACCTGTCACTCACCCAGTTGCTTGATGCCTTCTTTGTCCTCGATGAGCAGCTGGACCCTGGGGATGTCAATGTGTAGCCGTGGGCCCTGGGGTGGCCCTTTCACAGGGGTGTCAAAGCTTCTATTGTTCTTGCTGTGGGGAGAAAGACTGGAGGTGGTGGCTCAGCAGCCATAAGGGGTTGGGGAAGGGGGCTCTGCAGGACAGTGGGATTTTAGAAGCCTGCCTCCTATTCTGGGAGTTCAGAGCGAGGCTCCTGGGTCCTCCTCAGGACAGAGGGGAGAAGGGAGGAGAAAGGAAGCAGCTTGGTGATACCCACCTTATCAACATTTCTGCCAAACTCTTTGCATCTGCAAAACAGTAGAGGGAGAGGAGGGCTGGGTGAGAATGAAGTTTGAACAGGATGACAATGGGAGAGGCATGGGAAACAAGGTGGAGAATTCCTTAAAATGGGGCCAGGGCTGGTCTCCTAAGAAGCAGAAGGAGAAATGTAAGGACCTACAAAACAGCCCAAAACATGACGCGGTTTCACTGCTCCAAATTCAGGATTTGGCTCAAGTCTGTTTTCCTTTCTTCAAATTTTATCTAATTGAGAGAACCTTCCCAAAGCACTGGGGGCATAGCAAGTGCCTCATCTGCTTCATGAATTGACTCTGCTTAAACACAACACCATAACAGGCTGGAAATGGATATCAGTGGAAGATTTATCTTCAGTTATATCTTGTGGAGAGGAGAGAGTGGAGGATGTAGTAGAGGTGGTCAATGGGAAGCCCCAGATGATTAAACTCTCATATCAACCAAGAGGCTTCACTTCCTCCTCTGGGGCCTCTGTCCCCAAAAAGTCCATGGATGGATTTTGTGGCCCCTGCTTTGTCTCAGAGGAGCCTTGAATAAGATCAGGACTCTCAGGTTAGGAATTTGGAAGAGAGGAGAATTAAAGGGCCTAGTTAATTTATTAGACCCCTGATACCTGAGAATGAGCTGTCAGAATGAATCCCAAATAGCTGTATGCATGCATCTAACCATCCAATTGTCTGGCTATCCATTCACCCATCCATTGATCCATCCATCCATCCATTCACTGATCTAGCCATCCATCCATCTAACCACCTACCATCCAATTATCCATTCATCCATCCAACCAACCATTAATTCATCATCCACCTATTCAACCATCCATCTGTCTATCCATCCACCCATTGATTCAACCAGTAATCCATTCAACCATTCACTCATGAATTCAACATCCATTCAATCATTCTTATATTTATATGTTAAACCTTACATCCAACCACTCCTTTAACCATTCACCCAATCATTCCACAATTCCAATAGTTTTTCCATCCAGCCATCCATCCATCTTGTCATCCATCGATCTATCAGAATAGTCATCCATCCATCCAAGCATTTGTTCAATCATCTACCTATCTGTTCAACTATTCATATAATCATTATCTGGCCATTCAACAATCCATCAATTTATCCATCCATCCACCCATCTATTCATTCAGCCTTTTATTCAACCATCCTTACACCCAGCCATCTATTCAGCCATCCAGCCATCCTTCTATCTATACATCCTTCCATTCAACCATTTATTCAGTGATCCATTCAACCATCCAACCATGTAACTACTCACCACCCATCTAGTCATTCAATTATCCACCCAATCATCCATCCATCCATCCATCCTTCCATCCATTCATCCATCCAATCATCAACCATCCATTGAACCATCTATTCATCCATTTACCCAATTCCTGAACACAATAGGGAGCATTAGTCATTCCCTCTTCTGTGCTACTATTGTCTCCTGGCTCCTCACATTAGATGATAAACTCTGTAAGAGTATGGCTTGGCCGTTCTTTATTGATCTCTATAGTCTTGCAGTATCTATGATGAAGCAGACCCAATAAAAGTTTTCCAAATAAGTGAAAGTATATTTATGAAGCAACTAGTAGGTGCCAGACACTGTGTTAGGCTGTGGGAAAACTGAGGTAAATCAGACCCATTCACAGTAGACTGTGGCATCAGGTAATGGAAAAAGGGGATAATATTCAAAATATTTAACACCTGACATGGTGCAGAAACTGCCCAGTTAGAACTGAGCATTGTCCTAGAGACTACCTGCAGGTCTATTCTTTAGTGAATGGGTCCTAGGAAAGTTGCAGGGATCCCGTGAGAGGGGATGAAGCATCCAGTGTGGAAAGGAGCAACATCTGTTTACCAACCAACATGGAAATGTTTAAATATTTAACAATCAACATGGCTTTACCAGTGTGTACCTCTAAATATTAGCCCTGACTGGGGCAGGCACAAAGTCTTGGGGGCATAGAGGAGGAAGTGGTGAACGAAACCTTCTGAACTAAGGAGGTTTCAGAAAGTCTGAGTGGCTGCTCCTCCTTCAAGGGGACACAGGCACTCTGTATCATCCAGATGGTGCTGTGAGCCAGGGAAGGGGGGGGACAATGTGGCTGAGAGCCAACACCCCCTCCTGGAAGGCCCATAGGAAGCTCCCCCACCTCGGAGTCGCTTCAGCCGTTTCTCCTTCCTCTTCTTGCGTACGATGAAGAGCAGTGCCACCCCCAGTGTGGCCAGGATGACAGGGCAGCCGATGGTGAACAGCTTCTTCACATCATCCCCTTCACCTTGAGCAGACTTGATGGGTGGAATGGTGCCTGAATGAGGGCAAAGAATAGAATTAGATGTCCCTTATGAGCCAGGTGCTGTGCAGAACATCTCATGGGTGGGGCAGTCCTCTGACCTCTCTTGCTGCCCTTGGGCTCTGACCTCCACCTCCTGGCACAGAACCCTGGACTTCCCCTCTGCTCCCCAAATTCTGGTCCTATCAGGACAGCCATGAACAGTTGTGTAGTTTTAATATTGCATTTTATTAACAAAGTCCTGGTACTGTTGTAGAATTAGCCTAAAGTCTCCTGGAGTTAGTCTCTCGCCTGTTGAAGTTCAGTGCTCATTCCCAGAGAGTGGATTGATGGGCTTAAATTCTGATATCCAGCTGGGGTGGGGAGAACAAAGGGTGAAGCATGGTAGGGAGAAGTCTGGGCAGTGGACCCTGGGTTCTCTTCCCCAGATGGAGACAAAAACCACTACAAACCCTACATTCTCTCCCTGCTCACCCCTCCTGGGGGCCATATCTGTTAACCTGGGGCTCCTGTGGGGAAGCATGGCAAGTTCTCCTGCTGACATAACCCTCTGCCAAGCCCTGACCCTTGCCTGTTTCAGAGCTTTGCTTAAGAGTCACCTCCTTCATGAAGCCTTCCTTGCTTGAGTCCATCCCCTTTTAATACTGCTTTTATTCTGTTTCCTTAACACATAGGTAGACTTGTGACAATGGGCTTCTATGAATTCAGCCTTCCATGTCCCTTCAATGGATGTGTGTGTGTGTGTATGTGTGTGTATGTGTGCACGTGTGTATGTATCCCCATGTGGCAGATGCAGTTAGGAACTGGTAGTATGCCTTTTCTGTGGATCCTGGAGTCTCCATGTTCAAAAAGATGGTGGCCACTCAACCCTCGCAGGACTCCAAGAGAGCAAGAAACAAATCAGTACAGGGTTAAGCCACCAGGTTTTGGTATTTGCGACTGCAGCATAGGCTGTCCCCTCCTGGCTAATATTCCATATCAGCAGAAAGTTCTTAGAGGTCAGGACCTCAACCACACCTCTACCTCCCTTGTCACCTCCCTGAAACAATGCACAGTGATTGAGGACTGCAGCTTCAAAGACTCTCCATCTTTGGTATTACTGACCTATGTGTCTGTCCATCTGTAGTGGCCATTGGTGCATCTGCCCGCTTACCTGGCTGCAACAAACCTGATGTCCCCTTTGTCAGCCCCTTCACCTGCAGGCCAGCATTTCCCCCACCTGCATTCCTGCCTGTTTTTCTATTAGTCTGTCTCTTTATGTATCTGCCACTCTGCCCACTTCCTTCGCACCACCCTGCTCCAGCCTCTGTACCATCCCTTCCACCCTTGCGACTCACTGCCATCGTAGTCCAGGGTGGCGAACTGGGCTGTTTCATTGCCGCAGCCCGCACTGTTGCAAGCCCTCATGCGCAGCTCGTACCACGTGGCCTCTCGCAGTTCCGTCAGAAACACCTCCCCGGAGCTGTTGGCCCGGAGGCCCTGCCAGGCCCAGGTCCCCTTGGGCCGGTACTCCAGAACGATGGCTGTGATAGGGCAGCCCCCATTGTTCCAGCCCTGCAGGTTAAGCCGAGCATGCGTGGAGTTGATGTGGGTGAAGAGGTGTTGGTCTTTGCTGAAGGAGGGCTCTGGCAGGCCGGAGGGAGAGAGAGAGGTTAGAGAGATTTGGTGGGAGGCAGGACTGGACTGGGCTGGGCTGGAAAGGATTTCCCTGGGGCAGCTGGGATGGCAGTGGCTCCAGGAGAATACATGTTTGGCACAGATGGGGTGGGGAAGCCCCAGGGCGCAGAGGAGGAAGAGGAGGGGAGGGAGGAGAGGGAAGAAAAGGGCAGGGCCTGGAGAGGGGCCTCAGTAGAGGAGGAAGGGAGCTGGGAAGAGGCAAAGGAATGCCACCTTCGGCCACCCGGTGGGGAAGTGGAACTAGTTTTTCCTAATGGGATCCATCGGGACACTGTGGTGACGGGAAGGAGGCTGAGGCTCCTCCCTTCAGTCTCCCTGCATCCCTGGACCCCTCCTTCCCCACCCCAGCCACCTTACACCCCATACCTGGCCCCTCTAGCCCACCCTCCCTGGGCCCATCGCTCCTTCCCTGCCCCAGTGGCCTGGGCCTCACCCCGCCCGTGGGTCTTGGCCTCGATGATCTCGCTGATGCGCCCAGAGCCCACGCTGTTCTTGGCTGCCAGCTTCACCTTGTACCACGTGCCACACTTGAGGCTGTCCAGCTTGAAGGAGCGCTCGCTGGAGCTGATGAACACATCCTTCCACTCCTCGCTGTTGTCCACCGAGTACTGTAGCACGAAGCCTGCGGAGGGTAGGCCTGATTCAGGTGGGGGCAGGGCAGGGCAAGGCAGCAGAAGCCCAGCCTCAGGTACCCCAACAGGGGGCTGGGCTCCAGGCAGGGGGCAGAGTCAGGCTTTTGGTCATTGGAACGGGCATATGCTCCTTAGAAGCAAAATTGGAAGGATCAGCCCCAGTCAACTCTCTATGTTAAACCAACCAATCAACAAAACACTGTGAGGGCCTGGGGTCCAGCCCCCGGCGGGTCTGACGCTGTCACTTTGGTTCTAGTGTTAGGGGTTAGCGGCAGGTTCGGGAGGGGAGAAAACCAGAGTTGTGAGGCTCACAAGGGGTCCTGTCTAGATCTTCACTAGGATCTAGACACGGCCCCCTGAGCAGCAGGCTCAGAAGCACCTGGGGCGTGTTAGAAAGGCAGGTCCTCAGCCCCAGCCCAGAGCGCTGAGTCAGAACTGCATTGTTACAAGGCCCCTTGGTGACGCAGACGCACGCCCACACTTGGAAAGCACTGATCTAGTAGTCCATTTGTCTACTTCGACAGATTGGGAAACCCAGACTCAGAGAGGGAAACAGCCTACTCCAGGGTCACACAGCTCACAAGTGGCATTGGAGGGGCGGGCGTACTAAATCCCAGGTGCCTGGGCCATTGCAGTTCCCTTGGCACTTGAGTGACTTCCTTGTGGGTCACTTGGCCCCCAGATCGTTTCTGTCATTTGGAGACAAATGGCAGAAGTGGGTGAAGCCCCTTCCCTGCCCCGGGCCCAGAATTCCTTCCCCTATCTTCCCCCGCATCCAGACCCCTCCTCACCTCGGATGGAGCTGCCCCCATTGTCACCTGGAATCCAGGTCAGGGTGATGGACGAAGCTGAGGTTTTGGAGACAGTGAGGCGGGGCTGGTCCGGGGGAACTGTGAGGGGAAAGCCACCACCCCTTAGCACAAGGGCGGACCCTGTGATGGGGTGTGGGGAGTCCCCCCGTGACGGGAAGGTGCTGGCTCTCCCACACCCTCACTCCCACTCCCACTCCCCAGCTCTCCTGCCTCCCCTTCCATGTGCACCTCTGTTTCTCCAGAGGTCTGTCTCTCCCTTGGTTTGGCTTCTTCCATTCGATGACCCTCTCGCATGATGGAATCCCTACCCTTTCTCCATCCCTGTCCCCACCTGGGGTCACCTGCCTCACAGAGCCTCACCTTGCACCAGAAGGTTGACGATGATGGTGTCAAAGCCACCAGTGTTGGTGGCCGTGCACGTGTAGTAGCCAGAGTCCTCAGCCTTCACTGCACGCAGCAGCAGTGTGCCATTGGTGTGGATGAGCCGGTGCCCATCCATGGACACTGGAATGGCCGAGTCTTCACTGCCAGGGGCGAGGATGGGGCGGGTGGGTCATGTCAAGCACCCCTTCCTCCTGAGGCCCTCCCCCCGGTGTGTGACAAAGAGAGCTGGGGGTGGAAGGAGGCTCGCCAGGGAACGCCGGGTTCTTGGGGCTTTGCTCAGCACTCCCTGGGGGTATGAGGTAACCCAGCCTCTTTAACCATCCGGGGAAGGGAGGTCCTTGGCTCCCAAGAGGGGAGCCAGGAGGCCAGGCCTGCTTGAGAGAGCAGTAGCAGCACACCCTGCAGGGCCTCTGCAGGCCTGGAGGCAACCGGGTCACCAGGCAGGAGGGCCCCAGACTCTTCTCCACACCGCTCTTCTACTATATCCCTCTTTGGGGCCACCCCATCCCTCCACTGTCCCGACACACACCTGTCCTTGGTCCACTTCACAGCAGGGGCTGGATCTCCCACTGAATTGCAAGGCAGCCGAACATCTTTCATCCAAGGTGTTGTCACGGTGCCCCCAAAGGAGATGATCTTTGCTGGGGCTACAGGGAGGAGAGGATGAGGGCCACTCCACTTCTACCCCTGCACAATATCCTGGCCTCCTTCCTTAGGGCCCCCTGGATTTACAGTTCAAATCCTCCCTCCCCGATCTGACCTCCACCTTGGGCTTTTGGTGAGGGGTAGGTGTCAGGGAATATTGGCTGGGAGACATTGACTCAAGAAACATTGATGAAATACCAGTTATGGTCAGGATCACAAGAGGCTCTGAGGATTCAAAAAATGAGTATGATTTATTCCCTGTCCTCACGTTGATCACCATCCAAGAGGGAGACAGATACTTAAGGAAAAATTATAACGGGGCAAAATGCTATGGTAGGTGCAGGCACGAGGAAGCCTAGGGGTGCGAGGCAGGGGGAATGAATGCTGCCCATAAGTGGGCAGTGGAGGCAACGGCCGGGAATAGCATCTGGAATTGGAAGCTCTGACTTGAAGGTTAAGAAAGACTTTATAAGCAGGGAAGGAGACACATGTCAAGAAGAGGGAATAGCACTAAGCACAGACATGGAGACCTGAAGCTCACGGCAGCTGTGAGGGTTTGCAAATACTCTGGGGTAACCAAAGCTTGAGTCCAAGGGGACGGGCAGAAGTAGAATCTTGGGGGCTTTGTTGGCAGGGCCAGGAGACTGGACTCCCTCTTAGAAAGCCGCCACCAGAGGGTTATAAGAAGTGGTGTTGGACAGGCCTGGTGGCTCACGCCTGTAATCCCAGCACTTTGGGAGGCTGTGGCAGGCGGATCACCTGAGGTTGAAGTCAGAAGTTCAAGACCAGCCTGGCCAACATGGCAGAACCCTGTCTCTCTACTAGAAATACAAAAAATTAGCCGGGCACGATGGCAGGTGCCTGTAACCCCAGCTACTCGGGAGGCTGAGGCGAGAGAATCGCTTGAACCTGGGAGGTGGAGGTTGCAGTGAGCCGAGATCATGCCACTGCACTCCACGCTGGGTGACAGAGCAAGACTCTGTCTCAAAAAAAAAAAAAAAAAAAAAAAAAAAGGAGTGGTGTCCTCAGCCGATTTCAGATGCATCCTGGCTGCTTGCAGAGGATAGTTTGGTGGAGGGGGTCCTGGAGGACACAGAACGTGACAGGATGGTGGCCAGAATGCAGGCTGGAGGTGATGCGTAGCAGTGGGGAGATGAGGGGCTCAGAGCAAGAGCTGACAAAACTTAGGGTCTGGCTGGTTTGGGGGAAGAGAGCGGGGAGGGAAGGATGGCTCCCAGGATTCTGGCTGGGCCACCAAGGTGAGTGATGGCACCCTCATGGGAACAGGGCACACTGAAGGAGGGGCAGGCTTGGCAGGAAGGACCGGATGGCTTCATCTCATACTGAGTCCACAGTGCAGCCACAGCTGTAGCTAGACCACAGGTGGGTGCGTGTTCTGGAGCACCAGAGAGATGCCTGGACCAAAGACGCTGATCTGAGAGTCAGCAGGCATGATGAGGCCACAGGAGGGGATGCAGACTGACAGGGAAGTGACCAACTCTAGGATCAGCATGCACAGGCACAGAAGAGAGGACGGGAGTGTCCCAAGGGTGGTGGCGGAGGACTGGGTCAGCAGCATCACAGAAGGTGCGGGGCCACAGGTGCCCAGAGTGTGGTGGGTGGGTAAATGCATCTAGTGCCTGGGAGATCGCCAGGCCCAGATTTAAAGGAACCAAGTGCCCAAGTGCCTCAGAGAGTAGAGGAGGCCCATGGAGCTGGGGCCCTTCTTGGGGTGGAGGGAGAGTGAGAGTGAGGGAGCAGCTGAGAGGTTCAGGTGCATGGCGTGGGGGTGGGCTCCTGTGCTGGTCGTGCCAGGTGCCAAGGGGCTCTCAGAGCAGGGGAGTTCTGGGGTCTGCTTGGAGCAGTGGGGGCACCAGACAGGCCCGGCAGAGGGGTCCACATGAAGACGGCCTCCATGCGGGGGCGGTGAGAAGCCTGGGGGCTTTGTGGGTGTTCTCAGAGTTTCTCCAGAGATCAGGTTCCAGACCTGGTTTTGCCACAGGCTGGGGTTGGCTCCCTGAATCTGTGTCTCAGGGTGTGTGTGCATATGTGTGTGTATGTGTGGGTGTGTATGTGCATCTGCATGTGAGTGTGTGTATGTGTGTGTGTGTGTTAGTGTATGTGTGTGCGCAGATGCGTGTTTGTGCACATGCATGTGAGTGCATGTTGTGTATGTGCATATGTGAGTGTGCACGTGTATGCATGTGTGTATGCGTGTGTATATGCGTATATGCATGTAGTGTGTATAGTGTGTATGTGTGTGCATGTGTGCATGTATTAGTGTGTCTAGTGTGTGTGTGCGTGTGTATGCATGTGCATATGTGTGTGCATGTATTAGTGTGTATAGTGTGTATGTGTGTATATGTGTGCATATGTGTATGCATGTATTAGTGTGTATAGTGTGTATGTGTGTGCATGTGTGTATGCATATATTAGTGTGTATAGTGTGTGTATGCATGTGTGTGCACATTAGTATGTGTATGTGCGTAAATGTATGTGTGGGTCTGTGTGTATAAGTGTGTGCGCGTGCATATGCATGTGTTTGTGCGTGTGCACATGTATGAGTGTGCAGTGTGTGTGTGCGTGTGTGTGTATGGGGGAAGGGGGCAGGAGTGGTTGTCTTTCCCACCTCACAGGGCGGCTGTGAGGTGACGCTGTGTGAATGTGTTCTAGGAAGTCCACAGCTCTCTAGGACCGTGTTTATTTAATGCCCCCAGGAGAAGAGGCCAGCCTTCTGCAAAGATGCCCAGCCCTCACACTCCTGCCTCTGGGCCAGTGCTAGCTGTTCTGGAAGGGTGATAGGCTTTAGGCCCCTTCCCTTCCTGAAGAAGAGGTTGGTGGTAGGGGTTAGGGGGTGGTAGGAGGTGCTGAGGCTGTGTGGAAAGAGCCCTGACTTGGCGCTGGGAGAGCTAGCTCACTCCTTCCCGGTTGTCTTTGCAGCCCATGCCACTCCTGCCTCAGGTTGCTCAGCTGTGGAATGGGTCAACAAGCCCTGCTGGCAGGGCAGGTGGAAGCCCCTGGCCCACCGTAGGCCCTCGATCAGATGCTGGCTGGCTCTGAGCCCGCGGCAGGGTAGGGCTTGGGGCTCTTGTGTTTGGGCCAAGAGAAGCTTGAGTGGCCCCGGTAGGCTGGCCAGGCTGCGCAGGCACCACCTCCTCTCGTCTGGGCTGCGGTGGATAAGAGAGTGGGGGAGTGAGGAGGGGCCCAGGGAGGCCCAACGGCAAGTAGAGGACCTGCGGTCCTGGGCTAGTTGTGGCCAGTTCCTACGCCCCAGGGAGAGGCAGACGCTCAGCCTTGCAGCTCTACCTGCGCGGCTGCTACAGCTTGCCCTTGGGATGAGGCCTTGGAAGTGTCATTCCTCTGAAAAGTGGGGGTGCAGCCCCCATGGCACACCCATGTCCCGGTCAGAGATTCAGTGGGGCACTCCCTAAGAGGGTCTGATTCTAGCCCAGAGCCTTCCTTCACAGCACGCGCTCCGTAAAGGTCTGCGGATCGCAGGAATCCGCCATCGCTGGAATCACCCCTGCCCGGTGTCCAGTTCAGCACGGGGGCTCTCCTTTGAGCCTCAGCTGCTCTGTGGAAGCAGCACACCCGGCTGTAGCCACCTCTGGAGGAGCTGAGCATTGGGACAAAGGCCCGGCTTTGAATTGGGGGTAGAGGCGACTCCCCCTTTTTCAAGCTGGGAGTAGGGTTTGGACTCGGGAACTGAGTGCACCCTGTCCACCCGCCCCAGGCAAGAGCCGGAGGCAGCCTGTTGTGAGGCTTTGCTGGAGTCAGGGGGCAGCAGAGGCCCAGTCTTGGTGTGTGCGGGAGGCAGGCGGGTGGCCAGTTCCTCACAGCTGGGTGGCAGATAAAGCGGAGCAGGCAGAGACCCTGTCTGGGGAGAACCAGGATTCTGTAAGGGAGCTTTTGGAAGTGTTTGCCCCTCTGCCACAGCCTCAGGCTTCTCACCCTTGCCAGCAGGCTCGATGGTCACCTTCTCGCTGCTGTTGCCCCGGCCGGCAGAGGTGACGGCGGCCACCCACAGCAGATACTGCTGACCGCGGTTTAGGTGGGCGATCCGGTAGAAGAGCTGCTCTGGACTCGTCTCGTACTCGCTGGGAGCCTGCGGGGCAGAGGCAAAGAGGCTCTAAGAAGCAGAACTGGGGCCCTCCAGCGTCCAAATCTTCCTCAGTGCCCGGGGCTCAGAGGAGAGGATGGCGGGGTCGGATGCGAGGCAGGATTCTGTCCTATTTGCCCTTTCCAAGTTTTAGAGATGCAGCGGACAGAGTGTGCCCTGGGTTTGGTCCCTGGGAGCTGATGGGCCTGCCTCGCGGTGTTGCTGGGTCAGCCTCAGTTTACCTCTTTAACTGATCCACGCTCTGGCAGCTGTGGCTCAGGCCAGGGGATGTGAGTACTTTAGGTGAGGGACGGGGTAGCCAGGAGAAGGGAGAATGGGGGACAGGGGGTCCCAGGAAAGCCCTGAGGAAAGAGTCTTCAGGAAGAAGGCAAATGACTGCCTCTGCCTGATGAGGGTTGGAGACAGGCTCCTGCAGCCTGCTCTGGCTCCCGTCACCTCCTAGCCCTGCCGTCTAATTACCACTCCTGCATTTTGCAGGCAGCACGCCCGCCCGTCCAGGGAGGAGGGGGCGGGAGAAGGAACTATGAAAGCTTTACTGGGTAGCACTTTATTAATGATTATTAGTGGTATAGATCACCATATATATTTGTAGGTTATACAAATCTATAAAATTTTTTTTAACAAAATGACAGTTTTGACAAGTTGCCAACAAAACAATATCGGATCCCAGTGGTTTTACCAGTTGCTTTGATGAAAAGATTATGTTGCCTTGGAAACCAGAGGCTCAGATATTGAAATGAATTTGAGAAGGAGCTTTTGATAAGCGCTAGTTTGCAGACCTCCTGTCAGCCTCTTCCCTGGCACGGGCGGGATGGGGCTGACTTTCATTTTATTTTATTTTTTGGTCAGCCGCAGGGAAGGGAGAGGAGGACAGCACCAGGGCCCCTTTGAAAACAGAGCGGAAGTCCAGGGAGGGAGAGCAGCCCCAGAACAGATGGGGGCCCGAGGCCAGAGGGAGCTAATAATTAGTTATCTCTGCAGTCACAGGATCTTGCACACACACGCTCACAAGCACACACACATGTAGACGCATGCACACATGCTGAGGAACAGACCTCCAGGCATGTATGGGCACAGAGGGACATTCTTCATGCCCCATAGTGGGGCTGAGAGGCCCAATAACTTATAACAGGAGGAGACATCCTTTTTGGCCCCAGGCCATCTGCAGGGAAATGTTAGGGGAAAAGGCACAGGCATCTCTGCAACACACACACACAGCTCCCTGGCATATTCCTCCTGCCTCCCTCGTGGGGGTCTGGCCTTGAATCCAGGAGGTCCGGGGGGGCAGGTGCAGAGCCACCCTTGAGCCCTGGTGGTTGGGAAGCCCTTTCAGGCCACAGCACCCTGGGACTGGTGTGCGTATCTGTCGTTGATATGTGCTTGAAGTGTGGGGTAGTGTAGTGGCTTCAACACCCTCCTGCCCTTCCTCCTGGGCATACAGCCCGTAAGGTTGCCCATAGTTTCTGGACGCTGTTTTCTCTCTTGCAAACTAGGGAAGCAATACAGCTCTGCCCAACCTGTGTGTGACTGAGGCACAAGGAGGCAGGGGTGTGCACGTCCTTTGTAAACTAGGACATATTCTTCTCCGGGCTTGTTTTTGGTGACAGTACAGGAACGTATGTGTTTCTATGTACATGTGCATGTGTGGAGAACAGCTGAGTGTATGTGCTTGTGTGCATCAGTGTATACCTGAGTGTATATTTGTGCCTACACAGGCAGGGCAAGAAAGTTTGGCCTCTTCTTGTAGGTATTAGCATCCAACCCAGATACTGGGCGCTTTCCTTTTAACCTGGACACCCCGTGAGTCTCCTGAAATCATGTTCAAAAGCACACAGACATAGCCCCAAATAAAGTTCCAGTGGATCAAAGGTTTTTGAAAAAAGGCAAGCTATGAAAGAAGAAACTATAGGTAAATATTTACCCATTTTTCTAATCATAAAAATCAAGGCAAAATCATAAATGGAAATGATTGATAAATTCAGCTTCTGTAAAAAGAAAAACTATGATACATCAAAAACAGAATCAAAGGCTGGGCATACTGGCTCACATCTGTAATCCCAGCACTGTGGGAGGCCAAGGCAGGTGGATCACCTGAGATCAGGAGTTTGAGACCAGCCTGACTAACATGGTGAAATCCCCTCTCTACTAAAAAATACAAAATTAGCCAGGCGTGGTGGCGCATGCCTATAATCCCAGTTACTTGGGAGGCTGAGGCAGGAGAATCGCTTGAACCTGGGAGGTGGAGGCTGCAGTGAGCTGAGATTGTGCCATTGCACTCCAGCCTGGGCAATAAGAGTGAAACTCTGTCTCAAAACAAAAACAAAAACAAAAACAAAAAACCAGAATCAATAGGAAAGCAATGAATTGGCAGATACTTGCAACTTATATGACAGAAAATGGCTATTATCCTTAATATGTAAAGAACACTTATAAATCAATAAGAAAAATATGAGAAACCCAAACAGAAACCTGGACAAAGGACGTAAATTGACAATTACCCAAAGAAGAAAAATATAGCCAATAAACATATACAACCTAACTAGTAACCAAAGAAAGGTACTTTAAAATAAGGCACATTTATAAAAAATCCATCTAACAAAAATAAAGCAGAACAAATCAGAAAACAAATGTGGGATCAGCATAGGTGCAAAGGACAATACTGTTGGCCACTCACCCTGCTGGTAGAAACATACATGGGTGCAAATGCTCCGAAGGGCAATTTGTAAGTCTGTATGCAGAACTTTAAGAATACTTATTCTTTGTGACCCAGGAATTCCTATAGAAATTTACCCTAAGAAAATATTAAAATATGTGCATAAAGATTTCTGTGAAGGATGTTCATTGAGACGTAATTTATAATGGTGAAAATTTCAAAGACACATTAAATACAGAACAATGGGAGACTGGTTAAGTAGATTCTGTATAAACAGCCACTCAAGATCATGTTTTAGGTCAGGTGCGGTGGTGGCTCATGCCTATAATCCCAGCACTTTGGGAGGCTGAGGAGGGCGGATCACTGAGGTCAGGAGTTCGAGACCAGCCTGGCCAACATGGTGAAACCCTGCCTCTACAAAAATACAAATATTAGCCAGGCGTGGTGATGTGTGCCTGTAATCTCAGCTCCTTGGGAGGCTGAGGCAGGAGAATCACTTGAACCCGGGAGGTGGAGGATACAGCGAGCTGAGATGGTGCCACTGCACTCCAGCCTGGGTGACAGAGCAGGGCTCCGTCACATACACACGAAAAAATGTTTTAGAAGAATATCTGATGGTGTAGGAAAGCACCAACAGGTATTCCATGAAAAAAGCAGATTGCATTACGTTATGTATAATATTATTTTAATTTGGTTTAATGAAACACCTCAAAACCTGTACTATGTGTACAGATCAAAGACTGGAAGACTATATACCAGTGTTTATCTGTAGGAAGTACATCACCAGTGTTTATCTGTAGGAAGTACAAGTAATTTTTACTTTCCTCTCTATTCTTTTATATGTTTTACAGATTTTCTATAATAAAATTGCATTATTTTTATAATCAGTGAAAAATGTATTATATTATTAGTAAAATGTCTACCAGGATTCAGTGTAGCTGTGGCCATCCCCAGGGGTAGCTTCCCTAGAGCCAAGGCCATACACAGTCTTTTCTGAGGATGCCACAGGTATGGTTCATCCGCTCCCGCCAGCATGTGTGAGCACACACAGTCTCAGGTATCTGCCTATAATTCCAGGCTCATGCCACAGTTTTGCACTGTCACTGATACGCGCGTGTGCCCTCACCCCTAGCACCCTCTCCCAGAGCTGTCTTTCATAAATGAGTTTGTGTTGAAATTGTTTGGAATTTGGAATATATTTGTGCAAAGTGATCACGTCACACACAGTGGTTAGGTCCCCAGGTCCCTCACTAAGTTCAGTTTCCCCCCAACCTTTGACCCCAGTCCCCCTACAGGGCTGAACTGAAGTTCTCATCACATCAGCAGGACTTGTGTGATACTGTCTGATGGCAAATCGCAAGACATGAAGAAGATGGAGGGAGGGTCCCAATGTCTCCATCAGCAGGAGGAGGGGACGGGGACCAGGAGCTCTGTTCCGGAGCCCGGGAGAGGAGCCTGAAGCCTGAGTTAGTGAGGAGGCGTGGCTCCCGGACACCAACCTTGGAAAGACTTCATTATCAGAGGAGGAAATGACTGCAAAAGTCCAGGCTAGAGAATGACTACCCTCTCCCACCAATTAAGGAACAGAAGCTTGCCCAATATCTGAGGCTATAGAATTGCTAGGCTGCTACCGATTCATTCTTCGAATGTGTATTCCATGACCAGGATGTTCCAGGCACAGTGTTCAGCCTCTGGGGACCCAAAGATGAAAAGATGCTGCCCCTGTCCTCGTGGGGGCCTCAGAAACCAGGGTGGGAGACAGATATGTGAACAGTGACTGCCTTCAAATGCATTCAGTGTCTGACGGGAGTGAGGAACGTGCCACGGGAAGAAGCCGCGGGGCAAAGGTGTGGAGGTGTGAAGAGGCACAGTATTGTCCAGAATTGTGAACAGCTTAGTGTCCTGAGAGCCTAGAATGTGTGTGTGTGTGTGGGGGGTGGGTAGAGTTGGGGGGAGACGGGAAAACAGAGCAGGACACATGGCTGAAAGCATTGCCCAAAACACACCAAGTGTCTGTGCTGATGTGGAGTCACTGGAACTCTTATCCCCTGTGAGTGGGGGTGTGATTGGCATGAGCACCCAACAATGGCAGGCTGTTCTCAGTGAACACCTGCAAACTCTGTGACCTAGCGCTTCCTCTCCTAGGCGTACACCTGGCAGAGATCCATGCCCATGAGCACCCAGAGACACATACAGGAATGTTCACAGCAGCACCATTTGAAGAGTTCCAAACTGAAAACTGCCCCAAAGCCTTCCATCAATGGATACTAACGGCTAGCCCAATGGATTAATAATCATAACATATGCACACAAAAGCTATACAGAAGAATGAATGAGCTATAACCACATACAACAACGCGAATGAAATTCAGGAATTCAAAATAATGTTGGGTAAAAGAAGCTGGACAAATGGTATGATTCCATTTACACAAAGTACAAAAAGAAGCAGCACTAATCTATGCTATTGAGGTCAGGATGATGGTTACCTGGGAGGAGGGGCAGGCGGGAGCTGGAAGGGGGCATGGGGATTCAGGGTGTTGTAATGTCCTGTTCTGTGCTCTGGGCGCTGCTGCTTGGGTGGGTTGTGAAAATTCGCGGAGGTCTACAGTGATGACGTTTGTGCACTTTGCTGCATGTGAGGTAGTGGCCGTGAGGATGGAGTGGGGGGCCGCAGTCAGTGGGCTTCCCCTCTGGTAATAGAACTCTGGTCTCACTGGCGGGGAGCTGGGCCACCTACCACTCAGAGGGTAATTCAGAAAGACCACAGGAAAGCAGAGAGTATAGGAGGAGATGATGACACAATTACTGAGCAATTTCAGGGCAGCTTTCCTGGTGGCCATAAGCTTATCTGCAGATCTCAGGCTGATGCCCAGTTGTTGATGGAGGGAGGAGCAGGCCTCCTGCTCCTGCTTCTGCTCCTTGCTTCCGTTCCTTGCTTCCAGCCCTGGGCACATCTTCCTGACAGTACTCCTGCCCCTCTAGTGTGCTCCCCTCTGCCATCCACCTCCACTAGACTGGAAGCCCCTTGAGGGCAGGTATCTGCTCCTGCTCCCGTACCTAGAACAGGCATTCTCTATAGTAGTCACTCAGCAGGACTTGGTGGTTGACTGGCTGGAGATGATGAAAGAGGCAGAGGGGAAAATACATATGATGGGATATAGGTGCATATCCCACTGCACCCATCCCCATCCTCCCTTCCCTCTCTGTGGGGCCCCTCAGAGCATCAGTGGAAGGGCGGCTAGCCCCTTGCCCTATGTCCTGCCTGGGGGCTGCCCCCTCTGCTCCCAGGGTTAGGGCAGATATCGCAGCCTCTCAATCCTCTCCTCTCGCCTGAGCCCAGGCCCTGGTCGAGAGACGCCTGTGCCTTCTCTCGGCTTTCCCCCGTCTTTCCTCCTCCCTCAGCTTGCTCCATGTGGAGGCGCTTATGCAGGGCAGAGCTCCAACAGCACCTCCAAGCCCAGACCAACCATGTTGAAAGATGGTTCATTCCCAGAGGGCACAGACCAGCCTGGGGACCTGCTGGGAGCTTCCTCTGAGCCAGAGCAGAAGAGCCGAGGCTGACCTCCCTTCCACCCTGCCTGGTTGGGCATGGCCCACCTGACTCAAAAGAGCCCCCAGTGTTTGTGACAATCTTGTGGCCTCTGGAACAGAGGACTGACCCAAGATGGACACTGAGTAAGGCTTCGGCCACTCTGGGTGGCCAGTCCCCATTCTTATCTATGAATCCAGGCAGAAGCTCAGATACAGGCAGCCTCAGGGTTTGGCCTGGAAGCCGGCTGATGTACAAGGTCCCTTTTCTTTTCTTCCATCCCCTTCATCATCTGGCCCTGAACTCACTTACCGGCTGGCCAGACCCGGGGCTGGAACAGAAGATGGTGTACTTGCGGATCACCCCGTTGGGCTTGGTAGGGGGGAGCCAAGACACAACCACACTGCTAGCTGATGAAGGGACAGCTTTGATGCCAGCAGGGGGACCTGGAACTGAGCAGGGAGAAGGCCTGGTCAGTTGAGAGAAAGCAGGAGCACAGCCTTTGGGGAAAATGACAGAGTTGGGAGAGGGAGGCAGATCAATCTGGGAGAGCTTCTTGGAGGTGGCATCCTTGAGCTGTGGTTTAGAAGGGGAGGGTCCATCCAGCATGGTAAACAGGTGGGAGGAGAAAATGATCATTTTGGAATTGTAACGAAGTCTCTGAAATGGAGGCCCTTGGAGTGCCAGCTTCAGAACTGTTTGGCCAGAACCAAGGACTTAGGATAGGCAAAAGAGAAACAGAACCTATGAGGAATTCATCTTGATCCCTCTGACCTTAACCCCTGACCCTCACCCCCTTACTAACTGTAAGCATGTATTTAGGGGGAAAATACCCGGCACCTGTCACTTTCCTTTTTGGCCTGTGAGTTTCTTGAAGCTGGGACCACAACCTGTTTTCTGGCATGAGCCCAGGGCATTGCCCTTGGAGTGCTGGCTGGGCCCTTTCTGGAAGAAAGTCTACCTTAGAAGTCACTAGGAAATCCATCCTAAGTGGATTCCAACTCTTATGGACTCTGATGTCCCCTTGCCCTCCTCTCTGGGCCTGTCTCTCCTAACTGGGACCCCAGGACTCTGCCTGGGAGACTGGAAGCTTCCTGCTCTCAGCTCACACTCCCTATCCTCATCTCTCCATTGTATGGTTGTGTACTTGTTTCCTTTCTAGAAACTTTTATGATCTTTTGAGGACAGTGATAGCATCCCATTCAATTTATTTTACCTCTCTGAGCCTCCGTTTCCCTATCTATACAATGGAGATAAGAACTCTATTAAAAGGTTGTATTGAGAATTAGTGCTAATTAAAGTACTGGGCAGGTGCGGTGGCTCATGCCTGTAATCCCAGCACTTTGGGAAGCCAAGGCGGGCGGATCCCCCGAGGTCAGGAGTTTGAGACCAGCCTGGTGAAACCCTGTCTCTATAAAAAATACAAAAATTAGCCAGGCATGGTGGTGTGTGCTTGTTTTCCCAGCTACTAGGGAGGCTGAGGCAGGAGAATCACTTGAACACAGGAGGCGGAGGTTGCAGTGAGCTGAGATCACGCCATTGCACTCCAGCCAGGGCAACAGAGCAAGACTCCGTCTCAAAAAAAAAAAAAATAATAAAGCACCTAGCACAGTGCCTATTGCATAAGACACTCAATAAATTGTAACGATTATTATTTTTGCATTCTGTCTCTAACTCTCAGCTGATGGCACCTACCTCAATGTTTTCTTTCCTAGTCAATCATTTGGGGCTAAATAAAATAACTAGATACAGCGTCATCATCCTTCTGGGGGCCTGAGTCCAGAACCTGGGAATTGTTCTTGACTCCACCTGTCCTCCCTGCTACACAGTCCTGTGTGTCACTTCTGCTGGATGTCTCTGCAGCTGTGGGGTAAACGAGTCCATGGATGGCCACTGGGGTAAGTGCACTAATTGGAGTGTTCAAATCTCTATCCTTGCATACTTTTTTCCTATCAGTTATTGAACGAGGTGTGTCAAAGTCTTCCACTGTGGTTGTGAATTTGTCTCTTTCTCCATGTAATTCATCAGTTTTTGTTTTTTATATTTTGAGGCGATATTATTGAGTACATTCAAATTTAGAATTGTTTTATTTGCCTAGTAAATTGAGTCTTTTATCAGAACAAAGGGTTCCTCTTTATCTCTACAAATTCTTTTTGCCTTATAGTATGTCTGACACTAATATTCCAGTTTTCTATTAGACAGTTTGAATGATATGTCTTATTTTTTCCATTCATGTTGAACCTTTCTATACCCTTATGTTTTAGACATCTCCTGTAAACAGTACATATTTGGGTATTGTTTTTCACCTACCATTCTGACAGTCTTTATCTTTTAATTGGAGGATTTAGTTAATTTATCTTTAATGCAATTATTGTTATATTCAGGTTTAAATATACCATCTTATTAAATACTTTCTATTTGTCTCATCTATCCTATCCCCATTTTTCTTTTTCTTTTCTTTTGTGGCTTCTTTAATTAAGTCAAATAAAAAATATTCTATTTTCCTCCCTCTATTAGCTTGACTGTTACACAGTCTTTCACTACTTTTAGTGGTTCCATAATAGATTACAACATGAATCTTTAGTTTACCAAAGTCTAATATCAATGGGCACTTTTCTTCTCAGACAATGCAATGACCTTAGAGCTTCCATTTACCCTGTCCCAACCTTGCCATTGTTGTGTATCTTATTTCACTTTATTTTCATTTTTTTTGAGACAGACTCTCACTCTGTTGCTCAGGCTGAAGTGCAGTGGTGTGGTCTCGGCTCACTCACTGCAACCTCCACCTCCCGGGTTCCAGCAATTCTCCTGCCTCAGCCTCCTAAGTAACTGGGACTATGGGCGCCCACCATGATGCCAGGTTAATTTTTGTATTTTTAGTAGAGACGGGGTTTCACCATGTTGGCCAGGCTGGTCTCAAACTCTTGACCTCAAGTGATCCACCGGCCTCGGCCTCCCAAAGTGCTGGGACTACAGGCTTGAGCCACCATGTCCAACCCCATTGTCGTTTATTTTAATTCTGTATATACATCATCATCATCACTGCTGTTTTATGCGGCCAACATTAATTTAGATTTACCCATACATTCAGCATTTAATTGCTCTGCCTTTACTCGTTGCATCATTGAGCTTCCTCCTACAATCATTTTCCTTCTAGTTAAAGAATATCCTCTGGTATTTCTCTAGGGCAGGTATGTTGGTGATACATTCTCTCAGTTTTTATTTGTCTGAAAATGTCTTTATTTCATCTTAATCATGAAGAATAGTTTTGTTAGGTATAATATCATAGGTTGGTAACTGTTTCCCTTACATATTTTATATATATACAAATACATCATTGTCCTTTTTTCTGGTTTCCATTGTCTCTGACAAGTTAGCCACAATCTTATTGCTTCTTCTTTGGAGGTAATCCGTCTTTTCTCCTCTGGTTGCTTTTAAGATCTCTCTCTCTTTTCTTTATCAGCTTTAATATGATATGCTTAGGTGTGGATTTCTTTCTTTCTTTCTTTCTTTTTTTTTTTTTTTTGAGATAGAGTCTCGCTCTGTCCCTAGGCTAGAGTGCAGTAGTGCGATCTTGGCTGACTGCAACCTCCGCCTCCTGGGTTTAAGCAATTCTCTGCCTCAGCCTCCTGAGTAGCTGGGATTACAGGCACCTGCCACTGCACCTGGCTAATTTTTTGTATTTTTAGTAGAGATGGGGTTTCACCATGTTGGCCAGGCTGGTCTTGAACTCCTGACCTCATGATCGACCCGCCTCAGCCTCCCAAAGTGCAGATTTTTTAAATGTGTGACAATAGAGTTTGTAGAGCTTCTTGAATTTGTGGCTTGATATCTTTCATCAGTTTTGAAACATTTTCAGACATTTTATCTTCCGCTCCATTCTCTGTCTCTTCTTCTTTGGGATTTCTTCTCACTGCATCCTCTATGTCCTTGATACTTGGAATGTGGTCTGTGGATCATTACCAGCATCACCCGGGAGCACGTTAGAAGTGCAAAATCCGAGATTCCACCTGAGACCTGCCAAATCAGGATCTGAATTTTAACATGATCCCCAACTGATCTGTATACACACTGAAGTTTAATGTTTCTTACCTGCTCTTTTAATTTTCCATCTATTTGTCTTTCTGTGCTACATCTGGATATTTTCTTCTGCCTATATTCCAATTCACAAGTTATATCTTCAACTGTGTTTAATGTGTTATTAAACCCATCAACTGAGTTCTTAATTTCAAGTATTAGGGTTTTTTTCCCCTAGATTTTCCATTTGATAGTTTCCAATTCTCTGAAGTTTTCAATCTGGTCAAGCAAAATTATCTTAAAGTCCATGTTTGATAAAACCCAAGTTGGAAACCTTTGTGGGTCTGTTGCTCTTATCTGTCTTTTTTTCCCTGCTGGCTTTTGTTCATGTTGTCCCATTATTTTTTATTGTATGCCAGACACGGCATTTGCAAAATAGTTTGTAGAAATAATTTGTGGCATCTGCTGATGTTATCTTCCTAAAGAGAGGATTCATGTTTGCTTCTGATAGGCACCTGCAATCTGGGCATGAGCAATCTGGGGTAACTTAAATTCAATTTCCAGTATTGGGATGATTTGAAGGTGAACTGTCTGCTTTTGGTCCACTTTTACCCTTAGAGTGCTGTCCTTCATGGTCTCACCTCTAAGTGAGGGGGATTCACCAGACAGACCCCCACATCCTGGCAGGCCCTGACCTCTAGCTCATGTCTTTCTAGTGCTGTTCAGCTTCTTGGCCACTTCCTCCAGATTCAGCAAATGTCCCCTAGGGGAGGAGCTGTTCCAAATGTCAGGCTCACCTCCAGGGCCTCTATTTTCCCCTGGATCCCGGCCTAATGATTCTTCACTCTCCTGCTAGCTTTATGATGCCTTCAACAGGTGTTCTAAAAAGTAGTTTGTCCATATTTCCTAGCTGTCCTCCGCAAGAAGAGTGAGTTTCAGTCACCCAATCCACCCTTGCTGGAGATAGAACTCCTCTGGTATGTTTCTCTGAACTTGTCACTGCCGTTCATCCTCAGTGCTGCTGCCCTAGTACATAACTTCCTCGTCTCTGCCTTAACAGGTTCTAACCAGTCTCTCTGACACTAGTCCTCATTACCCACCCTTTGCCTGCCATCAACAAGAATTACCTTCCTAAAACATGGGTCTAGTCATGCCTCTTCCTCAGTTAAAGGTCTTTAAAGTGGTTTAAAATCCAAGTCAGCTTTGCATGTGGAGGTCATATTGCTAGGTTTGGTATTCACAGGGGGAGGTTGAGGAGTTAGCACTGGAACTCATGAATTGGGTCCAGCCAAGCCAGCCTGAAACCACGCTCAGACTGAGATCTGGACTCAGTAAATAAACCTGAATTTATGTTTGCATTTTGTTCTTTTAAATTTATTTTGCTTTTTTCTAAATTTCCTGATATTGTTTTTCCTTTAGAAAAATGCAAAATCCTGAGGGTGGGATCACGGTGTCTTCAGATGAGGATATTTGCAAAAGCTCCCATACCAGGGCTGGACTTGGACCACAGATCTGTCTGCTTTCCATGCCAACTGAGTAATAACTGTAAAAACTTCCACCTATGAATGGGAGAGCCTGGTGGAGCTGGGGTGGTTGTGGAGGACAGGCAGAGTTGACTGCTACCCTCTGCCATTCCCTCCTAGTCCTTGCAATTAGAACCTAACTTTTGCTTAGGTATCTGTGTTCCTCCACACTTCAGAGACAGCTGTCTCTACTGCCTACAGTAGAGGGTATGTCGTGCTTGGGGTAAATCGGTCCTGATAATTCCATTTCCCGTTTGGTGACTGTCTTAGCAAGAGGCATGTGGCCCCACTCTGACCAATGGGAAATGAGGATAAGTCTGTTGAGGGGGTTTCTGGGAAAGTTACTTTGACTCCCAAGAGAGGCATGCCCGCAGGAAGAGACTCCCTCTTCTCACTCTGAACTCTGTCTTGCCTGGTGTGATGCCTAGGGCTGCAGCCATCTTGAAATCATAGCAGGGGCAGCTGATATTCAGAGGATGGCAGAGCAGAAGGCTGGGAACCACTGACTTAACCAACCCTGGAGCTGTCCTACTCAGGACTTCTTGCTATGTGTGATAATAAATGTGCTTATTGCTGAAATGTTTTTGCTGGCTTTCACAACAAAAAGCTTCCTAACAGACACAAGTAGTTTGATGGAAAGGATAAAGTATACGGAGACAAGAAAGCCTGGATTTGTCACCTGTTAGTTGAGCGGCATTTGGAAAGTAGCTTTCACTCTGAAGGCCTCAGTTTTCTCCCCTGTAACATGGAAATAATGCCTCCCTCACAGGGCTCTTGGGCAGGTTAAGTCATATTATGACTGCTATTCTGGATGAGACGTCATCTGACACTGGGTTCTTTGTGGCCTGGGCTTCCCCTTGGAGGCCCTGATGCCGCTATCTGAAGCAGTCATTTCTTTTTTTTTTTTTTTCTTTTTGAGATGGAGTCTCGCTCTGTCACCCAGGCTAGAGTGTAGTGGTATGATGTCGGCTCACTGCAACTTCCACCTCCCAGGTTCAAGCGATTCTCGTGTTTCAGCCTCCTGAGTAGCTGGGACTACAGGTGCCCACCACCACATCCGGCTAATTTTTGTATTTTTAGTAATGACGGGGTTTCCCCATGTTGTCCAGGCTGGTCTCGCACTCCTGACCTTAGGTGATCCACCCACCTCGGCATCCCAAAGTGCTGGGATTACAGGTGTGAGCCACTGCATCCGGCCTGAAGCAATCATTTCATTGCCAGCACCTTGGTAGCCATAAAGCACCTGCTATTTGCTAGTACTTGACATTTTAGACGTGGTATTAGTACTTGATGAGGTACCACTCTCCCCATGTTATGAGGAAACTGGGGTTCAGGAAGGCTAAGTGACTTCCCCATGAATGCCAGGCTGGGGGCATGCACTTCCGCTGTATTTACCAGCGCCTTTTCCATGCTGCGGCGCCGCCTCCCGAAGGTGAGGGGCAGTGCTGCTTTGGGCCCGGGCTCCTGCTGTGTATAACCATGAGTGGCTCTGGGGCAGAGGGCTGAAGGCTCCTTGCAGGGAGGGGTGATGCCCCTAGACCTCTGGGTTCCTCACAGGGCCTTGCCTTGTTCAGTTAAACAGGTGGAGGTGCTTATAGCTCAGGCCTTGCATCAGAATAGGAGGCAAGAAGAAGGCTGGGGGCCCCAGGGGCTCATTTCTGGAGGCCAAAAGGTGCCTGAGTGTGGCCCTGAGGCCTCAGATGGGACCAGGCTCTAGATGCCATCTCAGCACAGTCTCCACGCTGGAGCAGGTGGCTCTGCCCGGAGCTGTCCCAGGAGGCCTTGATGGGAGGATTAATGACAGGAAAAGTAGGGCAGGCAGGTTGGTAAATATTGAATTGCTCAGAGCTTAAAGGGAGAGGGGGCCTGCTGGAGGTGGAGAGGGAGGGAGAGCCGGGAGATTAAGCTGAGCTGGGAGCTGGTCCAGTCCCCGGGCACTGGGCGACAATGGCAGCTTCTCCCCCACCACTCCCAGCCGAGTCGTTCCTTTTCAACATGTCAAACCCTTCCAGTGCCTTCAGCCAAATTGTTTGGGTAGGATCTAGACTCTGGGTCTCCATATCCCTCGAAAAAACTAAGGGTGAGTGGAAAGGAAGCCACCATGCCAAGGATGTCTCCCGCTTCTGTGCCTGCTGTGTGCCAGTCGTTTGTCACACCTCTTCTAGTAACGGGGCACCCGGCCCAGAGCACTCACCTGTGAAACAACTAAATGATGGAGCTGGTACTGGGAGGGGAAGAAAGTGGCGGGGCTGGAGGCGGAAGCCCAGAGCTGTGTGCTGTTCATGCACTGTGCCTCCCTGGCGGCCCTGGGGTAGTGCAGCTCCAGGCCTGGGTGGAAGCCTGGTCCTTCTCCTGGCCTGTTCCTCCTGGGCTGACTTCATCCCAGCCTCCCCTTTTCCCCTGCCCTTACCGTGTCACTCTGTCCTTGAGTCTGGCCCTCTGTCTCTGGCTTTCCTCCAGTTCTGCCCCATGAGGAAGGGCTTTGAGATCACCCAGCTCCAAATGGAGGCACACCCCCATCCCTGCCTTGACAGTCCAGGGCCAGGACCATGCTGCGGCCTCTGTGGGGTGACCACAAAGTCCCTAACCCGTGATGTACTGAGCGATGCTCCTGCTTCCCCTAGCCCCAGCGTGTATCCAGAGGAAAGCAGGCTGAATCTTGCAGGGGAGCAGATGCCACAGAAAGAATGCCCATGGTGTGGGAGGAGAGGGTTTTTCCGGCCTCTGACTCAATGCTGCAGAGAGCAGGTGTGTATGTAGGGGGTGCGGGGGGAGGTGCAGGGAGGTTCACAGTTGCTTATCTGCTCACGCATGAATCCTAGAGCATTTCCCTCAAGAGTCCTCAAGGCTACTCTCCCACAGTTTGAAGGCCAGGAGAAAGGACAGTACCCTGCTCTCACCCTGCCTCCTGGGGTGGGGCTGGGGGTTAGCAGTGGGTGGCAGGGCCAGCCTGTCCCAAGGAGAGGCCTGGACTCACCGTCCTCCTTGGTCTGGATGTAGAGCACACTGCTGCGTACGCCGTCCCCAGCCTGGGTGTAGGCCAGCACCTGGACGCTGTAGTTGGTGAACTTCTCCATGCCCCGCAGCTCCACCCGCTCCCGCGTGGTGGTGATGTTCTGCATCTCGCCCCACTCTGCCAGAGACCAGCAAACTCTGAGGACCCAGCTCCATCGGGCTGTGGCCCCTGCTGCTACCCCTGCTGCCTGGGCTCTGCCCACACCTACTGCACAGGCTCAGCCCTCGACTCCATGGTGGCGAGGACTAGAGGGTCTTTCACCTCAAGGTACCCAGGAGCAGATGCGGGCCACTGCCCCCAGGCCACGTCTCTCTAAGGGGCCAGTGAGGGCGAGCCACAGATGCTGGCCTGGGCCCGGCCTCAATTGACCTTGCACCAACTTCACCTTGACACGCTCTTTAAAACGCCTCTCTCCATCTCTCCAGGCAACATTTCTCCCTCCCGCTACCCAACTCCCTTCCCATGGGAGAGCCCAGAGTGGCTTGGACCTGGATGGAGGAGGTCCCGTGCAGGAGGCACAGCTCAGCAGCCACTCTTCCTGCTGGCCAGCCCGCCTTGGGCCGCCAGACCTCCCTGGGCAGTTATCAACCTGGGGATGGTGTGTGACAGGCTGAGGCTGCCTCCCCTGCCTCTGACCACTCCTGGGCCAGTGCCCTGGACTCCCAGTTGGGGTAAGGGGCTGAGTGACTCATCTGCCTTCTCCCCACTGTTGGAGACACCCAGCCATTCCCTGCACAGAAAGCCTGGGTGAGTCTGGTGGAGCCGATAGCCTTAGCCAGGAAGGGCTGGGACACTCCTGAGGCTCAGGGAGGACCCAACGTCCCAGCCCTGCAAGGACCTTCTCATAGACTCTAAAGAGGAGCTTAGGGAGAGAGTCCCATGGGGGCCAGAGTTGTAAGAGGAGGAAAAGGGACAGACTCTGGAGCCTCCCACTAGGACTGCTGGGCTTTCAGAAAGACAGGTCCAGCAACGGGCTGAGGACCAGCCTCGTAGACATGAGTTCCTGGAGACCCCCCTCCCAGCACCTCGCGGATGGTCCAGGGCAGGCAAAAGGCCAAGGCAGAGGGCCTAGCCAGGGAAAGCAGCAGCTGCTGGGATCCAGAGGGCAAGAAGGCTGTGCCCAGCGTGAGAAGACTCCAGGTCAGTGAAGGAGGACCCTCGGAGGTCAGAGCAGCAGGGCCTTCCTCTCCTGGAGTCAGAAACCAGGCTGGCCTGTCCAGGACTGGAGCCAGAGAAAGGGCAGGAAGAGGGCAGCGTGGTCAGGAGTCCAGCTTGTCTTTGGGGATTACTGAGGCTAATACATTCCTTAGGGGCTAAGCTGGAGAAGCCCGCAGGCTTCGAAAAGAGGAAGCGAGTTCTGGAAAACAGGGAACCACCCTTTACTTGGTTCCACACAAATATGAATGTAGTGAGGTCACATTGTGAGCAGCGTGGCCTGACACTGCACAGCAAAAGAACTGGGGAGACCTTCAGAGAGCTCAATCTGAGCTAGAGCCCTCTGCTTTTTGTGGGAGAGAGTGGAAGTGGTGGTGGGGAAAGACACTTCCTACTGGCAGTGTGTCTGGGCAGAGCAGAATCTGGATGGGAGAGGGGACCGTAGTAGCGCTGGACAAATGACTGTGAGCTGGATTCCAAGGTCCTCCAGGAAAGAAGAGAGGGCCCAGGGGGCTGGGAGGCAGAAAGTGCAGGAGCTGGGTGGGGGGCAAACTCATTTTAGTCCTTTGTGGTCTATTGAGATGACTAAGGCCTTTAATGGAGCATTTCCACAGTATGGGATGCCTGTCCTCTGACCTGTGTGAGCTACAAGTCTCCAGGTCACGTGAAGGTCTGTGTACACCAGTGGGCAGGAGCTTGGTGTGCCTGCGGGAAGCTACTCAAACCTGTTTGCACATTCCAGGGCGAGGAAGACATTCAAAAGTTTGGGCCATCTTACTGGTTTCTCTCCATTTGCCATTTCTCTACCCCCCTGCTCCACTGTGCGCACCTCTCTGCCCTTCTCTGGATCCCGGGCGGCTTGTCTGCACAGAAAACACGCCTTGCTGCGTGCCTGGCTCCAGCTGGGTTTGGCCAAGGGAGGCTCTCCCTGGGTTCTGGTAGCCCTGCTTCCTCCCTCTCCCCCTTGGCCTTAGGTGTTGATGGCTTCCTGCTGATGCTGGTCCCAGGTGCCCACCTCCCTCCTCAGTCCCTTCATTAAACTCTTTGATCGCCCCATTTGAGTGTACCGACTATTCCCCACCGGTCCCTGGCTCACATAGCCATAAAGGCCTAATATCAACACTGAAACTAGAAAAGCCAATCTGCCCCTATCATGCCCCCAACACTTCCCCAAACACACACTGTTGTCCAGGAGTAGCTAGGTGTCTCCTTCCCACCCCTCACCAGAGATGCCACCCTAGGTACCACCCCCCCACCTTGCTCCTGGCTCTGACCCCAGTTGAACACGGAGGTGTTCAAGTGAATCCCGAGCCCCTTCCTCACTCTCCCCCGGCCCCTATAGCCATTATCGCCCCCCGTGGTCTCCCCGTGTGGAGAAGAGGGGGCTGCACTTCCTCTTGCCAAGCTGTGGGAGGATGCTCAGCTCTAACTACGCCTGGAAGCAGACTCCACTGACCTGCGCCTCTCCCCTGAGTCCCAGCCATCAGTCCCAGCAGACTCACCCCCATCAACATAGAGGGACCAGAAGATGACCCGATAGCCTTTGAGGACGCCATTGAGGGTGCTGCGCGGGGGCTCTGACCAGGAGATGACGGCCACGTCAGAAGTGATGGACAGGGCCCGGACGTTCTCAGGGGGCTGGCTGGGCACTGCAGGGGGTAGGGGGAGAACCAAGGGTCCAGTCAGTCATGGATGTGAGTGACAGTACAGCAATTGTGTCCCAGGCTGGGTCCCGCAGTCCAACCAGAGGAGCGTCCAGTTAGACAAGTGGGGGGACCTCCTGACTTGAGCATCCTGATTGTTGGGGCAGGGAGGCTGGGAAGTGAACCGAGTTTCCTTTCCTGGAGATTGGGGCAGACAGAAATCTTTACAGACTTGGTTCCTTGCTCTCTGGGTAGCACATTCCTGGTTGTGGTTAAATCCTGGGGAAGAAGGTGAGGAACTCTGGGCACGAGCCCCTAGGAATTCCCCAACAGGCCACCACGACCCAGGCAAATCCTGCTGTGATGAACATGACAGACCTGGAAGGCCACCAAGCCAGCCCTGGAGGTGTCTGCAATGCATCACCTCATCTGATGGCTGCCAGCCCCTCTGTGTCGTCTGACCAGGGGTCTGGGCCAAGGCCTGGTTCTAGGGACTCCTGTGTCCTTGTTCCAAGCTAAAGGGAAGGCAAAGAAGGGAAAAGGACTTCAGCTAACCCTGGTGCAGGAGAGGAGTTTCTACCCGGACCTTGGGACCTCTGGGACCATTAAAGCTTCGCTCGTGCCCTTGTATTCAAACACACCAAAAGGCTTGGTGTGATGGGAAAACCCTCTCTGAGACCAGCTTAGGTGCTTCTCCCGCCAGTCACACTCTCCCTCTGAGAGCCACCTTTGAGTTTAAGCTGAGGTTCACCCTGGGGCGCAGTGCAGCCTGCCCCTCCTGAGATGACAGGCCTCCGAAACCCCACGCCCCAGGATCCACCTCAGCTCGGGGGAGCTTTGGTGGCACTTCCTGCTGGCATCCGAGGGCCAGGGACAAAGCGCAAGACGGAGTCTGCTTCGCTCCGAGTGGAAGAAAGGATGCACAGGCTGGCTGGAAGGAAATTAGATCCCGTTGCCCCACAAGAGGCAACTCTAATTTTTATGAGCATTTAAATGATAATACATCATCCTAACGATCCTCTTTGAGAATGATTATTGTTTCATATTACTTAGGTGTAAAAATATAAGCACCATGTAATTAGGGACCCAGTGTAATAAACTAATACAGATCGCCCATTCGAACAAAATGAAGGTAATATAATTATGGAAAAGACACTATTGCTAAAGCAGGGGCCCTTGAATACCCCAGGAGGAGTGCTAATATTGCCAGGAAACGATCAGGATCTGACAGGCTAACGAGGGCCTTAATTAAGTATGAAAAACTGCTGAGCAAATGCTGCTGGAAACTTTCTTCTCCCCTCTCCTCTGTTTTGAAAATGACTCCATAGCCTGTGCTGATCTCTCCCTGTTGGAAATTCCAGGGGCCCCCCACGAGGCAAGGGAGGTGATGTTTGGACAGAGGCCAGAGGTGGGCCTGGCGTGGCCCGGGTGGTGCATGGGAGCTTAGCGTTAGGTGGGGCAGGCTGGCCTCGGCTCAGCACGACTGTTCCCTGGACACACCTTCCTAAAGCCTCCTGCATCTGCGTCACTTGTTCGTGCATCCAGCCTTGCTCCCAAGCAAAAGGGAGGCACAAGGTGAAGCAGGAAGGCTATGGGAATCAGAGATTTTGATCCAGACTCTGTTGTTTTCTGGATAGATGGTTCTAGATGGTTTAATCTCCTTGAGCCTTGGCCTCCCTTCATGGATAATTGTGCGACTCTTGGTGCTATGATTCCCAAAGGTGCTCCCTGGACAAGCAGCATTACCTGGGAACTTATTAGAAATAATACATCCTTTTTTTTTTTTTTTTAGAGATGGGGTCTTGCTGTATTGTCCATGCTGGACACCCGGATTAGAAATGAACATTCTTGGCCCCCACCTCAGACCTGCTTGAAGCAGAAGCTCTGGGGGTTGGAGCCCAGCAACCTACATTTCCTAGACCTCCAGGAGGTCTGCTTTGTGCTCAGGGCTGGGAACCAGGTGTTAGGGCACTGCTCAAATGAACACTCCTGGCACTAAGAGGAGACAAGCTGATCTTCCTCAATCCAGCCAGGCCCGAGGCCAGCATCTCAGGGTGGGAGGGATGGAGAGGGATAGCGAGGGCCATGGGCTGAGGGCTTGGTTGTGGTGCGGCTCTCCTCCCTCCCCCTGGACTTCTCTGCCACGTGCCTCTTTCCTTCTTTCAGTTCTCCCCTCTTCTCAGGTGCTCAGTGCTCTGGGGCTATTGAAGTCGGCCCCATCTTAAAGCCCAGCTTTTGCCCCAGAATCATGAAATGAGAATCTCTGGTGTTGAAGCCTGGCATCAGTATTTTGAAAGTTCCCCAGATAATGCCAACTGGTGGCCAGCGTTAGGAACCATTGGTATGAGCGAATCTACTTTCAGGTGTTTCTGACCTAATGTGTCCACCATCCCCAGGGTGCTGCATTTTCAGAGAGGATGAGCTAGGAGGAGGACATTGCTTCCTCTAAAGGAATAGCTTTCTGATGGTGAAACGCTTGGTCTCCTGATGGGAATAGGGAAATATCATTCTGCCCTCCGGACTGTTGGTTTCGCTCTGTTGGGGCGGGGTGGGTAGGCTCTGAC
Source organism: Homo sapiens (assembly GCF_000001405.40). Taxonomy (NCBI): domain Eukaryota; kingdom Metazoa; phylum Chordata; class Mammalia; order Primates; family Hominidae; genus Homo; species Homo sapiens. The sequence goes on from NC_000011.10 coordinate 117,464,155, forward strand.
TCGGGGGGCTTTGGCCTCAGACCCTAGCTTTGGGTTGGGGCATCAAGAAGGAAGCTTGGAAGAATGCTCTGCTGCTTCTTTATTCTGCTCTTTAGGGGACAGAGGTCAGCCTGGCCCCTTCTCTGGGAGCATCAGGGGCCATGTCCTTTTTCTCAACCTGGTGCGGGCTCAGGTACCAGCTGGCATCTTCTCTGTGCTTGGAGTGCAGGCATATTCCTGCTTCCTCCTAACCCTCTCCTCCTGGAGAGACTGGGCCCTTTGATGTGCTAATCAGAGTGTGGGGTTCTCTCCAGTCATGGAAGAATGAAGACTTAAAAATCCTCTAAATCCTCTGCCGCATGCACGTTAGGATTTCTTAACTCCTCAGCCTCATCTCAGGTAGATGGTGGACAGGTTCCAGACTAGAACACAAAGGCAAATAGGACCCAGGTGTAGAGGGAAGAGAGAGGGGTTAGCGTGCCAGGAAGAAGGAGGAAGGCCAAGGGAGAAGCGTGGATGGGGAGACAGGTGGACAGACAAGTGCTCAGACAGGCCAACAGGTCAACAGAGACCGGATGAGCACAGCATCGGTCAAAAGGAAGGAGAGGCCCGATATGCTGAATGGCCCATACATCTCTGGAGGAGCTAATGGACAAGAGGAGATGGCGGGGATGCAGGGAGCCTGCGTGGACCACAGGACCAAAATGGGGCCCAGGGGCAAACAGAGGGACCCACAAACCCTCTCTGGCAGCCCTGGCTCTGCCCATGGCAGGAATCTGTGCCCACTCCCTTCTGCTGGGGCCCTCACCATCCTCCAGAGTGGTGGCATTGATCTCGCTGGAAGAGGGCCCCGTGCCAGCCCGATTGAAGGCTTGGACCACCACCCCATACTGGGCGAACTTCTTGAGGTTGTCCAGGGTGTAGACCTCGCTGTCCCCCGTGGCCTTCATCTCCACGATGCTGTACTGCCCGTTGCTGCCGGGGCTGTTCTCTCTGTAGCCAATCTGGTAGCCCCGGATGACACCGTTCTGCAGCTCCTTCTTGGGTGCCTGTGAGCATGGGGTGGGGGTGGGCACAAAGAAATGGCAACACGCTGAGATGATGCTCTTAAAACCAAAGTCAGATCATGTCACTCCTCTGCCCCAGCCCTTCAAAGGCTCCCATCTCACTCAGAATGAAAGCCAAAGTCCTTACAATGGCTACTCTACCCTGTGTGACCCGACCTCCCATTACCTCTCAGATCCTCTCCTGTGCCCCTCGCTTCCTGCGCCCCAGCACTCTGGCCTCTTTGGCCGCATCCCCATCTCAGGGGAAACACTCCTCCCCTCTGCCGCGTCCTTGCCGAAATGCCTCTTCTGAACGAGGCCTTCCTTAACTCCTTATGTAAGACAGCTCCCTGCCTCTCTCTGGCACTCCTTATTTTTCTTCCCGGTTTATTTTCCTCCACAGCACTTAGCATCATCTGACAGTCTATAAATTTCACTTATGCATTAGTGAAATTTGCCTGTCTGCCTGCATTAGAACGGAAGCACTGTGAGGACGCTTTGTTACTGTCGCACTCTCCGTGTCTAGAATGGTGCCTGGCATACTATGGGCCCTCAATACATATTGAATGAATGAATGAATGAATGAATGAATGAATGAATGAATAGGGATATCATTTGGCATGGGTTCAGGGGCCTGGGGAAAATAGAACAGCAGACAAAAAGTAATAAGATGGAGAGGGAGGTGAGCAATTAGTTTGAATAAAAAGAAAGAGTCCCAAGATACCACTTCACATCCATTAGGACGGCTCTTATAACAATAATGGAAAATAAGTGGTAGTGAGGATGGAGAAATGGGACCCTGTACATTGCTGGTGGGAATGGAAAGAGGCACCGCTACCATGGAAAAGAGTTTGGCAGTTCCTTAAAAAGCTAAACATAGAATAACCATACCATCCAGCAATTCCATTCCTAGGGTTTATGCCCAAAATAATTGAAAACAGGGATTCAGAGAGATACTTGTACACTCATGTTCAAAGCAGCATTATTCAGAATAGCCAGAAGGTGGAAGCAACTCAAGTGTTCACCAGGAGATGAGTGGAGAAGCAGAATACGATAGTGCAATACAATGGGATAGTATGCAGCCATGAAAGGGAGAAAACACTGACATCCGTCACAGCGCGGATGAACCTTGAAGACACTGCACTAAGAGAAATAGGCCAGACAAAAAAGGACAAAAGCTATTTGTCCGATTCCACTTAGGTGGTACTTAGAATAGTCAAAATCAGAAGAAAATAGAAAGGCCAGGTGCGGTGGCTCATGCCTGTAATCTCAGCACTTTGGGAGGCTGAGGTGGGTGGATCAGTTGAGTCAGGAGTTCGAGACCAGTCTGGCCAACATGGTGAAACCCCATCTCTACTAAAAATACAAAAAATTAGCTGGGTGTGGTAGCACACACCTGTAGTTCCACCTACTCAGGAGGCTGAGGCAGGAGAATCGCTTGAACCCGGGAGGCGGAGGTTGGAGTGAGCCAAGATCGACAGAGTGAGACTCTGTCTCAACAAAAGGAGGGTGGAATAGAGCTTTCACGGGGAGCTCATGGTTCATGGGTACAGAATTTCAGTTTGAGAGGATGAAAAAGCTCTGGAAGTGCTAGTGGTGATGGTTGTACAACATTGTGAATGTGCTTACTGCTATTGAGCTGCACGCTTAAACATGGTTCAAATGGTAGATTTTAAGTTATATGTATTTTGTTAAAACTAGAGAAAAAAAGATCCCTGACTTTCACCTGGGTGCAGCCCCTCTGGGAACTCTAAGGCTGCAGTGCCCCAGACGCCAAGGCCAGGGATTGGGGAATGGTGAAGGCTGAGGCCCGAATGAGCCCTGGATGGAGGCACAGAGATGGCAAGGACTTGGAGGTTAGAAGGGGGCTGGTGGGAATGAAGACTGAGCCCAGTCAGCCAGGCGAATGGAGAAACTCCACTGGCATCGGTCTGGGGCTGGAAAACTCTCATCCCAGGCTCGAACCCTGATAGACACCCAGCCAGGTGCGCGCACGCATGCGCGTGCACACACACCTCCCCCCTCCCCCCGCCGCCAATATATCCATTCACACCCAGAACCAGGAACACGTATCCAGACCCATCAAAGCAAACATCTTAATCCACACCCCTACTCCCAACCAGATACATTTAGATCCGCAAATAGAAACTGGCTCCTTTAATGCCCGGGCCTGCCCATCTATAAATTGAGACAGAACACCCACCCCAGCGCATTTAAAAACAGCTTGAATCGGGGTTTTAAAGACAATGAAGTTAATTTAAAAGCCCACCTTTTATTGTACTAAAAAATAGTGAGATAAAAACAATTAAGTTAGTAAAACAGCACTACTGTTTTTTTTTCTAGTCAATGAATGTTTTAAATGAACTGCATTTTTAAGCTCACTGTTAATAAAATGAAGTTTTTAATTTAACATAATTGTTTTGGACTCACTAAATAGGTGTGTGTCTGTGTGTGTGTGTTTAATTGACTTTACTCTTTGTTGCTGCTTGAATGTTTCTCTCTGCACTTGGGCAGTTCTGCTTGCTGCTCTGTAAGTGGACACATTTTTACATTTGGGTCTTGTATCTACACATGTATGTCTATGCACACACACATACACACAGACATCATTATAGATACAAATGTATCTTCAAGAGCCTGAGACCTTCCTCTTCACATCGACCCCCATTCTCACGCTTCATGTACGTGTATCTATACTGACACACATTGAACATCATTATACTATGCCACAGATTGCCTACATGCCCAGAGCTATGTATACCATGATATATACCTGCACACGTGACCACATCCACATATACTGACAGGTCTCAGACAGGCATGCAGGCACACCCCAATCTATCCATCCAGATAGATTCACATATTTATACAAATCTTCACAGATCCTTCCTGCCTCCTTCCTCTCTCTTTTTTTCTCTCCTTCTCTGTCCCCCGCCTCTCCAAACAGCCACAGTCAGGATTTAAATCAATCTTAACAATATTTCTCTGAAGCATTAAGAAATCAATAGGGCTGATTGCAAATTTATGTCATAAAGCAGGGGCGATCCATCTCGTGGAAAGGGTCTTAAAATGAAGTGACTTATCTTCAAGTGAATCTTTATTTTTCATTAATCTGTTTCTCAATGTTAAAAAAAAAAATCCCCTGAGAAGTCAGCCCAAAATTTATTGACCACCTGGTTCATTCTGAAGTTCTAACTTTCTAATCAATTTTATTTTTCATTATGAGACTTTGGAGAAATAAATCTGATTCTAAATTTTTATCGACCTGTGGGTCAGAGCTTTGTAGCCCAATGTTTCAGTACTTTACATATTTATTCATCCCTGCCCCCACCTCCTGGCTGCCTTGGAGTGTTTCTAGGATACAGGTCCACAGCCAGGACGCAGCCAAGAGTTTGGGATTGGATGCCCGGCCTCACCCCACTTTCTGAGGAGAGCCCTGGAACCCAGATCTGAATCTGGAGAGGAACCCTGGCTCCAGGTATCCACTAGGTGGGCTGCCCCCAGGAAGGACCAGCTGCCCAGCCCTACCTCGCTTTCCTCTTGGTCATGCCTCTGGGAGGGAAGGAACCAGGCTGCTGCTATGTGTGTGAGTGTGAGTGTGAGTGTGCGTGCACATGGTCTTAGGAAAAATATCACTAGGTCCTTCTGAATCTCTCTCACTCTCAAGTCTACCTTTCTAAAGAGCCCAGAAGAAGGACTCAAGCACCTGGGCTTTTCCTGTCAGGCGGAGAGTCAGAAAGTCACCGTGGACAATTGGTCCCTGATTAAGACAGGCAACCCCCGAGCCCCACTGTTGAGATGGGAAAGCTCCAGGAAGAACACAGAAGGCCCTGAGAATGCTCTCTGATCCAGAGCCCTGTGCAGTGGCTGTGGAGGGAAGAGTGGCTGGGGCTGCAGACTCTGTGTTGCAGTCTGAGCTCTGTCTCTGCTAGCCAGGCCACCTCACATCTTGTCTCCATGGCCTCCTCTGGTGGAAGGGGATAAAAGTGCCTTCTCTCGCTGCTCCCCAGGAATGAGGAGAGGGTCAGATGAGTTGGTAAAGAGAAAGCACTTGGAGACTGGAGGATGCAGTGAGACAGGAAGCCCCTGGATTGCCAGCCCTTCTATGCCCATGGAGGGGTTTGGTGGTAGGGCCAGAAGATGCCCATTTCTGAGTCCTGCTCAAGGTCATTCTGTTCTGTTTCCCTGCCCAGCTGTGGAATCTCCCCTAAGATTTTCCTTAAGTGACAGATGCTTCAGTCACCCCCTATATTTTACAGGTCTTTGCCCTTAGAAATGGCTATAGCACATAGTGGTCTCTTTTCTCTACAGTTTCTCCACCCTCAGAGGTAGGGAGGGCAGTTGTTTTCATGCTGATGTTAGAAAGGAGGAACTTGGCACAAAATCAAACCTACTTCCAACCTTATTACAACATGTGGGGTTTGGACGACGGGCCAGCACCACCGAGGAACCATCTTCCCTCCTTGGCACTGCAAGTTTTTCGTTCCACCCCAGGCAGAGCCTCCATCAGAGAACCAGGGAGGAGAGGGAAGTGGGGATTATTGTGCTGGAGGGACCTGCCTTTGCCTCCCTCTCCTTCCATCTCTCAAATCTCACTAGGTTTAGTGACAAAACAGACATGGGCATCATATAAGACTAGAGACTAGCAAGCCTGCTGGGAGCTTTCGTCCTGGATTGAGGAGAGAGGAGGCAAGCAGACATTCCAGGGGAGATGCCTTAGACACACTTACCTTCCAGGTCACCTGGATGCTCTGTGAGGTCACTGGCTGCAAGGTAACATCCATGGGGGGCCCATCGGGAGCTGAGCAGGGTAGCGGGGAGGAGAAACATTACAAGTCAAGACTTGGAAGAGGAAGGGGTTCTATGTTCCCACTCCCACCCTCCTGAGCTGGAGGGCTCCTGGGGAGAAGACTAAGCTCAGATGCAGATAGCAGAGAACTTTTGTTTGAGTTCCCCTGAAAGTAACATAGGGTTTCAATTTCCTCTTCATTCTCTATAATTTGCTGAAAATATAGCAAACAATGATAATAAGGTACTACTGTACATTCAGTAGGATGGCAAAAGTTTTTAAAAGTTGAAGAGTATGAAGTGTCTGCTTCATAAAAGAATGTCTAGGCCGGGCGCGGTGGCTCACACCTGTAATCCCAGCACTTTGGGAGGCCAAGGCGGGCGGATCACGAGGTCAGGAGATCGAGACCATCCTGGCTAACAGGGTGAAACCCTGTCTCTACTAAAAATACAAAAAATTAGCCGGGCGAGGTGGCGGGCGCCTGTAGTCCCAGCTGCTCGGGAGGCTGAGGCAGGAGAATGGCATGAACCCAGGGGGTGGAGCCTGAACTCTTATCCTCTGATCATGGGAGAGAAAATTGGCACAACACTTCAGAAAACATTCTAGCATTTTTTGTTAAAGGTAGAAGTATTTGCCTGTTTGATGACTCTGTAATTCTACAACTGCTTATATCCCCTAGAGAAACTCATGAACCGGTACACTAGCATACAGGAATGCTTATAGCAGTATTTTTGTAATAGCTCCAAGCTACAAACAATCTAAATGTCCATCTACAGTAGAATGGACAAATCCCCTGTGGTATAGTCATATAATGGATACTATACAGCACTGAAAAAGCATAAATGATATAGCTATGCTAATGACATGAATGAAACTTGCAAAAGTAATATTGATTAAAACAAGCAAGACACGGAAGAATAGATGAAGTATGATGTCATGAATACATTCTACTGGAAAATAGGGAAAACTAAATTATACATTTTATTGCATATACACTGTGGTGACAGTACAAAAAAGAATGAAAATTAGTATCACAAAAATCAGGATATTGATTACTTCAAGAGGAGGGGTGGTGTTATGACCAGAAAGGGGTACATGGGGGACTTCTGCCATGCTGGCTAATGGATGATGAGTGTTGGTTATACTCATTGTTTACCTTATGCTTGTTTATAAAACTGCACATATATGTCATGTGTATTTTTCTGCATTTTTTTTTTTTTTGAGATGGAGTCTTCCTCTGTCGCCCAGGCTGGAGTGCAGTGGTGCGATCTTGGCTCACAGCAAGCTCTGCCTCCCAGGTTCAAGCGATTCTCCTGCCTCAGCCTCCTGATTAGCTGGAACTACAGGCATGCGCCACCACGCCCAGCTAATTTTTGTATTTTTAGTAGAGACAGGGTTTCACCAAGTTGGCCAGGCTGGTCTCGTACTCCTGACCTCAGGTGATCCACCCTCCTTGGCCTCCCAAAGTGCTGTGATTACAGGCATAAGCCACCACTCTCGGCCTCTTCTGCATTATTTTGTATTACATGATAACAAAAGAAAACATAGCAAGATAAACCTTGTTTAAACTTTCAAGAAAACTCTATGATGAGGGTCATAGAAAATGATCCAGGCCCTAGTACCCTATCTTGCAGATAGATCTTTCCAGATGCTGGGGCCAGGGGAGTGGGGCAGAACCACAGATAGTTCCCCCAAACCCAGTATCTAGAACCCCGCTTGGAAAAGGGTCAAATAGGAGCCTGCAGTGATCCAGAGGTGGACACAAACATCTGTTAGGATGCTTTTCCCCACGCCACCCCCTTTAACTGCAAGCTCATTGCCAGTGAACAGGATCGCTGTAGGCCCCTGGTGGTCCTGATCCCTGAGGCCATGGGCAGGGCAGGCTGGGTGAGGTGCTCACCGGCCTCCTCAGTGCTGATGGTGAGCTCCTTGCTTGGTTCACTGCGGCCAATCTTGTTGAAAGAGTACATGCGGATGCTGTACACAGATGCCGGGTGCAAGTCCACAATGTTGGCCTGGTTGATGGTGGGGGAGATGTTGCGTGTGGACTGCTTGAAGTCCCAGGAATCTGGAGAGAAGACACCTATGTCAAAGCATGGCCAGGCAAACTCCAGGACCCCTTCCCAGCCTGAAGTACCAGTACAACCCAATATTAAGTTGGATGCCCGAGGGGTCCAGCTCACACAGACTGCAGAGAGGGCACAGGCCTGAACAACTTCACAGACGGTGCAAGGGGTCTGTCCCATGCAGCTCCAGCTTGGGAGAAGCCTGACTCTCCTCTGCCACTGGCCAGCCTGTAAGCTCAAACTTCAGGCAGAGGTCGGACGAGACGTTCCCCAAGGTCCCTGCCAAGATCACCATCTGTTTGCTATCCCTGAGGGTCTGACTGGCCAGTGCCCTTCTTCCTGGGTCTCCCCTCACATCAGTGACCTGGTCTAACAGTGAGACACCCCATTTACCCAGTGGCCCCCATGCAAAGCAGGAGGCTAAGTCTCCTCTCCTTTTCTCCTCCTTTTGTGTGTGCTTCTGTCTTTCTTTTCCTTGTGCACTTGTGAGGTGATGAACTTGAGTGTTATATGTCAGGGTTGAGGGGGACAGGCCAAGTACCAGAGTCCCCAGTCCAAACCCTACCCTCTTTCCTTCATCGACAGGAGGATGGTTTCAGAGTCATTAGGGTTAGGGGCCACCAAAGAGATTAACATGTTCACGATTTATCCAGGGAGACTGGTAGTCTATCTCACGGCTGATGTTTAGCAAAATTGTAGGAGGTGGAAAATACCAGATAAATACCATTCAGGTGTGACTGAACATATCGTGATGGTGAACACCCTGCATCTCCAGAGGAATCCAGTCATTTGTTAAATATGTTTTGGCTGCGCACCTATTAGGGGTCTCCAGAGGAAACGGGAAGGAGTTGCAATTAAAAATGCCTCAGCTAGGACCTTCCACACCCGGGATTCTTAACCAAATAACTGTTTTGGCACCTTACTTGGAAAAGAAAAAAAGGCAAATCACAAGGAAACAAGCTGATAGTAGGGCTGAAAAATGTTCCCAGGGCAAGTCCAGATGTCACTATTCCGTCTAATTTTCTATGCCTTTAAACCCACAGTAGAGTATCGTGAAAAATTCTCCATAGAAAAGATTAAGTTGTATTCACCACAGTTTAAATCCTAAATCAGGAAAGGAGGCTAGCACATTCTAGAAAGACTAAAAAAATTTTTTTTTGGTTAAAACTAATGCCTGATAGGCCAGGCACAGTGGCTCATGCCTGTAATCCCAGCACTTTGGGAGGCCAAGGCGGGTGGATCATTTGAGGTCAGGAGTTTGAGACCAGCTGGGACAATATGGTGAAACTCTGTCTGTACTAAAAATACAAAAATTAGCCGGGCGTGGTGGTGGGTGCCTGTAGTCCCAGCTACTTGGGAGGCTGAGACAGGAGAATTGCTTGAACCCGGGAGGTGGAGGTTGCAGTGAACCAAGATCATGCCACTGCACTCCAGCCTGGGCAACAGAACGAGACTCCATCTCAAAAATGAAAAAAACAAAACAAAACAAAACAGAAAAACGTAATGCCTGATAAATCAGGAGAATTGGTTCACCAGAAGACAATGTCCCAGGCCTCCAATTTCTGGTTAGTTGAGATCTTGATGGTTTGCAAAACACCACTTATAGCTGCTCAGGCTTAGCATCTGTGAAGGGCACCGGCCCAGCTCCCCATCTGTAGTTTTGCATTTAATTCTTTGGTTTCACGAGCCAGAGAAACAAAATGGCAGGCTGTTGGTGCTCAAAAACACATTATTTTCTCTTTGTATTTTAAAACACCCTAACCACGGGAGGGTCACTTTGTGGTTGGCAGGTTAAGTTGGAATTGCAAATATGCAGGCTCCTACCTGCTGTGGGCACTTGCTTGTGGGTTTGGGACAGAACAGGCTAGTCATGTGGAGGCAGGTGCTCCCTTCTCTCTGTGGCATCCTGGGAGCTGGCGCCAGCTCATAAGTCACATCTGATGTGCCCATGTTTATAGGAGAGGGAGAGGGAGCACAAGTCAGTGCATTCATTTTTGATGAGTGCACGCAGAGGGAGGAGACTGGGGCGGTGTGTCTGGAGAAGAGGCACTAATATTTACCAAGCACCTGCAGTGTGCCAGGTGCAGCGTTGGGCAATTTAAATGCTCACCATTTACTCCTCACATCCTCCTGCGACATCAGTGCTCCATCTCCACAGCAGAGGTGACCTTCGCGGCACCAAACCCAATTTCTCTCCTGGCTTTTTGGGTGTATTCAACACTTGGACCTCTCTCCCTTCTTCAGGAAACATCCCCCTACTCAGCTCCATAATAAAACACTCTCTGGCCTTTTGCTTATCTCTTGGGCCAGCTTCTCTCTGTCTCTGTGCAGGTGCATCCCCCTCTACCCTACCAGGAATGGTTCGAGTTCTTCAAGCCTCCACCCGAGGCTTCCTTCTCTCTTGCCATGCACTTTCCCCAACCATGCATTCTATTTTCATCTCTGCGCAGATACCTCCCAGATTAATATCCAGCCTGGGCCTCTCCTTCCGACTCCAGACCTTATAGCCAAGTTTTTAGTTGACGGCTCATCTTGGATGTTTCATGGACACTTCAAACTCAACCTGTCCAAGACAGAACTCTTGACCATACACCCTGCTTACCCAGCAACTTCCTGGGTTCTATCTTGAATGGCACCACCATTATCAATTTCTTGACTCTTCCTTCTCCCTTTCTCCTTATCAAGTGGGATAGCTTTTGTGTTCTGTGTCATTCCTTTTTTCCTTTTTTTTTTTTTTTGAGATGGAGTCTCGCTCTGTCGCCCAGGCTGGAGTGCAGTGGCGCGATCTCGGCTTACTGCAAGCTCCGCCTCCCGGGTTCGTGCCATTCTCCTGCCTCAGCCTCCGGAGTAGCTGGGACTACAGGCGCATGCCACCACACCCAGATAATTTTTTTGTATTTTTAGTAGAGATGGGGTTTCACCGTGTTAGCCAGGATGGTCTCGATCTCCTGACCTCGTGATCTGCCCACCTTGGCCTCCCAAAGTGCTGGGATTACAGGCGTGAGTCACCGCGCCTGGCCTCTGTGTCATTCTTGAATCCTTCCGCTTCCCTCCATCCCCATCTCTACCTCAGGCTTAGCCACTGTCATCCCTCCTTAGACCAGGGAAATGGCCTCTTCCCTAGCTCTCCACGTGCTCAGCATACCCTGTTTCTTTCATCTGTTCTCTACACTGCGGCCATTGTCCACTCTACAAATACAATCGAGCTCCTCTTACAGGTGAGCATTCCATCTTGGCCCTGAGAGTCTGAGAGTAGTCTTCTCAAAACACAAATCTGATACTGCCATTCCTAACATAAAATTCTTCAATAGTTGTTCCTTGTTCTCAGGATAAAGGTAAAATTTCACAACCTGACCCAGGCCCTGCAACATCTGGCTCCTGCTCACCTCCCCAGCCTTATCTTTCTCTATTCTTCTCCTC